>NC_000006.12:38544848-38847878 GCF_000001405.40 Homo sapiens | reverse complement strand
CCAGAAAGCTGAGCACAACAAAGGAGGACAAGAAATAGAATGGATGCCATGGAGGAAGCAATGGGAGGCTACTGGGTAAAAACCCCAACTACCTACAGTTAGAGCAAGAAGCCGACTGCAGTGTGTAGCAAGGGCAAGCAGTTTCAATGTGGTGCAGTGACATTTGCTGGTGAGTGGCACTTGTTGACTAGGATCTTCAAACTTCTTCTGATCTAGGACAGAGTGATTCACATGTAGAATGGGGTTTTTTCTGGGTACGGTCTGATGCCTGAATACAACTCATAATTTCCCTGAAAGCCTATGTTATACATGAAGTTATAAATGGAGTTGTACATAAATTGCTCTAAGGAGGTAGGTAATCCAGTTGTTCAGGCAGTAAGAAGCATTTTTCCCAATACTCAGTTTATGCTGTTTCCCTGGCCACTGGTCGAGAGCTGAAAGGCAGTCAATATGCCAAAAACATCTTCCAAATAAGGACATGTAAACCAACATGGCATGGGCAGGCATTTAGGGAGATGAAGCAACTAGATAGGCCAAAATTGTTCTGCACAGAAAAAAAAGAGTCATCCTTGATGGTGTATAACTTCTAAAGATGGAAAAGGGAGATCTGAAATAAAATCGAGCATAGCTAGTTTCTGTCCTTTGGCTAGATACCTGCATTGTACAACTTTGTGTGGTCAAACCCACCATGGCCCATGAAGTCCCATGGAATCAGGGATCCACCAGGGAAGTGTCACAATCCAGGCAATACCTACAGTCAAGTCTTACCGAAGGAGACATACAGCTTCCTTCTGAAGTCACATCAAAGTAGTCCTAGGGATCCAGCAGGTATGACTCACTACTAGGTCAGTCTGTGGTTAGTTCTGGAACAGGCTTTCCAGACCTACTTGGCACTGCAAAGTTCTCTAGGAAGAGAATCTCCCAGAATTTGATGACTTCTTAGCTATCCTTATACTCTTTCTGGCAGGGCCTAGAAGTTTGTAAACATTGAGTTTACTAATAACACAAATAGGTATTTTACTCATCAGGTTATGTCCAAGTAAGTATGAATTGAAGAAAGCCTTCAAATCCTGAATTTCTTGGCTGCAGACACTGCCCAGGTGAATCTACAGCCCTTCATCAAGAGGTCATCATCCAGGAAGTCAGATGGGCAAAATTTGCAATGAACCATAGGGCAGCAGTTGCCCATGAAGTCTAGGAAGTACTGAATATCCTATGGTCATCTTTGCCAGGATTCTCTGAACACAGAGGATGCATCCGAGGACCTTGACCTTTATATATTCAACCCAGAACTCCCTGGACTGGCAGCTTTGTCATTATGCAAATACAAGACTGCCCCTGGAGCCAGAGGTCATGCAGCATGCAACTCACTAACCAGTGATCCCAACGTGGAAAAGGGATATTAGCTATTTCTTAGGTGTGTTCAGGTGAAGAATAGTTGAGAACTACTGCACAGTCGGCCAGAGGAATAGAGGTTGCCAGTGCCAAAGACCTGACAGAATATTTAATCTGAGTCCTACAGGAATTTCCTAAAGCTGCACTCAAGATCATAGGCACCTCCAAGCTGGTTCGTAGTTCAATGATGAACAGGTGACCTCATTCAGGCCATAATGGTCTCAGGCTCTTTTCACCATAAAAAATGAAAGTCTCTAAGTAAGTGCCAAGCCCCTAATGGGTAGATTGCTGTAGTGGTAGATTGCTCTCACGGGTGGCCAGCAGGCTTTTCCCGGGCCATTGGGTGAATGTTTGAACAGGATTAGCCAAGAGGTCAATGATGTCAGAGGAACAAAGGAGAGAAAAGATGAAATGAAGAGGTCATCTCAGTGGGGAGCCAAGACCTTCAGAGGACAAGATGCCAGTCTGGGGAGGAATAATTAGGATGGGGCCCACCAGGAAAAATAGGGAAGGGGAGATGAGTACCATTAAAGAAGAGATGGAGGCCATGATTATTAGGGAAAACGGGCAGTTTGTATAGGAACAGACAAGATAATACCAAATTTAGTGCAGAATCCATCCAATGAAAGAGCTTTAAAACTGAGCTTTTACTTAGAATTTTATAACCCTAAATATCCCATTTAAATCTCTCTCTCAAATTATAAAATTACCTGTTGCTGAGTAAAGACCCTAAGACCATTAAACTATCCTCCATCAAAGTGATAATTTCTCCCGATTCGGTTCCTTTGAGCAGGAGCTCTCCTTTTCCCTTAAATGCTGCAAAACTCAGATTTTGGTTGGTCCAATTCTCAATCACCTGAGTCAGCTTGGCTTCGATATCCTTCTCCTTAATGGCAGATATGCAAATATCCTTTGAAGGAAAAGCAAAGTATATGTCATGATGTTTTCAACTACAAATTAAGTGCATCATCAAATCATAGAATTTTTTTTTTGCTTGAAAGGGACCTGTAAGTCACCCAGTTCATTTAGTCATTTTACAGCCAAGAAAAGGCTTCAGATCATTGTGTTGCAACTTGACACTAGAGCCTTACTAATTATTTACTAATCGCCGACTACTAATTATTTTTCTGTACCACATACATGAAACAATGGAACTTAAATCATCATTTTTCAGATTATGTTTTCAATTCGAACTTTTGGCTAAAATGGGGATAATCACAGCTGCCCTGTTTATCCCAGAGATTAGCTATGAGATTCAAATGAGAATATACATAAGAGTCTTTTGAACTCTTTCAAGTAACATATAGATATTACTATATTTCTGCCTGTTCTGGTCCTAATATGAATATCTCATTTGCTTAAGCATCAGTTGTTTTTTTCTTATGGGTTTTTCTATATTTTTTTTTTGAGAATACTTAATAAGAAAGACTCACGAAAGAAAATAAAAGTAACATATTTTCCCCACAATGCCTCAATGTGTGTTCATAGTTAGAATCACAGAGATGAAAAAGAATTTAAAGGTGTGAGATGTTTCCACAAATGATCTTAACACAAATTACTGTGTAATAAATGTCCTAAGAATGATGTGAACCATGGTGATTTCTGAGGAGGGAGGTCTGTGCTGAGGAGGAACAGCTTCGTAGAGGAGGAGGTGAGATTCCAGCAGAGACTCTCTGGGAGGAAGAGGAAATTCTGTACTGAAGGGAAGCCTTCCTTTAGAGGCAGTGAGTCCAGTAACAGCAGGAATCTAATTTGGCTAATGGTACAGCATGTGTGGCTGAGCAACTAGATGTATCTGGGGTAGACAGTACCAAGACTCTGTTTTGTGTACCAAGAGTCATTAACAGAAGCCTGGAATTACTTGAAATTGTATAATAAAGCACAGCCTACGAATGGCTATATTATTAAGTATAAAAACCTACTTATAAGAAGGAGATGGTCACCAAAGTGTTTCTACCTCTTTGTTTCTTAGTGATATTTACAAATAGGACAAAAATGCTTTGAAAGAAAAGCTTTTTGTGCACACATGTTGTTAAAAAGAGGTAGGGGAAGGCAGAAAACCCAAACCATATATTTGGGAGATTTCTGGTCACATGGTGCATTTTCTCAACTCCAAAAACATAGAATAATGGATAAAATAATTTTTTTAAAGTAAGTAAAAAAGCAAACAGAGCCAGACTTAAAAAAAAGACAAACATATCCATGAACCAAAAGTGGAAAAGCTATGCAAACCAGTTGGTGGAGCTGAAACACAGGCCTGAGGCCTGGACACTGGGGCCAGGCCTTTGGTTCCCATGGGGTGAAGAAGAGTAAAAATGATCTATAGGAAAAGGAGTACCTGGGCTGGGGTCTAAAGCCCTCCATTCATGGAAGGAGGCTGAAAACACTGCCTCTAGCTGCCATCTAGGCAACTAGATTTAATGGAACTGTGGACCTGGGGGATGGGGTGACACAAAACCAGCCCCACAACCAGGACCTGAAATAGGTCAGCACATTCCTGGATCATCACACCACAGCACAGTAGAGGAAGGAGACCGCTATTACAACACCTGGCTCTCAACTTGGGGCTGAGGGGACATGGACAGTGTAGGAGGCAACCACAAAGCCACTAGACAAGGAAAACGAAGACACAAACGGACAGAGACAATTTTAACACATTATATAAGCCAGAATTTTTGAAATCCTGCCCATTCAAAATGAGTCCTCCCAGCCACCCCAATAAAAATTACAAAACCCATGAAAAAAATCTAAGGCTCAGAGGATAGCCAACATAAAAAACAATCACAGCAAAAATTCAGTCCAGGTGAAATTAATCTTAAAGAAGAATCTGAAAACATCTTTATGTTTAATTTGGAGTTGTTGAAGTATAGATAAAGATAGTATAGATAAAATAATATTGGCCATGAGTTGATAAATGCTAGAGCAAGGAGATCTTTACTTTTGTATGTGTTTAAAATTTTCCCTAATGAAAAATGTTTAAATAATTATGTTTAAAATGCTCAAAGAGATAAGCGAAGACATCTATAAATCTATAGATTTGAAACCTACAGATCTGGGAATATATATAGATTTAAGACTGTAGATCTAAGAATCTACAAAAGGGACAGAAAATTTTTAATGAAAAAATGAAAAAAAAAGATTGGCCACAAAAAAGAATGAATTAAAAATCTTGGAAAGGAAAAATGTAATAATAGAAAATTCTAAAAACTTAATAGACTGAACAGGAAAAAGCATAAAATTAGAAATTTGGAAAATAGTTCAGAGGGATTCACCAAGAACACAATACATAAATAAACAAATTTTTTTTAAGTGGAAGTGCATTCTGGGGACAAGGAAGATGTATTGAAGGGTTCCAGAACAAATGTATTTCAAATAATGTATTTCAAATAATCATATAATCTCATTGAGTTACAAGATTATTTCATAAAAGTCAAGAATGTTCAGGATCATTCCAAATTTTGAGGGTGCATTATAGAGGGCAATTAGTCCAACCTCTCATAAAATATCTGTACAACTCCCAGAAAAGAAAAAGCAGACATTCTTTAATGGATCATTGATAAGAACGTATACACTTATGTACCTCAATATCATCCTTATGTTTAAGGAGTGGTGCTTCCATGATATTTCTAAGGCAAAAAGAATCAGATTCCACATCAAATGGGGTTCCAGTTAACTCGGAGATTCTATCCCAGTGTCTCTGTTTCATGGCCTTATTGGTCATCATTTCCAGTAGAGGACATGACTCACTGAAATCATCAATTCTCTTTTTGAGATCCAAAAAAGCTTGCCAATCTTTAAGTCCTTTTGGAAGTTTACGACATCTTTCAGAAAGAAAGAGAAAAAAAATATGCCACCTTCACATTTATTTGAGGAAGGTTTTATGTATATACACTATTATATTAGGGAATAAATTAGCTTCTGAAATACCTATAGGATCCTAAGAAGACAGGCATTATAAAAAATTCCATTGAAACTCACCTGTTTTGAAATTCCAGCAGTTCTGCATTAATTTTTTCAATATCTACATCTCCCCAAAGTATTTCATAATAACCACTAATACTGCTCATTACGGTGTCATACAATCCATACAGCTTCTGCAGCAAGTTGAGTTCTTTTCTGGGAAACAAAGTAACTAAGTTATCACATCATGTATAATATTTAATAAAGTCCATTATTGGAAAGGCAGAGTTCATCCAATCAAATATTTCATACATTGCGTGTACAATGTCTTATAGATACCAAATGCATACAACTATATCCATTTTCAATACAAAGACTTCGTTAAAGATCTGTCATTAAGGCCAAGTTTACTGCTCCCAAATATTCCAAGTCAGACTATAACTTGACATTAGCAAATGGTTTATTCTGTAAAGAAAAAAAATCTTGCTACTTTTTAATGAGAAACTTACTATACCAATCATTGCAAACAATGTGACCAAAACTTAATGATAAGGTCATAGCTGCGGCTAAGGTTTCATTTGACTTTTTTTTCTTTCAAATACAAGCTGGATTTTATGAGAACATTTCCCTTGACTAAGCCCTGATCTGCCTTTAAGATTGAGCTTAAACACCCTATTCCTACCAGAAGTTTTCCCTCATGTGGCCAGGTGTGGTGGCATGTGACTGTAGTCCCAGCTACTTGGGAGGCTGATGTGAAAGGACTGCTTGAGCCCAGGAGTTCAAGGATGCAGTGAGCTATGATTGCACCACTGCACTCCAGCCTGGGCAACAGAACAAGATCCTATCCAAAAAAAAAAATCCCACATGTGCCCAGATGAAGTTACTGTGTTTAAAACAAGAATAAAAGGTCCAAGTAAAGGAAAATTCTTAAATGTGTAAAACACCAAATTGACCACTCAACAGAATTTGTGGATTCTCCCAGAAATTCCTCAGCCCTTAGTATGCCATAAGGTTCTACTGGATTCAGTTTTAGTTTTCAAGTTTATTTATAAGGATTGACATTCACAACTTTTATTCTTCATCAGAGATACTTCAAAAACCAAAAATAAATTTTGTAATGAAGTAAAAGTCGTTCTATCTTTTTATTTTATTTTATTTTATTTTTGAGAGAGAATCTCACTCTGTTGCCCAGGCTGGAGTGCAGTGGCACGATCTCGGCTCACCATAACCTCTGCCTCCTGGGTTCAAGCAATTCCCCTGCCTCAGCCTCCCGAGTAGCTGAGATTACAGGCAGATGCCACCACGCCCGGCTAATTTTTGTATTTTTAGTAGAGATGAGGTCTCATCATGTTAGCTAGGCTGGTCTTGAACTCCTGATCTCAGGTGATCGGCCCGCCTCAGCCTCCCTAAGTGCTGGGATTATAGGCATGAGCTACGGCACCCAGCCCATTCTATCTTGTAATTACCATGTAGGCGTAGTAGATTTTACAAATCTAAGACACATTCTGCGATCTTAGTTGTCCTATTTTTTCAATTCTTGATTCATTTTTCATCATTCTTAGAATTATTTCATTACCACTTATTATTATTCTCAACTATGCTAAAAATGACTAAAAAAAATAAGAAAAGAGAATGATGACATTGCCTAAAGGGTAATGCAACAGTGAAAAAAAAATGACTACTGCATCATCCTCCAGGCTTCTTACTGTATAACATAAAGTATTGCAAAATCTTTCAAAAAAGTATATAAAAAGAATGCCAGAGACACCATTTTTGTTGTCTTTTGATTTTTGCTTGTTTAATACAGTTGCTTTCATTTAATACAGTTAAGAATTCAGAATTTTTCATTTTCTACCTAAAAGGGTAAAGAGAAGAAAATTGACAAAGAAATGTGTTTCCCAAGTATTAAACAGGAAAGAGAAAGCAGCATTCCCTTTTGATGGTGAAATTGATTAATATGTGAAATCTCATACTATGTCTTCAGATGATCATAACCTAGATGAATTTTATAAAATCCAGTAATTTATAAGTAAACAATATATTTCCGTAGACTTCAATAGAAATAAGGGCCTTATCATGCAATATTTTGCAACAAGAACCTAAACTATTCCATTTTGTGAAAAAGATAAGTGACAGTGTTCCTTCATTATTTATATTTACATAAGTTGTATTTGATACATTTCATAAGTGGACAAATGTTGAAGTCAGATGTGTATTCAAGGAAATAGATGATTTAGAAATTTAAAATTTCTTGGAATTGATCATTCAAATCTAAAAGTAAAGTCTTCAATATTTATGAAGCAAAACAGATGACAGTCTTCTCTTAAAAAAATGATGACTGTCCGAGTTTTCAACAGCTTTGAGTCTTGACAATGCAAGTGCAAGAAAAGTCAGAATTAATGATAAGCCACAGATCCATTGGAGATGATTTAAAATATGAAATCCATATTTACAGCATGGATATGCTCCAGGTTCACACATGACAGCCGATGAGGAGTTAGTCTCATTCAGTGCTGGTCCCCATTTTGTATATATACATCTTCAAACTAGGATATTACAGAATAAAAGTTTGAGTTTACTCTGCTTAAATTATTATTAAATCTTCTAATAAAAGTGCTTCTTCACCGGACATGGTGGCCCACACCTGTAATCCCAGCACTTTGGGAGGCCAAGGCAGGCAGATCATCTGAGGTCAGGAGTTTGAGACCAGCCTGACCAACATGATGAAACCCCGTCTCTACTAAAAATATAAAATTAGCCGGGCATGGTGGCACATGCCTATAATCCCAGCTACTCGGGAGGCCGAGGCAGGCGAATCACTTGAACCCAGCAGGTGGAGGTTGCTGTGAGCCGAGATCATGTCATTGCACTCCAGCCTGGGCAACAAGAGTGAAACTCCGTCTCAAAAAAAAAAAAAGTGCTTCTCGGTTGGGTGCGGGTGCTCACACCTGAAATCTCAACACAATGGGAGGCCGAGGTGGGAGGATCACTTGAGCCCCAAAGTTCAAGACCAGCCTGGGCAACATAAGGAGACTCCTGTATGTATAAAAAATTTTTTAAAAATTACCTGGGCCCAGTGGTATGCACCTATAATCCCCACTACCTGGGAGGCTGAGGCAGGAGGATCACTTGAACTACGGAAGTCGAGTGATTCCACCACTACACTCCAGTACTAGCAACAGAGTGAGATCCTGTCTCAAAAAAAAAACAAAACAAACAAAAAAAAAACTTCAAAGCTTCTCACCATTCTCACCATTCTCTAAAATTATTCATAAAATTTAAAATATCAAAATGAAAATGGTCTGTTGGTCCAGATGGTAAATGGTGATGATGATTTCTCCTGCTAGCCTGAGGGTGAACGCATTGGATCTCAGGCTGAGTGTGCATCACAGTCACCTGGAGAGTGTGTAAAATGCAGATTTTCTGGGACCCAATCCCAGAGGTTCTGATTCAGTAAATCAGAAATGAGGGCCAGACATCCGCAATTCTAACACAATTGGCTAATGGATTACGTTTGGAGAATGACTGTTTTAGAAAGAGAATACAAACCACCTACCCTAAATGGCTGAAGCATTCATTTCTCTTCAGAAAATTTCATGTCTATTTTCATGAAATTTTCACGTTGTGGCTTTGAAGGAAGTCAACATAAACTTATTTTCTAAAGCCAAGACTCTAATGAGCTAATACTATCACTGTATTAATGTTGCTTTTAAGGAAAGTTATATTTCAAATTCTTTAAGAATATTCTAAAATTTGATTGAAATACACTTGTTTATATGTGTGGTTTATAATCAATTAGCTTATTTGGACGTCAATCTCAATAAATTCTATGTCTACCCAATGGGGAAGAGCATTTTACCACAAATGGAGTAAGAAGGCAAGGGGAGCCAGGCGTGGTGGCTCACGCCTGTAATCCCAGCACTTTGGGAGGCCGAGGCAGGCGGATCACGAGGTCAGGAGATCGAGACCATCCTGGCTAACATGGTGAAACCCCGTCTCTACTAAAAACACAAAAAAATTAGCCGGCCATGGTGGTAGGAGCCTGTAGTCCCAGCTATTCGGAAGGCTGAGGCAGGAGAATAGCATGAATCCGGGAGGCAGAGCTTGCAGTGAGCCGAGATTGCGCCACTGCACTCCAGCCTGGGCAACAGAGCGAGACTCTGTCTCAAAAAAAAAAGAAGGCAAGGGGAGCCAGGAAGGTTATTCCTCTAAATAAACAAAAGTTACTCAAAATTGCTGTGCTTCTGCATAATCACTGACACTATGCAAAAACAGTCAAAAGAAAAAGTAAAGCATAGGCTAAATATAGACCATGCATGCTCAAAATTTTAGCAACATATTTTTTACTCCCCTAGAACGTTTCTTTTGTATAGGAGACTGTGTGTCCAATTTGTAAAGAATAGCTGGAATAAGGAGAATATTCAGTTGTGCTCCAAGCTGTAGTGTCCTCTGCATGATAAAGGATTTAATGGTGACATGATTCTTCTAATAGATAGTATTTAATTATTTGCATGTAATACTTGCTTATTTTCTAAACTTACCTGGTTTTGTGTAAAACCTCATAATCAGTCACAGGCAATCCAAAAAGTTGTTCACCAGATGAATACGTAACAAATTTCCTCCACAGATCATCGAAACTGGCCTGTAACAAAGGTTTTTAAATTGTACTAAAATACAATTAATTCAGTAGAATTAAAGTGGAATTTATTTTCATTGGGATAAAAGCTAGGTTGAGGTTTATTAAGTAATAGCTATAAAATAAGGATTTGTGAAGCAAATTTATACTGATACCAAGCTATCAGAGAAAAAGTTAAACACTTAGGAAAGTTCGCTTTCAAGCATTCTAAAAGCATTCATTTTATATAAAATTATTTCTTCTTCTTCTCCAGAAGGCCTATATTTCGAGTTCCCATAAGTACATCTAAAAGTAATAAAGCTGCATTTTTAAAACTCTACAATTCAGGATTTTTCAGTAATTTAGACTGGCCATCTCTATCCTACAGGGCTCAAATGAGCAAAGTGTTAGTCTAATCCATTCAGTCCTGTTTTCTGTACATGCAATGAAGAGTCTATAAAAAAGAAGATCCAATTTTAACACCATTTGAAATAATTCTAACAACTTAAATCACCAAAGTTAATGCACATGTCTTTTAATTTTTCCTTTTGAATTGGGATTTGAATATCCTATATTTGGGATGCTAAATATTAGCAATGTTCAAAGCACAAATGCCAACAGAAGTAACCCATCTGTGAGGACATATGAGCACTCTGTGTAAGTGGTACAGCATATTCCCGAGAACCCTAAATTCCCAGCCCTGGAGAATATCCAGCATCAGACCTCACAAGGCTTAGACAAAAATACAGATCTGACAGATACGTTAGTATATTTTACAGGACCCAGATCAGGAAGGCATGAAGATACCAGGTGAACTCGAATGAACTCTTAGTTCCTAGAGGGCAAGTGCCATATTTTGTACTTTGTGTATTCCTTGGTGGTTGGCATGGTGGTTATTCAATAAATGTACTGAATGAAGAGTCCATAGGACTCTTCACTATGAAGAGTGGGACTATGTGAACACTAAGGAAGGATAAACAATAACACTAAAGTTAGAATACATTAAAATAATGGTGTTTAAAAACTCATCAATGTGTAAAGACTATTGATGGATGCTAATCACTCACCTTTTTTTTCCTTCAGGTTGCAAGTAACATAAAAACACCCACAGCATCAGCTGAACAGGAATAAAGTATCAGCTTTGTCAACAGGCCAGCAGGGTGCCCAAGAACTCCCCAAAATAAATTTGCATGAGAGAGCACCATCAGGACCCAAGGCCCAATATAAGGCACCTCTGCCTTCACACATCCAGCCTTTGGCACCTGTTTTTTTTAGGGGGTTGGAGTACATCTCATTTTGAAAAGGGTTGTGTCTACAAATCTGACCTCAAGTCACATATCCCAGTGAAGTGCATGCCAAACAGCCTGTTTGGCTCACACCTCGAGAGACAGGCAGAACAGAAGGTACAGAAAGGCAAAAGATGTGCCCTACATTGCCTTTTTTTTTTTTTTTGAGATGGTTTTTTTGTTGTTGTTGTTGTTTTGTTGGGTTTTTTTGTTGTTGTTGTTTTGTTTTTTTTTTTGAGATGGAGTCTTGCTCTCTTGCCCAGGCTGGAGTGCAGTGGTGCAATCTTGGCTCACTGCAACCTTCGCCTCCCAGGTTCAAGCAATTCTCCTGCCTCAGCCTCCTGAGTAGCTGGGATTACAGGCACATGCCACAATACCTGGCTACATTAGCAACCACACCCCTGGGTAAAATCTTGGCACATAATGTCCCAGTTGCTGACTAATCAGTTGGTTTACATCACATGCCCTAAATTTTCTCTGCAAACTTGAAAACAAGGTCATCCGCTCAAACAAGCCCCAAAGCTACTCCTCCTACTACATGCCCTCCTTCGATAAGTAGTTCTACCTTCGTCAATATGCCCAAGTTGGAAACCTTTAACTTTTTCCCTCAAACCAGGTTTCAGGCCCGTCAATTCTGCTTCGTTAATAAATTCATGATCCATCCAATTTTCTTCATTATACAGGTGTCACTTGCTTGGTCTCCCTCTTTACAATTTCTTGCTTTTACTACCAAAACTGCCCTCAGTTTGATCTTCCTCTCTCCAAACCAGTCTCTACATTAGTACCACTAAAAATCTTTAAAAAACCAACTATTTTAAAAATTCAAGTATGATCATATCACTCCCTGCTTAGAACCCTCCAACCCTCAAGATAGAATTCAGACTCCTTATTATTGCCTACCGGGCCCTCCACTGGTGCTCGCTGCCCACTCTGTCACCTCGTTCCTCACCACTATCCTCTTTAGTACCGCATCCCAAAGGTACACGACCCCACCCTGCACTCCTTACATCTCCCCATATTGCCCTACTAGTTTCCTCTCTGCCGGGCCTTTGTATGAGCTGCAAATTCTGCCTAACTTTCTTTTTCCCCTCCGTCTTCCCCTGGCTAACTCTAATTAGTCCTTCAAGATGCAGCTTAGATTCTTCCTCTTTCAGGAAGCCTTCTCCATCTGCTCTAACAGCCCATCTGTTTCCATTACACAATTTCACATACCTAGGTCACAGCTCTCATCGCACTTGCAGTTTTCTCTCTAGCTTGCTATCTCTCTATCAGATTTTAGCAGCTTAGAGGTAAGAACCACTTCTTCATCAAATTTCTCCTGAGCAAGCCACACAGTAGGCATCTGATCTTTTTTTTTTTTTTTTGATTACTAAGAATGCAGGTGGGAAAGGGGACATGAAAAGAACTAATCACACTATTCAGCCACTGTGGGAAACAGGAAAAAGAGCAGGAGCAAAGAAGAGAATTGCTTGATGCTCCTGAGGAGGAAGTTCACATAGGAATCCATGAATTTGCAAAGTATTAATCCATGTGGATGTGTGAACTTTCTCTAGACGCGCTCAGCAATCCGAGTGTAGAAAAAGATGGTGAATGGTTGGCCTGATCCAATGAGTATTGTACAGGCAGAGGAGATAGGACAAAGAAGTAGGGAAACTTAAAGAGATGGATGCAAAAGGAAGACAAAATAATGAATACAGAGGGAAAACATTTGCCAATATTTAAAATATTATTTTGATAAATTTTACTATACTATGATTTCTTATTACTTTACATATCAAATGAAATGCTTAGAACTAAAATAAGTTATATTCTTAAGTTGAGAATCAGTCTTATTCTCTAAAAATACAGAGAGCTATTCTGTGGAGAGGAGCATGGAGGGAGACAGAGGAGTCAATTGCATCATTTAGCAGATTAGAATACAATTAAGGACTGATGTACTTGAAATACAAACTTTTCTATTAAAAAGTAAAACCTCCATCTTTCCCCAAAATAATTTTTTAAATTACACATTGTCGATGTAACAAAAAAAATGTGGTTTCACCTGAAATATCTGTAGCCTGTTGCTAGCTTCTTGGGGTGGTATATTTGGAACCATAGGTCCTTCCTGTAAGGAAGAATATAATCTCCATTTTCATTCTTAATCATATGTATTTGTCAGTTTATTGGGTTTATCTATTATTTCCATTTAAGTAAACAAGCATTTTTTTAATTTAAATTATTTAATTGTGTCCTGTACTTGAAGCTTTTATTTATTTCTAACAGCTTTATTGAGATGGAATTCACATACTATACAATTCATTCATTTAAAGTGTACAAGTCAATGATTTTTAGTACATTCACAGGGTTGTGCAACCATGACCACAATCATTTAGAACATTTTCATCACTCTATCTTCCATTCATTTTTAAAGGACCTTGACAGAGCTAATAAAAAATGTGACAAAATTACATTCTATATGGAGTGTGTACCCCAAGGGCTCTGCCAAATTTCATTTATGATTACAAATGATGATGCTGTGTTTGTGCATTAGAATAACTGATACAGAGTTCTGAGAACATCCTCTTTTTAATAACTGTTCAGCCCAATATGGAAATAGGGACACATGTAAATTGAATATTTGGAAGAAGCAGAAAGCAGTGTCTGGTGGCTATGAACCAGAACACAGTTGCAAAATAATCCTCAAAAACACTCCCCAAAATAAGCAAAGGAATAAATGAATTTATAGCAACAAATTAAAATAACAGGGGCTACTCCCAATGGAAAAATGAAGGCTATTAAGTATATTAACATGGTCAATCATGATATGATAGATATACTAAATAATAGACTAGATTCCCAATATAATAGTGTTTAAAAAGTAAACTGAGGCCCAATAATTTTTTTTTTAAGTTTATCTGAGCACACAGTAATTCATAAATTGGGAAACTCCCAACTAGACTTGGTTCAGGGTCTCCACTGCAGAAGGCTTTTACAGAGTGAGCACAGAAGTAATGCAAAGAAAACATTTTATTGGTTTCATTTATAAAGTTGTCTTCTTTGGTCTATTCTGCTGGAAAGTCCCCAGTTATATAATTATGGGCTTGTTTGCGGCTTCTGATTAGTTAAGCTGTTTCTAATATAGGCATTTATAAGAAATAGTGTGTTCAGATTTGCTTATGTCTGCAAATTGTGGAAGGGCAAGGTAACTTAAGAAGCCTGACTGGCTGTGTCTGTTCAGGGATTCTTCAGACCTGGTCTCCATTTTAAATTTACTTTAACAATAGAATGAGGGGGCAAATCAACAGATATGTTTAGTACATGTTAAAAAAAAAACATTATATAAGTGACTGGCTGTGTCTGTTCAGGGACTCTTCAGACCTGGTCTCCATTTTAGATTTACTTTAACAATAGAATGAGGCAGCAAATCAACAGATATGTTTAGCACATGTTAAAAAAAAAAGCATTATATAAGTAGCACCAAGGGCTTAAATCATCTTATGAATACAGATCCACTGTGACCACTAAAAGAAAGAATATTTCAGGGGAACATATTCAGTCTTGAGTTTAACTTCAAGGTCAACATTATCAGTCAGAATACCAGTTTGAGTAGCATACGGGACTGACCCAGTATGACATCTATTATTTATTCTTAGGGACCTTTTTGGTTCTCTAAGAGTTAGTGAGAATGCAAAATCAATGGCATAATATCCTGGTATTAGAAGTTTATAGTTTCTCACGGCCTTCCAACAACTATATTACATTTTCTACCATGAGAATTCAGCCCCCGAGAAAAGACAAAACCAGACCCTTTGTTCCTTCCACAATCTCCAAAGTTGTTGCTCCTTTTAACAGTAAAATCTGTTTTCTTTCTCTATAAAATTTGCTTAAAGCAAGCTTGCCCAACCCACAGCCCACAGGCCACATGAAGCCCAGGACAGCTTTGAATGCAGCCCAACACAAATTCATAAACTTTCTTAAAACAGTATGAGATTTTTCTGCAATTTTTAAAAGCTAATCAGCTATCGTTAGTGTTAGCGTATTTTATGTGTGGCCCAGAAAAATTCTTCTTTTTCCAATATGGCCAAGGAAGCCAAAAGATTGGACATCCCTGGTTTAAAGGATTAGCTATCCCCTTTTTCTGATAGCTGCAAATACGCAAATATAGCCACATACATGCAACGTACCTATTCCTCAGGGTTCATCACTTTCATTTCATATAAACACATCACAGAACATTTCAACATACAGCAAGAAAATACTTAAATTACCAATTCATATGCTTCTGCAAAGTTTATCACGTCCTCACGAAAAACTTCCACAGACTCAAGTAGATTGCTTTTAAACTTTGGCTGCACTTGAACTAGGTCCTCTTGTACTGAAACCTACAATAAAAAAGAATATTCAACCTGAGAGTGAAAGTAACATATTAAAAACAAAAATTACAATTCTATTCCAACAAGTGTATCTCACAGATATCCTATATGAACAAGGAAGTCTCTGTTTGCTTGTAATAAAATATATTAATAACCCAAATGAACCTACAGGAGACTCAAATCATTCTAGCCTGACTCAAGAGGCAAAGCCAATTTCTCTGTAACTGTTTCTGGTTGATCCAGTTCAGGCCATCACTGTGACATGGGAGACAGATACTATTATTGGCATGGTCTGGGTCACATGTTGTCTGTGGGGCTAGGCCAAGACTTGGGATTAGCAATCTCTAATAAGGTCACATGCCTGCAGTCATTGGAGCAAATTCCTAAAAGAAAGTGATATTACTCTAGGTATTAAAAAAAAATAGCAAATACCCTACACAATGGTCCTGAAATACTCTGCTTAAACCTTCAATAATAATTGCCAGCACTTAAATAATGCTTGCTATCTGCCATGCTCTTTATATATGTTAACTCTTTTAATCTTTGTAACAACCCTATGAAGAAAATTGTAATATGCTAATATGATTACCATTTTACAGTTGAGAAAACTGAGGTACAGAGAGGCTAAGTAACTTCTCCAAAGTCCCACCACCAGCATCAGGCAAAGTCAAGATTCAAAACCTGGCTGTGTAGTTCCAGGGCCCCTGCTATTAACTGCTCTCAACAATAGCAGCTATCTTTAGATTGGAACATATATTACCTCAAGTTTAATGGTGACTGTAGTATAGAACAATCTATTTCTGCTAAAGGATGGGTTAGTGGGTTTAACACTAACCATTAAAGAGATAGAGGAACAACCTAAGTGAGTCTTTCTTTTTTCTTTTTTTTTTTTTTTTTTTTGAGATGGTGTCTCACTCTGTCACCAGGCTGGAGACTGGAGTGCAGTGGCACAATCTCAGTTCACTGCAGTCTCAACCTCTGGGGCTCAAGTGATCCTCCCACCTCAGCCTCCCAAATAGCCAGGACTACAGGTGTGTGCTGCCATTTCCAGCTAATTTTTGTATTTTTTGTAGAGACAAGGTTTTGACATGTTGCCCAGGCTGGTCTGGAACTCCTGGGCTCAAGTGATCCACCCATCTCAGCCTCCCAAAGTGCAGGGATTACAAGTGTGAGCCACCATGCTCAGCCATGAATCTTTTCCATTGATATAATAGCAGAAAACTGGGTTTCACTAAACCTCAACAGAGATTTCCTATTTCTTTTCTAAGACTCGCTCCTCTGACTAACCAGCAAGAGGAGTAAGCTATTAGTTAATATTGAATATGAATTTAAATAAACATGAGTTTATTTCTTTCAAAAAAGTATTTTATATACATTACCTCAAGTAAGCCTCATAGACACATAAAAAAATTATCCTTCCTAAATGACCCCAAGAAGAAGTTGAGAAACAAATGTTATTAACTTGCATAAAATCATCCAGTTGACTGGTAGTGGAGCTATAGTCACAAGCTGTGACCTCAGCTTCAGTTTTGTGTCTCCTTGCTGTTATGTCTTGCTTCAGTATAAGTGACAAATATTTCCATAAATAAGAAATGTTAAAGCCAATGTCCAATTTAATTAATATTCTATAAAATTCAGTATAATTAAAGGATGTAGGTCATCCCTTGGAGGTCTTTTTTTTTTTTTTTTTTTTTTTGAGATAGAGTCTTGCTCTGTTGCCCAGGCTGGAGTGCAGTGGCGCGATCTCGGCTCACTGGAAACTCCGCCTCCTGGGTTCACGTCTTTCTCCTGCCTCAGCCTCCCAAGTAGCTGGGACTACAGGTGCCTGCCACCATGCCTGGCTGATTTTTTTGTAATTTTAGTAGAGGCAGGGTTTCACTGTGTTAGCCAGGATGGTCTCGACCTCCTGAACTTGTGATCCACCCACCTCAGCCTCCCAAAGTGCTGGGATTACAGGCATGAGCCACCATGCCTGGCCCCTTGGAGTTCATTTTTAATGTCTAATTTTGGTGTATAAATGTTTATCAACTTCAAAAATGCTTAGAGAAATTTGTAGCTATCAAGTTCTACATTAAAAGAAAAAAAATCTCAAATCAGTAACCTCAACTTTGCAAATTAAACAAAGAGGAACAAATTAAACCCAGAGCAAGAAGAAAAGAAATGATAAAAACTAGAGCACAAATAAATGGTAGAGAGAATAGAAAAACAATAGAGAAAATCAACAAACCAAAGTTTTTTATTTGAAAAGACTGACAAAATTGACTACCTTTACCTAAACTAAGTAAGAATAAAGGAGAGAAGATGCAAATTACTAAAATTAGGAATGAAAAAGGGGACATCACTACCAGCCTAACAGAAATAGAAAGGACTATAAAGACACAATCAGCAGAGTGAACAGGCAACCTAGAAATGGTAGGGGAAAATGGAGAGTTGTTGTTTAAATAGAGTAACAGTTTTGCAAGATTTTTTGCAAGTTCTGGAGATTGGTTGCACAGCAATGTGAATATACTTAACACTACTAAAATGGTTAAGAAGGTAAATTTTATGTTACATGCATTTTGCCACTATTTTCTTTTTAAAGCTTAGCACAAAGCTACTATAATCAAGACAGTGTGGTGCTGGCATAAGGATAGGCATATAGATAAAAAGAATAGAAATTGAGAGTCTGAAATAAACTCTTACATCTATGATCAATTGATTTTCAGCAAGGCTACCAAGACAATTTGTTGGTGAAAGGATAGTTTTTTCAGTAAACAATGTCAATGCAACTGGATTATCTACATGCTTTTATATGAAGTCGAATCCCTAACTTATACCATATGCACAAATTAACTCAAAATGTATCAGAAATCAAAATTTAAGTGCTAAAGTTATAAAACTCTCATAAGAAAACATGGCAGTAAATCTTTGTAACTCTAGATTGGGCAATGGTTTCCCAGATAACATACCAAAAACACCAACAACAACAACAATAAAAAGATAAACTAGACTTCATCAAAGTAAAAAACTTTGTGCATCAAAAGACACCATCAATAAAGCGAAAAGATAACCCACAGAAGAGAAAACATTTGCAAATCACATATCTGATAAGAAACTTGTATCCATAATATATAAAGAATTCTTACAACTCAAAAGTAAAAAGACAACAAAATTTTTAAAAATCAAGCAAAGGATTTAAATTCACATCTCTCCAAATAAGATATACAAATGACCAATAAAATGGCCACATGAAAACATGCTCTATCTCATTAGGCATTAGGAAAATGAAGTCCTCGCACATGGACAATATGGATGAACTTTGAAAAATTATGTTAAATGAAAGAATCAAGTTACGAAAGACCATATATTGTATGATTTAGTCTACATTAAATGTCCAGAAAAGGAAAATCCACAGAAACAGAAAGTAGATTAGTGGTTGCCAGGGCTGGGGCAAGAGAGAGAATCAGGAGTGATTGCTAATGGGCACGGGGTTTCCTTTGTGGGGTGATAATGTTTTAAAATTAGACAATGATGGTGGTTAAGCAACAATGTGAATATACTAAAAAACACTGAATTGTATGCTTTAAAATGGTAAACTTTATGGTATGTGTATTCTATCTCAATAAAGCCATTAAAATAATTTACAGTCTCACATTGCTTGATGATGGTAATAGGCTGAGAAATGTGTCATTAGGTGATTTTGTCGTGTGAACATCATTGAGTGTACTTACACAAACCTAGAGGGATAGCCTACTGTACACCTAGGCTATATGGTATGGCCTATTGCTGCTAGGCTACAAACCTCTACAGCATGTTACTATACTGAATGCTGAAGGCAATTCTAGACAATGGTAAGCATTTGTGTATCTAAATATAGAAAAGGATCAGTAAAAATACAGTATTATAATCTTATGAGATCACCGTTGTATATGCAGTCTGTTGTTGACTGAAACATTGTTATGTGGCACATGACTGTATATTAAGCTTTAAAAAGGTATAAAATACCTTTTTTTTCTGGAGATAGTGACTTAAGAAAAAATAATGTAGTTAAATTCATACTTACAGCTTTGCTCTGCAATTTGTTGAAAGAATATCTTAAGGTATCAACTGCTTCTGATTCTTCTTTGGTTACTTCAACTTCAAATCTGTTTAAAATAGCATAGGCTTCCTGCAGGATGAAGGTGGAGTTTAGAAATATCACAAGGGAAAGCCATTGCCAAATGATTTAGACGCCTTCTAGAAACACATTCCTATGTCTTAGAAGAAGACAGCATGTTCTAGAAAAGTGGTTTCCAAAATTAAAAGTGTATGAAAAGCACCTTTAGATTCTGACTACCAGATACTAACTCTGGATCACAGGCTCTGAAATCTGCATTTAATAAGCACCTAGGTGATTCTGATGGAGATGTATATGTCTCTTTTTCCTCCTTGACCCTATGTCAACACCACGTAAGATACAGACTGTATTAAAACAGGGGTTGACTATACAAGGAACAGAATGAAATGATGTGGGAGATACTCCAAAGAAAAGAAACTTGAATGATCCAGGCTCCAAGGGATGACCAGTAATTGTCTTCACCAAAAAAAAAAAAAAAAAAAAAAAAAAAAAAAAAAAAAAGTTTGGTAAAGAATTAAGCTTTTGCAGTCAGGGAAAATTTGATATAATAATTTATTATATCTTGAAGTCTGGCTGGTCAGCATCCAAAATCCCCAAATACCACGATTTTTTTAAAGCAGTAAAAGTAAAAAGTTCATTAGCTACCAAAGAGTATAAACTCTCAATGGGTTCAAGAAAGCATAAAACAGTCATAAATATTGGGTACCATAAAGAGGCAGTAGTGGTGTCAATTCCCCAGATATTGTAGGCAATGAGGCAGTGCATTGTTTATAGACAACAAAACCAATAATAAAAAGAATCAAAAGCTTGATTTTTATCACCATGTATCAGAAATTCTAAATAATATTAGTCCTAAAACATTCTAAATATTAGTAATAGACAAACTCACCAAGGCTATCCAAGTCCTGATCCCCAAAGTCTGTGAACATATTACCTTATATGGTAAAAGGGACTTTGCAGATATGATTATGTTAAGGAGCTTGCCATGGGGAGATTACCCTGGATTAACAGGCGGGCCTGATGTAATCACAAAAGTCCACATAAGAGAAAGAGTGTGGCAGGAAAGTAGGTGTGAGAGAAGACACAATGACAGAAATGGGGGTAGAAGTGATGGCATCACTAGAAGGGAACCAACCATGAGCCAAGACACGTGGGCAGCCCCTAGAAGCTAGAAAAAGGAGGGAATGGATTCTCCCCTAGAGCCTCCAGGAGCAACATGGCCCTGCTGACATCTTGATGTTAGCCCCATTAGATCCATTTTTGGACTTCTGATGTCTAGAACTGTAAAATAAACGATCTGTGTTGTTTTAAGCCATTAAGTTGGTGGTGATTTGTTATAGCAGCAATAGAAAACTCATACTGTTTCCTAAAAACATTTTTCATTGATGTAAGTTCCAACAGTTTACTATGGAGCCTGAGGGAACTGTTTCTGCCATACTGCCTGTGGTACACCACCGTTCATGAGTGAGACCTATAATTGGTTTCTAAGGCAAGCCAAAGATCTTGGGAGAACTTGCCTAACATGTTGGGATTGACATGACAAGGGACAATTATTTCTTTCCACAAAATGTTGGTGCCAGTATCAAAAATTAAACACTACCTACCCCACTATAGCATTATTAATATATTAACATTCCTTTGTATTACAACAGTGTCTTTTGTATACTGTTCACTGTTGATAATTGCCAAAATTCTCCCAAAGACATCAACATCAGAGACGAGAAATAGGCAGACTGTGCTACATAATAGATGAATATGTTAAAGAATCACTTTCTTAGTGTGTCTCTATTTCTTTAAAAAACAAAAAAGCATTCCAAGAAAAAAAAATGCAATCATTTCTTACTTCAATTGGTCCCAAAGTCATGTCCATTTGAATTTCATTATCACGTATGCAAGACAAGGCTTCCATTGCAAATCTGACATCATCTAAATCACGAATAGGTCTAGATAACTTTTTCAAGTATTCATTAATAAATGCTATCATGTATGACATTTTCTTTTTGTATTCTTCATTCAGATATCGACAGAGTAACATCTTCCATGCCTTGGCCTCGATGGATAAGGCCAATTTCATCGGCTCTGATGAAGACAAGAAGAAATTAAATTAGAATATAACTGGCATTCTGAAACTATAAGGGCATCTATAATTGCTCTGTCCAATTCAGTAGTCACTAACCACATGTGGCTTTTGAACACTTGAAATGTGGTTAGTATGAATTACATGTGCTATAAGGTTACTAGATTTTGAAGACTTAATTCCTGTCCCACAGAGCATGTATCCCCGTGGAAATGTGCATGAGTTTGACACCACAGCCCATGGGGGAGCATTTTTGAAATTAGTTCTATCACTGTTCTGTGTGACCCTTGCACTTCTTCTGACCATCCCATTAGCGGCCCTCATTCATTCTCGCATTTTTCTCGAGAGATCCCATGAGGTGGAGTGAAATCTATTGTTTTGTGTGTCAAGCCATGACTTCACAGGTTTCTTGCTTTTCTACTCACCACATCATCCACATGGTCAGAGTATCCGTCTACCCTGACCCTGGACCCTGGACCTAGCCAGTTGTCCCAGGTCAACATGACCTATATTATGGACCAATCAGAGTCTTTTCTTGAGAGTTTGAAATGAGGCTTGAGGAGGAGCCACATAGTCTGGGAAGCAGAAAAACTCATGCACAGAGGGAAGAAGAAACGAGAGGCATAGAGAAAGAACTTCCTCAGCTTCCTATACTGTCCCTGATTCTGGTCTATTCTGAAGGCTCAGTTGCACCCTGGATTCTGGGATAAACCTTTTCTCCCTTAACATAGCTCAAATGTGTTTCTATTTCTTGAAAACAAAACAGCTCTAACTAGTCAACTCTGCCTTATCAATCCTTCCCCTTTTACCTCTCAGTACCCCTACACTCCCCAATTCTGCCAAGCTTGAAACATGGCTGCACCGCTCTTGCCTTCCAACCATTAAACTTAAGAGGCCTGTGGAGCTGAGGAGAAAGCGTGGCCCAAGAACAACCATGCAGCCAGTCTGGTGATTGAGGCTGTGAGATCATATCTCATGAGATCCCCTAGGGGACCCTTTTCCCTCAGGCCTTAGGGATTCAGCCCACCCTCCCCTCTCTTTATAACTACCATCACCTCTTCCATTTTTAGATGCCACTCTCCAAAAACAAGCTCCCCAGCGCACTCTGTCTGTATACTACAGTTGCTTTTTGTATTGTGGATCATAGTGCTAACCATTATGAGGAGACAAATGTGAACTTTTAAAAAATAATAGATACAGTTTCCAAAACGCTACAGAAGTTCTTGTAATTATTGCCACTGATGCATAGTTTCTGATTTCCAGGTAAATAGTCCCCCTTAAGTACTTGTAATTCTTTGGTACTTGTGATTCTTCCTCAGAGAATCACAAGTACTTCCTTGGTAGATATAATAATAATATTTAATATTTATTCAACATCAATCATACGCCAGGTACTATGCTAAGCGTCTCATATAAAGCATTTCGTGAGGTGGATACTGTCATTTTCATCAGCAGAGGAAATGGAGATTAAAGAGGTCAAGTAACCCAAGTGGCCAAATTCAAGAGCCACAGTTACATTAACTTCTTGATAACAGACCTGAAAATCTACTTAAGGTGGATAATGGATGTAAAATACCTCATTCAAATATTGTCTGAGAATAAAATCTTTCCACAAACTTAGGATAAGACTGATTGTTATGTAACCATGGTAACAATGAGCCACCACAACCAGCTTTAAACCCAAACCATAGACCAAGTCAACATCAGTTCTCATATGTGTACAACCCTATCAGTGCCAGGCCCTTTCTTCTGAATGTCAACTAGTCAAGAAAGACTTACTCCAATAAACCCGCCTCTGAGTGCCAATCAGCCTACAACAGTCTCACCTGAGTAAGCATCCTTCTACAGATGATGTCAACCTGTCTACGTCCACAGTCCTTCAACTCCATGCTGCCCAGACACCCTGTATGAGACTAGCAGTCTGCCCTGCCAGGTACACTGTGCCTGACCAGTACAGCTCTCTGTCACTACAGCAAGCAATAAAGTCATCTTTCTATTTCAAGCATTAATGATTGTCTCCTCATCCTTTGATACTCTAATCCCAAATGGATCAACTTCTTGGCAGACTTCAAACTGTTTGAGTCCCATCTCATGTATACAAGCCCCTCCTTACAGTAACCTAAAAGAGAATTTCACCTATACTTTTAGCTGTTTGACTGCCAGTGGAGGAATCGTCCTGTGTAGTGTGTCTACGGATGTGTGTATAAAGAATATCAATGGCCCAGAACTATTTAACATTTATATTAGGTTGGTGCAAAAGTAATTGCAGTTTTTGCCATTACTTTTAATGGTATAATAATATTATAATATATCTTGGTATAATACTATTATTATAACCTTGGTATATTATTATTATTATATCTTGGTATAATACTATTGTACCAAGATAACTTAATAACTGCTTGCTAAATAAAGTAACACTTCATGTGAAAGTACAGATACTTTACATAATAAACATTTTTAAAATACCTGTATGTAATTCAAGTGCTCCTACAACAATAATAGGCTTCAACTCATCAATCTCCTGTTCAAAAGTAGCATAGTGTAGAATTTCTGATCTGATTTCAGTCAGAGAGGGGTTGTTAGCCAAAAATTCCTGTGGTAAGAAAATAGTCAATATTTTAATTTTTTAACAGTATAAATCTTACCATAGTTACATTAGAAAATTGCATTTGCTCATACACATTTACACTTGTGTGTGCAATGGGGCCAGTGGCTGGGTAAGAAATAGGGTGTCCACCAGGAAGCGAGGAATTTCACAGTCTGCAGGGCATGGTTATTCAGAGTTCTAAAGTTCCCTTGCGTCTCTAACCGAAATACAGCTGGGTCTACATAAGTGTGACGCACCCTTGAATACCTAGCCTCTAGTCCGTGGTGGCACATAATTGGTACTCAATTGTTTAAGGAAATTGAACAAAATCTGTCTGAGCCTCAGTAATATCAATTGCCTCAGTGTGTCCATGTGAGAATTACACCAGCTAGAAGGTGACAGGTGCTTGGTATTTATAGATTCTTGGCCTCTGCTCATGGGTTCCTGTCATTATCCCTGATATTTTCCTGGTCCACCCTCAAGAATTAGAGACAAACAAAACCCAAACAACATCACAAGTAGCAGAAAGACACCTTCACTTTCACATCGCGGTCCTCTGTCCAGAGAGTCTTGTACTTCTGAAAGTCCTGCAGGGCCTCATGAGCTGCCTTTCTTAGGGAATTTACAGAGGAAGAAAGGAGCAGGACCAACTTAGAAATATCCTTGTGCTCCGCTACCCCCGGGTAAAAATTCTTCAGCTTCCTCGCAGGAATAGCTTCTTCAAAAGATCCTGAAAACAGATGTTTTTACACTATAAATAACTTCTATATTCAACTTTAAATATTATCAGTTTTAATATTTGTGATTCTTTTTCAAACTGTATTTTCTTAAAGATTCTCCCTCCAAGAAACTAAGAGCTATTTTGAGTAATTAAGAGCTATTCTCTTGCTATCTTCATGTATTCTCATTAAACTATGGTGTCAGATTTTGAGCTCTAGATTTCTTTAATCTAGAAGAACTGTTATTCGGAGAGGATAACTGAAAGACACTGATTAAAACACCCCAAAATGTTAAAGTCCTTTAAGAAAAGGTTAAAAGCGTTGAAATTTCCACCCTGAGGAATAGCGCAGTGGTTCAAGGAGAGACATTACATTTATTATCCAAATGACCCTGGGCCAAGTATTTAGTCTTCGTGGATATACTTGTGAGAATTAAATGAGACAACCTCTGCTGGGGTGTTTAAAGGTCAGCGCTGTAGATATTCAGCATCTGGCATCTTGGCTTCCTGCTTGTTAAACCTGGTATTTTTACTGATACAGTATTTGTGTAGTTTTCTTAGACTGTTCAGTTTGATACAGTCTTCAATAGTCACCAATGCTTTTATTTTTCTAGGGTGTCAAATTGAAAACTAGGCAGATCCACCTACTCTAAAAATGACCCTAAAATAAACTGGTTGAAGAAATTAGATCCCAAAGATTCTTGGTGAAGAATCACTATATGCATATTCAAATAGAGATAAGCCCCTCCTCACAGTAACCTAAAAGAGAATTTCACCTATAGTTTTAGCTGTTTGACGGCCAGTGGAGGAATCGGCCTGTGTATCACTATATGTATATTCACTATATGCATATTCAAATAGAGATAAAAGAATCCAAAATACAAGAATTGTGGCCAGGCTGACAGGAGACATGTGGACTAAGCATCAGTTCTAATAATGAGGGCTAACTTGAAAATACATCTTTTGAAGATAAATTTTGACTCCAGCTGGCTGGGCACAGTGGTTCATGCCTAGAATCCCAGCACTTTGGGAAGCCCAGGCGGGGAGATCGTTTGAGTCCAAGATTTCGTGACCAGCCTGGGCAACATGGCAAAATCCTATCTCCACAATAATACAAAAATTAGCTGAGCATGGTGGCACGTGCCGGTAGTCCCATCTACTTGGAGGCTGAAAGGGGAGGATTGCTTCAGCCAAGAAGGCAGAGGCTGCAGTAAGCTGAGGTTGCACCACCTCACTCCAGCCTGGGCAACAGAGTGGGACCCCATCTCTAAATAAATAAAACCAAGTAGTGGTAAGTTCTCCAGTTTTGTTCTTTTTCAAAATTTTTTTGGCCATTATAGGTCCTTTGAATTCCCCTATTCTCTATTCAAATTTTAGGATCATCTTATCAATTTCTTCCGCAAAAAAAGTCTTCTGGGATTTTGATAGAGATTGTATAAAATCTGTAGATCAATTTGGGAAGAACTGCCAGTTTAATAATATTAGATCTTCCAACCCATGAGCATGATGTATCTCTTCATAGAATAACTTTCAGCAATGTTTTGCAGTTTCAGTGTACAGACCTTATACTTCTGTTAAATGTATTTTATTCTTCCTTGCTTTTGTGCATTAAATTGTTTTATTTCATTTTCAGATGGTTCATTGCTAATATTTAGAAATATAGTTGATATCTGTATATTAATCCTGTATCCTGCAGTCTTACTGAATTCATTTATTAGTTCTAATGGGGTTTTTTTGTGTGTGTGAGGGTTGATTCCTTAGGTTATTTTTACATACAAAATCATATCATCTGCTAATAAAGATGGTTTAACTTTTTCCCTTCCCATCTGTGTATCTTCAATTTAGTTCACTTATCTTAATCCACTTGATAGAATTTCCACTATAATGTCGAGTAGATGTGGTAAGAGCTAGTATTCTTGACTTGTTCCTAATCTTAGGGGGAAAAAATTCAGGCTTTCAACATTAAGTATGATGCCTTTTATAAGGTTGAAGAAGTTCAATTCTATTCCCAGATTGCTGAGCATGTTTATCATGAAAGGGTATTGGATTTTGTCAAATATTTTTTCTATGTCTATTGAGATAATCATGAGTTTTTTCCCTTTATTCTATTCATATGGTGTATTTTAGGATGTTAAACCAACCTTGCTTTTATGGGATAAACCTCATTTGGTCAAACTATACAACACTTTTTATACACTGCTGGATTCAGTTTGCTAACATTTTATTATGGACTTCAGCATGGTCATTTAAATTTAAGAGTCCTTTAAAGATGTTTTTAGATATAAAGAAGTCAAATTTAAACATCTTTTCTTCTATGGTTTGAGCTTTGTATGTCTTGAGAATCCTTCCCTACCCTGGTGGTTTAAATATATTGTGCTGTTTTATTCTAAAAGTGTTGTAAAATAGATGGAATAGTGTTATAGGATATAGAATAGCGGGTATGATGTGTATCTAATTCAAGATACTACTGTAAGTTTTTTCCACATGGAAACAAATCCTTAGCCACATTTATTAAATAGTACATTCTTTCTCCACTGATTTGTAAATCCACCTATACCATATATTTTCATAAACATGAGTATTTCTGCACCCTCTGTCCTGTTCTGCTGTATGTTATCTATCTTTGGATCACTAAAAGACGGTCCTCATTAGCCTGGCTTTGTAACACTCCTTGCTATTTGGCAGGGCAGGACCCCCTACCTTGCTTTTCTTCAACACCAATTTTTCTCAGCTATTTTTAACTCTTTTCACTTCTATATAATTTTACAATCAAATTTATAAATCAAGTTGACAACAGAAAAAAATCTATTATGATTTCTTTGGAATTGTATTACATTTATAGATTAATCAAAGAATTGACTTCTTCATGATGTGGACTTATTCTTGTCTTCCATTATCTCATTCAGTAATATTTTCTCCAAAAATGCTGTGCAAATTTTTTTTACATTTATTTGTTAAATACCTTATGGTTTGTGGCTAATAAAAAAAATCTGTGTTTCTATTATACATTAATTGTATTACTGGTAAATGTAAAAATACTGGGGGTTTTGTATGTTGATCTTTTATACATAAACATTACTGAACTTATTGGTTGTAACAATTATTTCTAGATTTCCTGGATTTTCTATATATAATCTTTAAATAAGGACAATCTCAGTCTTCCTCTCCAATTCTTCTCATTTTTTCTTGTCTTATTTCATAATGAAGATCTCTAGTAAACTATCAAATAAAAATGATAATAGTGGGCTTCCTTCTTTATTCTTCATTTTATTGATAATGCAATACTTCTAAATATTTTTACAGATGACATTATTGGAAAATCTGTCTTATTCCTAGTTTGATAGGAGGCTGTATTTAAGTCTATGTGTGGGTAAGTGAAATATACTTACAGAAACATATATAAAACACAAGAAATAGGTAAAATGTATATTAAATAAGAAGAAAAATGAATTCCAATGTACTCACCACCAAGTTAAGAATAGAATGTTACCAATAGATTAGTCCTCTCTAGGTACCTCTCTAATCCCATTCCCTGCCCTTACCCCCAGAGGCAACCATTATCCTGAATTTTCTTTGAAGATAAACTTTACAATAAACCAACATGTTTATCCCTAAACACCTTTTAAAAGCTGAGCAGTAAGCACAAAACTAGCCATAAAGGAAAGAACATTAATTGTTCATGTGAGACGAAGGCTCCTACAAGAAAAGAGTCTCTGGGACTGGTCTGGCTTCATCTTTTCTACAAGTTTACAAAAGCCCTTTGTGGGGGAAGCTATGGGGCAGGATCATAAATAAGTCCTAGAAAATATATGTGTCATGACAATCAGGGCATCTGGCAGCACTGTGTTTGTGAGCCGAGTAATAAATGTCCAGCAAGAAAATGGCCAGGATAGTGAGCTAATCTCTATTTCCTTATATCACAATTACCTGCCTCCAGTTCTCAGTAGTTGGTCAAGGCAGAACGCTTCTGAGGAATGAATAAGTTTCCTCAGCTGACCCAGAGCAATGAGTGTAGAGCAACAACTTCATCAGCACATGGTGAGAATAAGAAAGTCCAGACAAGAATACAGACCAGGTTTACCCAGGCATTCTGCCTTCAAGTTAAAAGACAGTATATATAACGGCATCCAGCATTTGTTGAGAGCAGTCAAAACTCACCTGTTTCCTAAGTCACACTGGTTGCCCTCTATGCTTAGAACATAACTATCACTGCACAATCACCCTTCAACATTCACCTTGAAATTCCCTTCACCTGTCTGCTGTGTTTTATTCCTGTTTCCAATATCCCATATCTTCTTTTTTTTTTTTTTTTGCTTTTGCTTTTGCTTTCTTATTTTGGAAGACTACAACCTTCAGTAACTTTATGGAAAAGCATGTGTTGATGGTACATTTTAAAAGACACTGCATGTCTGAAAATGTCTATTTACATCGTACTTGGTTGATAATTTTGCAGATAATAGAATTCTTATTTGCAAGATTGTTGATAAGTCCAAGGAGATTTTTGCATCTAACAATTTATAGTTTTATGTTTAGCCTGCTACAATAATAGAAAAATATATAGAATGGACTAGGGAGAGAATAAAGAATAATGGCAAACATTGGACTAAACATAAAAAAATTAGATACTGATCTTCTTGTATGGATTAATTCCCAGCCCTCTTATTAGGTTTGTGACTTTGGAAAAATTATTTAACCTCTCTGAAGAAAGAACTGGGTTTGATTCATAATCTCAGAAAACACAATCCCAAACACCATAATCTCAGAAATCCCAAAAGCTCAAAATCCCTAAAATCTAAATCCCGAAAGTATAAAATCCATGTCTAAAATTCTGAAAATCAAATCCCCCTTTAAAAATGTAAATAAATATATTTAAAAGAACTGTTTATTAAAATAATAATTATTTTTTCCAGAATTATATTTTTTGGATTTTGATCTTTTGGGATTTCAACATTTGAGATTATGGCATTGGATTGTGTCTTTCAAGATCATGATCAGCCCTTGAAGGAACTAATATTTATCTTCCCAGGTATTTTATGTAAATTCATAGATACATCCACATGCTTTTTCCCTAGCTCTTCTTGCCTCTGATTTTCCAAAGTTGCTCTTTCTAGGTCCTGAATGATCAGTCCAGCCATTCGTCACTGCCCAAGAGTCCATGTATATCTTTGCTTCAGACCACTCTCCTTATAAAAAAGGTATACTACTTGAAGCTCTGCCCTCTGGGGGGAATTCCCCTTTTCACTCTCCTTTAGGGCCACTCCTGAGTGGGCTGTAGTGAAACAGAAGTCCATTTTCAGCTGACACCAACACATCAAGCCAATTCAGATAGACCAGTCCTGAGATTTTTCATCCTTTATTAGCTGGTTGTAGGGAACACCCCATGAGACCACAGATGTAAGCTGAGAAAGCAATGTTAGTGCAACATAGAAAGGTGCCATAGGGGTCTGAGCCACCTGGTTGTGTAGCTTACCTGGTATCTTGGGGGTGTTTTTGTTTTTTGTTTTTTGGAGATGGAGTCTCCCTCTGTTGCTCTGGCTGTAGTGCAGTGGTGCAATCTCAGCTCACTGCAACCTCTGTCTCTGGTTCAAGTGATTCTCCTGCCTCAGCCTCCCCAGTAGCTAGGATTACAGGTGTGTGCCGCCATGCCCGGCTAATATTCTTGTATTTTCAGTAGAGACAGTGTTTTGCCATGTTGGCCAGGATGATATCAAACTCCTGACCTAAGATGATCCACCTGCCTTGGCCTCCCAAAATGTTGGGATTACAGACGTGAGCCACCACACTGGGCCTTACCTGGTATCTTGTTATTTTCAATTTGCCTTTCCCTGCATCACAGTGGAAGTGACATAGTTTTGAGACCAGTTTCTCAACCCCATTAAAAAGTTAAAGAGACCAGTTGAAGAGACCAGTTTCTCAACCCCATCAGAAAATGGACAAAGGACATGAATAGACACTTTGCAAAAGAAGACACTCATGTGGCCAAAAAACATATATAAAAAAAAGCTCAACATCAGTGATCATTACAGAAATGCAAATCAAAACCACAGTGAGATACCATCTCATGCCAGACAGAATGGCAATTATTAAAAAGTCAAGAAACAAAAGATGCTGGCAAGGCTGTGGAGAAATAGGAATGCTTTTACACTGTTGGTGGGAATGTAAATTAGTTCGACCATTGTAGAAGACAGTGTGGCAATTCCTCAAAGACCTAGAACCAGAAATACCATTTGACCCAGCAATTCCATTACTGGGTATATACCCGAAGGAATATAAATCATTCTATTATAAGGATACATGCACGCCTATGTTCATTGCAGCACTATTCACAATAGCAGACATGGAATCAACCCAAATGCCCATCAATGGTAAACTGCATAAAGAAAATGTGGTACATATACACCATGGAATATTATGCAGCCATAAAAAAAGAATGAGTTCATGTCCTTTGCAAGGACATAGATGGAGCCGGAAGCCATTATCCTTGGCAAACTAATGCAGGAACAGAAAACCAAACACTACATGTTCTCACTTGTAAGTGGGAGCTGAACAATGTGAACACATTGACATAGGGAGGGGAACAACACATACTGGAGCCTGTTGGTGGGGGATGGGGGTGAAGGGAGGGAGAGCATCAGGAAAAATAGCTAATGCATGCTTGCTTAACACCTATGTGATGGGTTGATAGGTGCAGCAAACCACCATGGCACATGTTTACCTATGTAACAAACCTACACATCCTGCACATGTACCCTAGAACTAAAATAAAATAAAATAAAATAAAATAAAACAAAATAAAATAAAATAAAAAAGAAACCAGTTTCTTTCTATACAGGAAGTGTCAAAAAAATGTTCATAACATTTTGGGTCACTATCATATCATATTCATAACTACTTAAGTGACGAATTTATGTTTACCTTAAGTTTATCCAACCTACTATCATGCAGAAAGTAAAATTAGTGCTAAGGTTTATTTTAATTTTTAACTTAAGATCATCATAGTAGAAAAGTGATTTAAAAATCCTTTTCACCCACCACCCAAAGCCAGGAAAAAATGCCTGCACGTTATGTTTAAGATGAAACATACTATTTTTTAAATGCAAAAGGTATCAAACATATAAAATAATTTAAAAATCTATATGCTATCAAATCCAAAAAGGATCAGTAAGATCATTGACTAATTTTACATTCTTACTTTCTTCCTTCTTCAGCAGTTTTCCTGTGTTTTGATGGGTCACGTCAGTAGTGGTGGGGCTGGGAATGACAGACTTGATGGGACGGATTTGCTGTTGCCCCCAGTGAGCCACTCCTCTGCTGACCTCCAGGGTTAACTGGATCATACGGTTAATGGCTTGTTGAATGTCATCCAAACTAGGAATCATCACCTGTGGAAAGAAGAAACAAATGTGTAATACTGCCGGCACATACAGTCCATCCCTCAATTTTCACCACCTCCATTCCCCACTGAGTGGGGCAAGCCTCGGCTGGCCCAGTGCAAGGCTGATTTGAGGGGGAGAATGATAGAGGAAGATGGGGAGGATGCAGATTTTCTCTATCCTGAAGTTTTCCCGCTATCGATTCCTGCAAGCCTCATTACACCACGAGCTAATGCGGACGTAACTTTTTAATAACAGATAGAAATGACATTTTGATTTTGTTAAAAAGGTCAAACTAGTACTTGTCATCCTTTTCCCCATGAGGGTGGCAGAATGCAGTGGGAAATTACAGACTATGTGTTAGAGATCTATGAAACAAAGTAACTGAAGAAGCTACACCACCAAGATTCTGACCTCAGTTCTTTGAAATGTGCCAAATAAGCTAAGAAGGTATCCTTCAGGAGGTCAGACCATGTAAAGGTGGTTTTAGGTGAGTCACGGACCGTTTCTGCCTGGCCTTATCCTTTGACCCATCGCAGAATGCAGCTCAGCCATCCCATGTGGCTTGGAGTTCCAGATGCCCATCAGCAGCTGGGGTAGTTGTAAAGATAAGTGCCATGGGAAGACACGGGTGATTCAGATGCTCAGGGCACAGGCTCTTTTTGTCTTTCTCTTCTGCCATCCTTACCTTAGTGCGTTGCCTCACAGTCATGTGTTTGAGGTAGGGATCTGGACAACTGTGATGATTTTATTTAGATAATTTAATGTCTGAAGTAAGAAAAAGCAAGGCAATTTGTAGGGTGCTTGCTAACTGCTGGCAGAACAGATGCCTAACTCAATTCTTTCACGAGTCCTTCAATACATCATGAGCTAATACAGAAGTAACTTTTTTTTTTTTGACAGAGTCTTGCTCTGTCGCCCAGGCTGGAGTGCAGTGGCATGATCTCAGCTCACTGCAACCTCCACCTCCCAGGTTCAAGCAATTCTCCTGCCTCAGCCTCCCAAGTAGCTGGGACTACAGGCACCTACCACCACAACTGGCTAATTTTTGTATTTTTAGTGGAGACGGGGTTTCACCATGTTGGCCAGGATGGTCTCAAACTCCTGACGTCAGGTGCTCCACCCGCCTTGGCCTCCCAAAGTGTTGGGATTACAGGCGTGAGCCACTGCACCCATCCCAGAAGTAGCTTTTTCATAACAGATATAAATGACATTTCCAATTTGTTAAATAGTGAGGGAAAGTGAAAAAAGACATAGGACCAAAATGTTACCTAAATGAAAGCTCAGTTCTAGTACTATACTTCTTAAGCACCTTATCAAATTATCAGTGTATTTAATAATACTTACCACATTAGGAATTGCAAGATGTACTTCACTTTTTATAAAGGAAATAATATCTTCTGACTGCTTTCGCCCATAAAGGCTGCAATGAGATGGACATTTAGCTGATGAACCTTACCCTAAAATTTCATTGTTAGTTTATTATGCTACAAAATTCAGTCCGAACAATAAAGATCATTTTTAAAAGGCCAAATTACACAAAGAGAATATTACTTATAACAGAACCCTAAATTGCAGAGAACTAAGAAAATACAATGACCCAATAGTCTTAGAAGTAAAATAGTAATCTCATATACATTTTCTACTATTTTAATGTTGTTCTTTCTCAGTAATAACCTTTAACAATGTTTACTAAAGGCATTCTTTGTTCCCAGCCCTGCAACAGATACAAGATGAGATCACCAGCATATACTTTTATATGCTTCTTTATCTATATTTTCACAAGATTAAACAGGAAGTTTCTGGTCCATGCTTTCCAAAAACCGCGTTGTTAAACAATATCACTCATGCACAGACAGCAGCACAGACGCCTGAGTCCAGTTATGAAGGACACATGCAGAGCTGCAAATTAGTCTGGCTAGCATAGCTCCCTCTGTCTTAACCTCCACCCCTATCCCAGGCAAAATTATAATAAATGTAAACTGTCCATTCTCTTTTTCTCTGGGAGTGCAAGAAATACCGTCATTACTGAAAACTTACACCTCCATTTCTAAATACAAGCAGATGGGGGGTGGGAGGGGATCACAAGAAACATAGAGGCCACAGTTCAAAAGTGAAGACCCAACTTTTAGCACTCAGGGCCAATGGTTCCCAGATAAACGTATTATTGGAAAGGACTGAACAAAAAGAAAGCAAGCAAACAAAACCCCTCAATTCATAGTGTCCCAGTGAAATTCAAGATGTTGCAATAAAATTAGTGTGGGCATTGATTCAAAGTGTGTAATTTGAGAATAAGAAAGAGTTTTCATAAAGTATAAAGGAACAGTTGAATAATAAAGGCAGTGAACAGTGCACTAGATCATTTGGTACCTTATATAGCAAATTAGAGAATCAGCTGAAGGTATTCTCCAAAATTTCAGGTGCAAAATACAAAGAGAGAGAAAATACTTAGAGAAAAGGTAAGAATAAGTAACATTTATTGAATGTTTTAATGTATGCCAGCCACTTTCCATAGATTACCAGTTCATGTTCACATTAATTCTGTGAGGCAGACCCTACGATTATTATTCTTTCCATATTGTAGATAAGGAAACCAAGGTAGGGAGAGGCTAAGTAATTTCCAGAGAGTCACTCCGCTCAGAGATGCTTACTACCTAGATACGGCACGTGAATACTGTGTAGATATGGGAAATTAAAGCAAAGCACTCCTTTAACCTTAAGAATAGGCTTTTTTTTTTCATCTTCAAGAGATTCTCTAGGTGCCTGACAGGATTAATGGGGGGAAATCCACCTGCATCTAAACATACAATTTGTGAATTTCAAGAATAAAAGAGAAATCCTGTCAGCATCAAAACAAATACAAGTTGTTAGTTGGAAAGGAAAATCGGATTCGCAGCAGAACTCTCCTCTAAAAACTGAAACCAAAGAAGCCAATGGAGCAGCCTCTGTAGAGCGTGACAGAAAGGGATTCTGATCCCAGAAGACCAAGCTAGCGTTCGTGTGTGGGCATAAGAGAAAGACATTTTAGACAAGTAAGGGTTTTTAGTACTATCCTCATGTATGCCTCCTCAAAAATTGCTAAATTGCCGCAGAACTTGTAAATCAATGTAGCATAGTGAGTTCATACTTCAAAAAAGCTTCTTTTTGCCAAACTCATCACAATCATGGATGGGAGATAAAGGACATGAGAATGCTCAAATACAAGGTAAGCATCTCCATGAAGTAGAAATGGAGAGAAACTCAAGGACAGCCTAGCCAGGGTTCCGGGCTGGAAAGAGGCAGTGACCGTGGGGAGGTTGGCTCTGGTGGAATATAGAGGATGGACAGGACTCAATGAGGGATGGGGCCTCGGCCAGCCTCACTACTTAAGGCCAAAAACTAAGATGATGCTCTCCCATCTGTCTTGCAGATGATGCTGCAAGACAAAATGCGTCAACTTACTTCCTGCAGCTATGGCTTTTCCAGGAGATGCAGACCTGGGGCAAAAGAAGCACATCCACAAATTCCCTGATAAGTAACTAAGTTAGGCTACCCGTGTGCTCCCTAGCCAAACCTGCCATACCCCCAGTATCTCTCCAGGGGCCAGTAACTGTGAAGAAATAAGACCTGGTTCTGTACTCAGGGTTCCAAGTGTCATTTAGAGGCAAAAGTGAAACTCATAGATAGGGAGAGAGAGAAGGAAAAAGAAACACAAAAACAAAGCTCTCGCTCAAAGAGAGCCTGCACATTAAAACCCAAGTATGCGTGAATATGTCTAAGGGTAAGAAAGAGAGCTAACGAAATCCAAAAACGAAACAGAAACTCACTCTAGATAAAAATTAATGTCCAGATAACAAGCTCTAAAGTAAGGGAAAATGTTCAGTGATATATGAAGACTCTTCCAAAAAAATAAAAAATTTGCTAAACTAAAAAGGCAGAAATAATACCATATCTGGAGGATAAGGAAAAAGTATTTTTTCTTGAAATATTTAAGATGCCACAGATGACAAAATCTTTAGAATAGATACAGAGATACTGCCCATAATGTAGTTCAGAAAGGCAAAAAGATAACATAGATGACAGAGTCATTAGGAGACAACGAGAAGAGAATGAGAAGCCCCAACATATGAAATAACCACATGTCCAGTGTGCCCAGGACAGTTCCAGATTCACTGTGTCCTGGCACCTCATCTGGACAGTGCTCCTTCACTCACAAAAGTTCCATAGTTGGAACAATAAGTTATGTGGTCATTCTACCCAACATTCAATTAATAGGAGTTCCAGAAGAAGACAATGAAAGAATATCCTAGAAGCAATAACTAAAGGGAAAATTGCTGAGGTTTTTTCTAGCATTAAGGAAAGCTATAAACCCTCAAATAGAAAGTGCACTCTGAGAACAAAGCAGGATTAAATAAAGACAAATCCACACGGGGTAAAGAAAACTGCAGAAACATTAAGGATTAAAAGAGAATATTCAGTTAGACTCTTGCAGACTTCTCATCAGCAGCAACAAAACTCAGAAAAAAATGAAGAAATACTTTCCAAGTACTAAAAGACAAAGAAAAATTTTATATCCAGCCAAAATGTTATGAAAGTATGAGGGCAAAACATTTTCAGACTTACAAAAAAGGATAAAAGAGTCTACCTCTCACAGATCCTCACTAAAGAACCAATGGGATACAAAAAACTACATGAGAACCTGGAGATTTTAATAAATTATGCCAGTAAATAAATTATTTTAATATATTATTTTTGAGTGTTTACAAAAAAGTAAAACTAAAACATCAAACAGGAATAAAATATGTACAGTTCAGTGAGTAAAGCCTGCCAAGGCCCTTGTAGTCAGAAATAAGACTAGAAAACTGCAAAACTAAGGACAGTGCTTTTTCTTTTTTCTTTTTTTTTTGAGATGGAGTCTCACTCTGTTGCCCAGGCTGGAATGCAATGGCACAGTCTTGACTCACTGCAACCTCCACCTCCCAGGTTCAAGCGATTCTCCTGCCACAGCCTCCCTAGCAGCTGGGACTACAGGCGTGCACCACCACACCTGCCTACTTTTTGTATTTTTAGTAGAGACAGAGTTTCACCATGTTGGTCACGCTGGTCTCAAACTCCTGACCTCAAGTGATTCGCCTGCCTCGGCCTCCCATGGTGCTGGGATTACAGAGGTGAGCCACTGCGCCTGGCCAGTACTTCTTTTAGTTGGAGCAAAATATGTGCATTCTAAAGTTAAGGGTAATCACTTAAAGAACTGAAGTACAGAAAAGAGAATAAATGGTGAAAATTATCCACCGCAAAGACAACAGTCATAATGAAATGAATCAAAGAAAAAGAATGTTGAGAAGAAAACACAAAATAAAATGTCATAAATTAAGTGCAACTATATCAAAAATCACAATAAATGCAAACAAATTGAACTCACTAAGACAGAAATAATGAGACTGAAGGAAAATTATCAGGTATAAAATATTTTTAAGAGGTAAAACTAAAAAGTACAGAGAAAGGCTTAAGTAAAGAGACTGAAACAATTACACAAAAAAGGTTGGTAAAGTAATGACAAACTAAATTGTGAGGAATCAGAATTAATACAGATAAAGGGATTTGCCAAATAAAAATAAAAGGAAAAGTGCTCTTAAGCAGGTTTAGCTACTACGACCTTGTATGCACCTAACAACACAGCCATAGAATACATAAAACAAGAACTGACCGAAACAAAAGGAAAGTTTAATAAATCCACAATCACACTGGGAGAATTGAACAGTACAATTAAATTAAAAATCAGCAATGAATAGCCAAGGAATAAATCTAACAAAAATGTGCAGGACCTTTACACAGAGATTTATAAAACGTCACAGAGAGATATTAAAGAAGACATATCAATGAAGAGGTAATACATAATTCTGAATAGAAGACTCAATATTTGTAAGGATGCTAATTCTCTTCAAATTGATCTATAGATACAATGCAACTTAAATAACTCCCCCACCTGACCTCACAAGTAAGTTGATTTTTCAACAACTTTTGCTTGGTCAACTAATTAACCATATGGAAAAAAATATATTAATTTGCTACCTCACACTAAGCATAAAAATCAATACCATGTAAATTAAAACCCTAAATATAAAGGTCAAAACTACAAAAGTTTTGGAAGACATTATGAAGTAGGGAAGAGTTGGTTTCTTTAAACAGATCACAAATCACTAAAACTGATAAATTTGAATATTTTTAAAACTCAGCAATGGAAAATGAAAATTAATAAAGAAAATGAAAAGATAAGGCAAAACTGACAAAAGACATTTGTTATATTATCATCAATAATGTAATATACTAAGAATACTTATGAATTAATCCAATTCGATAGAAAAACAGGCCAAAAAAGGAACACAATTTTTTTTCTTTTTTTTTTTAATCGTACTTTAAGTTCTGGGGTACATGTGCAGAACATGCAGGTTTGTTACATAGGTATACACATGCTATGGTGGTTTACTGCACCCATCAACCCGTCATCTACATTAGGTATTTCTTCTAATGCTATCCCTCCCCTATCCCCACACCCCCTGACAGGCCCTGGTGTGTGATGTTCCCCTCCCTGTGTCCATGTGTTCTCATTATTTAACTCCCATTTATGAGTGAGAACATGCGGTGTTTGGTTTTCTGCTCTTGTGTTAGTTTGCTGAGAATGATGGTTTCCAGCTTCATCCATTTCCCTGCAAAGGACATGAACTCATTCTTCTTTATGGCTGCATAGTATTCCACGGTATATATGTGCCACATTTTCTTTATCCTGTCTATCACTGATGGGCATTTGGGTTGCTTCTAAGCCTTTGCTATTGTGAACATTGCCACAGTAAACATACGTGTGCATATGTCTTTATTGGAGAATGATTTATAATTATTTGGGTATATACCCAGTAATGGGATTGCTGGGTCAAATAGTATTTCTGGTTCTAGATCCTTGAGGAATCGCCACACTGTCTTCCACAGTGGTTGAACTAGGAACACAACTTTTAAGGAAGAGAAACAACAAATGGCCCATAAACACAAGAAAGTATATTTAATCTCATCAGTAACCAGGAAAATGCAAACCAAAATCCTGATGAGATGCCATTTCACACCCTGTATGTTGGCAAGAATTTTTTAACCGAATAATACTGTCTGTAGGGATGAGGGGCCATGGGTACTCTCACTATGTGCTGCCTGGTAAAATGAGGCATGCACATACCTTAGGACCCACCAAACCCACTCCTAGCAGGTGCAACAGGTGGCAGGTACTCACAGAAGCTTTATTCATGATAGCAAAAACTGAAGCAACCCAAATCACCATCACCAGTAGAATGGATAAACAGACTACGTATACTCCAACTACATAGAAGTGTAAAAAACTATACCCCATGGATGAATCTCAAAAACATTATACCAAGCACAGTTCAAATACAGGCAAAATTAAATGATACGTGGATTGGGGATACAAAAGCATAGTAAACTGTGAAGAAAACCAAGACAATGATAAACACCAAGTTCAGGATAGTGGTTACTTTTAGGTGAGAAGGGAGAGGACCCATGAGGGGACTGGTAGCCTTTTTTTGTCTCAGGCAGGGTGTTGGGAATATGGGTGTTCATTTAACTACAGTTCTTGCAGTATTACACAAATACTTTCATACAGTCTTTTAATGAATGCTATATTTTAAATTTTATAGTTTTTTTAATTAATAAATTTATAAGAGGTGCTATTCACATTATAAGTATGATTACCAGACATAATTAGCATATTTTCAACTTGCCTTGCAACAAATATTCTTCTTTTCATTGTGTCCAGAGATAACCGTGTAGCTTTTTGAAGACTGTCTAGTAATTGATGAGAGAAAAAAGCAAAGACCTCTTTACACTCCTGTAATAAGAAATCAGATTAAATTTGGTATCTCTCCTCCAAAAAACCTAGAGCATCCCCAAAACAATGACAGAATATTAGATGTGGCATGTGAAAGGCAACAAATAATAAACTATACAATTTCAATGATATTGTAGAAATAAATTCAGTCCTAAATTACTTGTCTGTTTTTTTTAGACAAATAAGAATACATGAAAAATGTGTTTGCATAAACACCCTAGCAAACCAGAGGGACTTATTCAAAAACCAAAATTCACAAACAGTATGTTCAGAGTAATCCTGGCTTGCTCAATACTCAATTTTCACCTAACAAAATTGAAGCACTTTAAATGTGGTACATTTCTCAATGATTAACGGCATGGGCACAAGAAGATAACTAGTCTCCATCCTCAAGAAGCTCAGCTTGGTGGATAAATGTATTTTAAAATGTGCAATACTCAAATATATGAGATGAAAATTCCACCCTCTGGGACAGCGGTTTGACCCTCTCTCCACACCCTTCCTTCCCTTGGGAGAAGTAGCCAAGTTTATTGATCAGAGCACAGGACAGGTTTTGAGCCTGGTAGGCAGAGATGTGGGCCCATGTCTTGCTTACACAATGAGTCATACATCGGGGCAAGGCTCTGGCCATACTGTTCCTCACTGCTCTAGAACCCGGCCCCTCTGAGACTGGGTTGGTGAGGCAGAAGAGAGAGTAATAAGGCATGAACAAAGAGGAATATCAAGATTTTCCATGTGGCAGTGGGGTACAGTCAGGGCTAGTGAACTATCAAGCTAAAGCACAGATGTGACATAATCAGATTTTTATTATTATTATTATTTTTTTTTTGAGACAGAGTCTTGCTCTGTCGCCCAGGCTGGAGTGCAGTGGCGCGATCTCGGCTCACTGCAAGCTCTGCCTCCCGGGTTCACGCCATTCTCCTGCCTCATCCTCCTGAACATAATCAGATTTTTATGTTAGACCGTTCTGGCAGCAATGTGAGAGATGAATTTGCGAGGCAGAGGCTATTTATGAGGTGACCACTAGCACAGCTCCAGTGATCCCCCAACTGGAGAGGTTCTGAGGGTACTCAGTCATGCTCTAAGGACTTCAGCCAGTGTCAAAAGGTAATGCAACTGAAAGACAGGCACTTCTGAGAGGGGAGTGCTCCAGCTGACACCTGCTGGTTGCTAACAGCTGCCTGGTGCATGGTACTGAGAAGCCTAAACTCTGCAGAAATCTAGATGCTGCAGAAAAGTGTTTCCCAATTATCTGGCAATATCATCCTTGAGCAAGAAGGTGAAAGTGGAATAAATGGGTGCTGTTTATTTCTAAAACTGCATCAGATTGTGTAAAAGTGGGTAAAATAGAAAAAGAATGAAAAGAAGGTGGGTATGAAGGATTAAAAGAAAACTGACCCGGGGAGGAGAAAGCAGGAATGAGTGCAAATGTGACAGTGACATTCAGAGCTCATGCATGACCAGAAGGGTGAGGACTAAGAAGGAAAAAGAAACCCCAGTCCCCCTTCTGAACCTTCATTCTCAACACATTTCAACTCAATGTGAAAATCTGCCTATCTAGGGCTTCTCCTGGGGGAGAGTCCAGAGTGGTCATCCATAATGCTAGTTTAAAATGCAGATCCCTGAGCCCCAAGTGAACCACAATCTGGACTTGCAATACAGATAACCATTAAACACAACAACTGAGAACAAAGTTCTCCATTCTGAGTCAAACGGATCAGCTGCTCCAATCCCTGACGTCACATTTACTATATGAGAAAACATGGTCAATCACAATGAGGAGAGGTGACTACATAAACTGTAATTGACAGAATCACATCAAAAGCTGTGATACTGGGGAAAACTTAAAGGATTGCCTGATCCTACAGTATAAAATTGAAAATTATACTTTCTGTATTTTGTTAGAAATTAGATTGGTTGCAGAACTGCCTGGAAAAAGCACCATATGGGGTTATCTATAATCCTATAAACCATAATTCTGTGAATTGCATGAAGTTGTTCCACAATAAATACCTTTTTAAATTCATCTTCTTTATCATGAGTATCAAACTCATTCACAATATTAGCTTCATAGTCATTGTTTTCACCCTCTCCTGTTTCACTTCCAAAAACAACGTGTTTCCGCTGTTCTATAGACAAAAGACAAAACAAAAATATAACATTTGACTTTTTAGCATTGTCTGTATTCTACATGGCCAAATCCTCTTAGGAAGTTCCTTTTTAAAAAGCTCTTACTTTTAAAACTGTTTTTTGAAAAATGCTTTTCGCATTTGTTCCTCTAGGAGTCATCCTTGAATTCAATTTAAATTATCCACCTCAATAGAATTGTCATTCTACTAAGAAATACACTCTGTAAATATACAATCTAGAATTCAGAAAAGTTTTAAGAGAGTTTTACCTATTATCTTTGTAAATTATCTGTCTATCTTTTGAGTTTTCCAACTTGACTGAAATAATATTTTTGTGTTTTTGACGCTTGTGATGAAACTAATTAAACTAAGTGGAAAAACTCTAAGAGGAAAGATGTGATGTGCATACTCATTCTAGGCTGAGGCTTTCTCATCCTCAGCACTACTGACATCTTGGGTGGGTCAATTCTTTGTTGCTGGGGGCTGTCCTGTAGGATGTTTAACAGCATCCCTGGCCCTTATCCACCAGAAGCCAGTAGCAACACCCACCCCCTCCCCCCCGGCCACCCCCAACACACACACACACTGTGTGACAACTGAAATGTCTCCAGACCTTGCCAAATATTCCCTTGGGGGCAAAATCCCTTCCAGTCCCATTAAGAACCACTGTTCCAGGCACAGTTTTCTCTTTCTCTCTCTCTCTCTCTCTCTCTCTCTCTCTTCTTGCTATGTCACTTTCATGGGATCTCTGCTTGACTGGAATGTTCTCTCACTCCAAAAAGCCAGCTTCCCACAGATTCCCTACTTCAAATATGTTGGTAATTAGCTAATTAACTTCATCCCTGTAAGGCAGTGCCATCTCTCAGGTCTCCTTCGAGAGTCTGGGTGGCACACTCTGTGTCAGTGACCTACTACTGGTGCAGTCAATGGCTAGCCTTGCTCGAAGCCAGCCTCACACTACTTCCCTGAGCAGCAGCTGGGGAGAAGAGCAGGTGCGTAGTAAACAGGGATCGTGACTGACAGGCACATCCCCTTACAATACTAACAAGTAAAACCTCCAACTACAAAGTTTTACCTAATCAGTTCTTATTTAGAGCTTGAAAACAAAACTTTAAAATGAAATATGTCTTTCTCTTCCAATTTATCCAAAGATTTGTTATATCTAGGACAGGACAATAATCTGAGCAAAGCTAAAAGTCCCGTGTTCTTAAACCATAATCTAGGAAGCAAAACACTCCCCTACTAGGGAATCTTTTCTTAAAATTCCCTGCCCCTGATAAAGGGGATTCAAATTCAACAGCTTCTCTCTCGGGCTTATTAATAAAACTGAAACTATTAGAACCTATTGAGATAACAGGAAATTCAATAGGGTAAAAATTATTTCATCCACTTTAAATAATGCAGGCACCTTGTCATACAAATTTGCCTGAACAGATGTGATGAAGTAAGGAAGTTTCTCTTAGTCCCAGTCAAGCCAACTGAATGAAGGTTATGAGGGTGTGGGCAGAATCAAAAGTTAGGAGCCTTTTAGGGCATCCTTTAATCATGGGAGGGGGAATGGATGGTGGAGAATACATGCTTCCATATCATGTTTTCTTCCTTGAGAGTGCACTCTTCAACTGGGTACCATTTATCTGTACCCAAACCCCAAAGATAGTTGTAAGTAGGAATTCATAGCTTACTCTACACAGAGAAGGATCTAGGAAAAGAAAAAAAAAAAGTCTTAAAACATGGTTTCACCCAGATTAAGTTTTCCAGATTCAAGAAAATTATAGAATTTACCTTTTCCTGGTTTATGTTTCTCAAAAAAAAAAAAAGTAAAATAAATCAAATAGTCAAAGTGACTTGATAAGAATGCTGCACCAGAAAAAAAAAAAAAAATAGAGTTAGCATAGCAGGCCTGAGACTGCTATCCATAGGAAGGCCAACTTGCAACGCTGGACCGGGGTTGGGAACTTGGATTTGAGAGGGGTTCCCACCATTCCCGAACTAACAAAAAGAACTCTCTGGGCTTAAACTGTTGGTACAAACAATGTGATTTATGCTGAACACCTTCTTTGCTTCTGGGGAAGGGAGGGTCTGGAATTCAGTACCTGCTAAGCAGAAGGTGCTTACATAAGAACGAATCTGTAGATCTTGTAATTCAAACACAGTAACGAGAAAAGTTACCTGACTGTTTTCCTACTTTCCCAGTGTATTTCACTTCATAAATCTGCTCAAATATTGATATAAGTTCTCTGACAGCTTCTTCCACATGCTTACTTTTGTGGTTTAGAATGTCAGCCCATTCTTTTGTGTATGTCTGTTAAATAAAGAAATGACTATTATTTTCCAGATACTTAAAAGTAACACTGTGAAAATTAGTCCTATGACTTTAATTTATAAAACTATAATTAACTTCACTTGAAAAAAAAAGCTAGAGATAGCTGAAAATGGCATAATGCTTCAGATTCAAAATTGTCAATGGCTAAAAGCATAGCTGCTAAGGCCCAAAGAACAGCAGAAAGATGAAAAAGTCCATCTTTGACCTATCCCTGACTCAATCACACATAGAAATCTACCTTGATATTCACATAGGTGAAAAGAAAGAAGGCTGAAGGGGTGGAGAGAAGATGATGCCAGAAGTTGAAACTGAGATGTGGTTTCAAAAGAAGACAATCCAGAGTATTGGTTTGGAGAGTTAAATTAGATAAAGTTTTTAATTGAGCATGGTGTTGTATAACAGGCATCAATTTAAGAGCTTTACACATATTAACTCATTTAGTTAAACACTGATCTTGGGATGAGTAATGGGGTGAGTAATATTATGGTCCCCATTTCACAGCAGAGAAAACTGAGGCTCAGAAAGAGTAAGAAATTTTCCCAGGTCACACAGTAGTTGGAAAAACTATTTGAAACCAGTTTTGTCTGATTCAAAATGCCTGCACTTTGTCTTTCTAAACTCTTCTACTAGCAAATGCTTTAGGAAGAAGTTGAGAACTAGTCAAATTCAGAAAAGAAAACTAGTTTATAAAGTTCAATAAGTCTTTTGACATGCCCACAAAATACACTCATTTTAGGACAAAGAAAAGTAGTTGGATGCAGTGTCTTGTGCCTATAATCCCAGCTACTCAGGAGGCTGAAGCAAGAGGATTGCTCATGCCCAGGAGTTCAAGGCTGCAGGAGCCATGATCGCGCCACTGCACTCCAGCCTGGGTGACAGCACAAGACCTCATCTCTAAAAAAAAAACGTAAAAGTAAATCAGGGCCGGGTGCAGTGGCTCATACCTGTAATCCTAACCCTTTTGGAGGCTGAGGATGGAGGATTGCTTGAGCCCAGGAATTTGAGACCAGCCTGGGCAACATGGCGAGACCCCATCTCTACAATAAATTTTTTAGAATTTTGCCAGGCATGGTGGTGCGTGCCTGTGGTCCCACCTACTCAGGAGGTTGAGGCAAGAGGATTGCTTGAGCCCAGGAGGCAGCAGTGAGCCATGTTCACTGCATTCCAGCCTGGGCAACAGAGCAAGACCCTGTCTCAAAAAAAAAAATGTACATAGGAGCAGCCACTTTGGGCCTTCAAGAACACAACTGCAGAGGATCCCAAGTCTGTCCATGCAAACTTCTCTCCAGAAAAGCCTTGGGAAGTCCCATATTCCCCATGTTTTGCCCCCATGTGTTATGTGTTCCTTTCTTGACTGTCTAATCTGTATCTGAATGCATTCTCATCATTTTTTAGTCCCAGGAGACATGGTGTCCCTCCTTCTATCCAAGGATATTCTGTGATCCTCTCCACACCCACCGACTCTTCTGACCTTGCTCCATCATTCATTCAGTTTGTCCTTTTCAATTTATTCAATGCAGTGCTAAACACTGGAATGGTAACGGAGGCTGGAAGCCACTTCAGTCTAACAGGGAAAATAAGTGTTAAGCAAGTAGACAATTCCAGCTGATCATGGCAGATTGGACATATGTGTTTATACATCCCAGCTTTGAAATCCCCTCAGGAACCAGACACACTAATTAACTTGGCAGAATGAACACACATGTTTATCTTGGCATCCCCATGATATATCCAGAAACCTCGACAAAATAACATACAGTAATCTTTTGAAAAGAATATACCCACAAAACAAATGGGAGAATGTCATACAAATTTTTCCATACGTTTCCAATACCATATAATAGTAAAGTTAATGGGATTAACAACTGGTACTGGGACAACTGAATATCCACTTGCAAGAGAATGAAACGGAACCTTCTCCTTACACCATACAAACAGATTAGCTCAAAATGGATTATAGACGTAAAATTTCAGAACTAAAACTAAAAAAAACTCTTAGAGGAAAATATAGGCATAAATCTTCATGACCTTGGATTACGCAAAGTTATCTTAGATGTGACACCAAAAGCAGAACAACAAAAGAAAAAAATTGATAAATTAGACTTCATCAAAATTAAAAACTTTTGTGCATCAAAGAACACCATAAAGAAATTGAAAAGAAAACCCAAAGACTGGGAGAAAAAAAACTGTAAATCATATATCTGATAAGGAACTAGTATCTATAAAACATTATTACAACTCAAAAATAAAAAGACAAATATCCAATTTTAAAATGAGCAAATGATCTGAATACCTACTTCTGAAGGAAAGCATACAAAAGGTTAATAAGCACAGGAGGCAGGGCACGGTGGCTCACGTCTGTAATCCCAGCACTTTGGGAGGCACTTGAGGGGGAGGCAGATCATTCGAGGTCAGGGGTTTGAGCCCAGCCTGGCCAACATGGCGAAACCCCCTCTCTACTAAAAATACAAACATTAACCGGGCATGGTGGCACATACCTGTAATTCCAGCTACTTGGTAGGCTGAGGCAGGAGAATCGCTTGAACCCAGGAGGCAGAGGTTGCAGTGAGCCAAGATGGCGCCACTGCACTCCAGCCTGAGGGACAGAGTGAGACCCTGTCTCAAAAACATAAAAATAAGCACATGAAAGATGCTCAACATCACTAGCTAATAGGGAAACATTTGTCAAAACCACCCTGAGATACCACTTCACACTCACCAGGACAGCTGTCACCAAAAAGACAAATAATAGCAAGTGTTGGCATGGATGTAGAGCAATTGGAACCCTCATACATGCTGGTGGGAATGAAAAATGATACAGTCACTTTGGAAAGCATCCTGGCAGTTCTTCAAAGAGTATAACATGGAGTTGGGAGCCAGTAATTCCATTCCTAGGTATACATACCCAAGAGAAATGAAAACTTAAGTCCACAAAAAAAAAAAATAGACACTTATGTTCGCAGCAGCATTCTTTACAGTAGCCAAAAAGTGGAAACAACCCAAATGTCCATCAACTGGTGAATGGATAGATAAAATGTGGCATAACCATACAATGGAATATTATTCAGCAATAAAAAGAAATGAAGTTTTGTGAGACAGGGGAATCGCTTGAGCCTTGGAATTAGAGGCTGCAGTAAGCCATATTCACACTACTGCATTCCAGTCTGGGTGACAGGGCAAGACATTGTTGTTTCTTTAAAAAGAAAAAAAAGAAATTAAGTTCTGATATATAGGCTACTATGAATAAATTTTGAAAACACTCCACTAAGAGAAAGAAGCTAGTCACAAAAGAACATATATTGTATGATTCCATTTGTATGAAATGTCCAGAATAGGCATGTCTATAGAAGCAGAAAGGAAATTTGGGGTTGCCTTGGGGCTGGGAGGGTTGAGAGGAAATGGAGAATGACTAATGAGGACGAAGTTTCTTTTGGGTGATGAAGATGTTCTAAATTGATTGCAGTGATGGTTGTGCAACTCTGTAAATATACTGAAAAGCATTGAGATGTACACTTTAAATGGGTGAATTGTAGGGTATGTGAATTTTATCTCAATAAGGCTGCTAAAAAATAATAATTTGTGCCAGAAATAATTTGAGCCAGAAATTGGGGAAACAAAAATTAATAGGAGATGGGAAAGTGAAGATAGCATGTGCGAGCATTTGGAGAAGTCTGGTTGTAAATGAGAAGCAAAGGAAGAAGTGGGAAAGTGTCTGTCGGCAAGGAAAGCATGAGAGCATATGATACTGCTGGAGAGAAGGACCCAGTGGAGAGGACAACGCTGAGGATACAGGAGAAAGGAAAACTGGCGGAACAAGGTCACCGAGAAGACAGGTAGGCATGGAATCAACAGCCCATTTGGAGGACCTCAGTTTTGAAGAGAGGTGGAAACTTTCTCCATAGAACCCAAAGGAAGGAAAAATGGATGCAGCAGCAGTCAGCAATGTGCCAAGAGCTCTGATTGTGGAAATTATTTACATGATTTTAATTATGAATAATCCCTGTCACTCCATCAAAGCCATATTGCCAGACACTCCATGTCCTGCCAACCATTCTCTACTTTTCTCTGCCACGCCCTACGTTGTGGGACTCCCTCATTCTCTGACTTCCAGTTGGGTTTAACCCAAGAGGAGGCACCAAGAGAAGACAGGAGAGCTATAGGAGAGAGAAGGTGGGGTATTTCTTTCCCATTCCCTCCTTGCTTGGAGGCTGCATCTCTGGTAGAGCCCTGCCACATGGCTTCAGCTTTTACTGGGCTCTGAAAGCACAATTTTCTTCCCTGGTCCCTTCAGCCCTAGTGGTGGTGATGACTTCCCACCACTGGGACTCCTGCGGTATCTCACCCTGCTGGGATCTTCACTGATACTGTCCCATACACAATCCCTGTGCCTCAACTCCAACCCTGTGTCTGAACTCTGATCAAAGAACACGTGCAAAACAAACTTCATTAATCCTTGCTGAATTGGGCCACTTCAGATAATCACAACGACCCACACTGCCATCAATACCAAGGGTAAGAAACTTAGACATACACATTCCACTGCACAGATGTCCTGTGTCAGCTGGCAACCCAATGGCTCAGCCACCTTCCTCTTATGTTCAACAAGTGGCAAAATAATGTCACTGCAAATACTACCTCTATAACACGTCATGAACAGTTGAGGCCACACAAAGTAAAGCATCCTGTCCTAATAAGGACTCCATCTCTTCTTGAGAAGACTCGCTACTCCTTGAGGACTAAGACCATTCTTAAAACTCAGTAAGAAACAGACTGAATACTAAAGAAGTGCCTTAGGGGTACGCCAGGGACTAGGAGACAGTTATATTGATTTTTAAATTTTGTTTTAATTAAGATATAATCCACATTCTACAAAATTAACCTTGTGAAGTGTGTAACTTACTGGTTTTTAGTATATTCACAGACTTGTGCAACCATGACCACTATCTAATTCCATAATATTCTCATCACCTCAGAAAGCATCCCTATACCCATTAGCAGTCACCCCATTTCCCCATCTCCACAGCTCTGGCAACCACTAATGTGCTTTTGTCTCTATAGAGCAAAGTTGATTTTTTTTTTTTTTTGAGACGGAGTCTCGCTCTGTGGCCCAGGCTGGAGTGGACACGGTCTCGGCTCACTGCAACCTCCGCCTCCCAGGTTCAAGCGATTCTCCTGCTTCAGCCTCCCAAGTAGCTGGTGTAATGCTAAAGGTTTTTGCCTTAGCCAAGCCGAAGAATTGGCGTGGCAGCTGCGAGTGATGGAGACACCGACTAAGAGAAAAAAAGCTGTAGGCTTGATTGAGCAGAGTGACAGTACAAAGCTTCCACAGCGTGGAAGGGGTCTTCAGCCGGTAGCCAGCGTTACCTTCTTTGATCACTTTTTAAACTTTTTAAGGTGGGAAATATGTGCAGCGGGGAGATGTTACTAGAGTGAGAAACAAAGACAATTAACATGTCTTAGATCTTGAGGAAAACCTGAATTGCAACTTAGGTTTCATCTACTTTATGACTTTGCAGCGGCGTAGTAAAGGAGACAGGATCTCACAGTATTTTTACAAGGAATTGGAATTGGAAGCATAGATAAGGTCTGCTGGTCACAAACAAACGGGCAATTAAAATTCCTTTTAGTTTCAGGGGAGGGGAAAGGGAGAGAGGGAGAGAGGACACAGGGAAGCTTACAGCAAAATTTTCACTGTTTATAGCTTTCTTAGGGAAGAAAACATGCACAAACCCTGGTGTTAGGAATATTTTAAGCATATATCTTCACTATTATTTATCTAGGACTAAAGTAAGGCTTGAGGCAGGAAATGAGTGAGTTTCACAGCTTTCTGAGCCTTTACTCGACTTAAGAAGCCTAGCTGGCCTCTCCTTTCACTGGGATTACAGGCATGCACCACCACCGCCCCCCGACTAATTTTTATACTTTTAGTAGAGATGGGGCTTTGCCATGTTGGCTAGGCTGGAGTCAAACTCCTAAGCTCAAGTGATCCACCTGCCTTGGCCTCCCAAAGTGCTGGGATTACAGGCATGAGTCACCGCGTCCAGCCCCAAGTTGATTTTGTTGACAGAATTGCTAATACTCATTAATTATTTAACAGTGTTTAACTTGGATCATAACATTTCCTTGATTTTCTATTCCATTGGTAGATCTATCGAGACAGAAGTTATCAGTTAGGCTCCAGTCAGGAAAACGGAAGACACACCAGCTATTGTAACAAATAAAATTAGAGAATTTAATATGGAGGATGGGTTAAACACAGTTAAAGTGTACAGGACAAGCCGCAGACAAGAACCCCTCAGACACCGAGTTGTGGAGGGAAAGGGCTTTATTCAACTGGGAGCATCGGCGGGCTCATGTCTCCAAAAACCGAGCTCCCCGAGTGAGCAATTGCTGTCCCTTTTAAGGGCTTACAACTCTAAGCAGGTCCCCATGAGAGGATTGTGATTGACTGAACAAGCAGTGGGTACGTGACTGCGGGCTGCATGCACCGGTAATCAGAACGAAACAGAACAGGACAGGGATTTTCACAATGCTTTTCCATACAATGTCTGGAATCTATAGATAACATAACCAGTTAGGTCAGGGGTCGATCTTTAACTACCAGGCCCAGGGTGTGGTGCATGCTGTCTGCCTGTGGATTTCATTTCTGCCTTTTAGTTTTTACTTCTTTCTTTGGAGGCAGAAATTGGGCATAAGACAATATGAGGGGTGGTCTCCTCCCTTAAAAGGACCCAAAATGCTTACAGGGACACTGACGGCACACAGAGATATAACAGTTACAGCAGGAAGAAGCTAGCATCCCTAGGACTTGGGATGAGGATGGAGTTATTAGAACCTGGAGCAGAGAAGTGAGGGGGCTGCCCAGCCAGCACTGCTATCTCAGGAGCTCAGAGAGGGACCTCATGATGCTGGTACCGTGAAAGGCACACGGGGCTGGCTCTGGAAGGGCTGGGAAAGCCAGGGCTGTGACTAAGTGCTGTTGGCAGAGTGAAGAGTTGTTGTGGGTGCAGTAGTGTCAGGAACAGGAGGCAAATCAGGAAAGAGCAAGTCCCTTCTCTCTCCTCCAGCATCCTTCTAGCACACCCATTGGTAAATCCTAAAAGGGACCCAGCTGGCCAAGGAGGAAAGTACTATCAGCCCTAGGATCACAGGACAGAAAGAACAACTGGAAACTAACAGAAGAAAGCTTTTTAATAATTCGCATAATCTGTCCTAAACCACCCTTGGATGCGCCAAGACAAGGAACACTGCCCTGACTGCAAATAGCCCTGATTCCCAAATACGATCTGAAACCACAGTTTGGCCCAAACCAACTTTGTCTCAAAAAATTAATGTTACATATATTGTGTTTCCAAAACTGATTGCAGTCAGGAGTGTGATCCAACTTGCCCTGTCATTACAAATCATACTCTGGCTTCACTATAACGCCACTTGCTGGTAGGTTTGTGAGAAGACAGCCCAACTGTTACTAGATCTTAGATCACTCCAGGGCAAGTGACTGGGCATACTGCTTGACAAGCATGCTCTTCAGAATTCTGCCTCCTGCATCTTGACTTACACTCTTTTTTTTTTTTTTCTGAGACACAGTCTCGCTCTGTCGCCCAGGCTGGAGTGCAGTGGTGAGATCTCAGCTCACTGCAAGCTCCGCCTCCTGGGTTCACGCCATTCTCCTGCCTCAGCCTCCCAAGTAGCTGGGACTACAGGCACCCGCCACCACACCTGGCTAATTTTTTTGTATTTTTAGTAGAGACGGGGTTTCACCGTGTTTGCCAGGATGGTCTCGATCTCCTGACCTCGTGATCCACCTGCCTCGGCCTCCCAAAGTGCTGGGATTACGGGCGTGAGCCACCGTGCCCAGCAACTTACACTCTTGAGTCTTAGCACTACCACTGGAGAATTACTGTATAATTGGTAGAGAGTTTTAGTTTGAGATGATGAAAAAGTTTTGGAAATAGATCATTGTGATGGTTATACAACATTGGGAATGTACCTAATGCCACTAAATTGTACACTTAAAATGGTTAAAATGGTAAATGCTATGTTAGTATATTTTATCACAATAAAAAAGTTGTCAGCCAAAACAAAGAGTGGGGAGTGGGAAATGATTTTTAAAACTTAAAGAGATATTTCAATCAAATGTAATGCGTGAACTTGTCTGGCTCCTAGTTCAGAGACAAACTCTAAAAAGACAATTTCTATTAAAGCTAAATATATTCATAATCTATGACTCAACAATTTCCCTTTGGGGTATATATCCACCAAATTAGTGCTTAAGTCCACAAAAAAAAATTTACAAGAATTCTTAGTATATAACCAAAAGCTATAAACAATCTAAATGCCCTCAAGAGTAGAATGAACAAATAAACTGTACTAAATCCGTATTATGTAATACTATACAGCAATGAGAAGTTGAAATGAAAGAACGAATGTGTCACAACTGCAAAGATGAATCTCATACATATAACACTGAGCAAAAGAAGTCAGAAATAGAGAATATATTCTGCACCATTCCATTTACATGAAGTTCAAAAACAGGCGAAACTAATATACAGTGATAGAAGTCAAATGGTGATTACTTTTAGGGGTGGGAAGGAAGTGTAACTGGCTGGAGTAAAGCACAAAGGAATCACTTGGGATACAGAAAGTGTTCCATATCTTGATCATGGAGACAGTTACAAGGGTGTATCATATGTAAACGTTCATTGAATGGTGCACTTAAAATTTGTGCACTTTTCTGAGTATATGTTACATCTCAATTTTTTTAAAGCATAGAAACTAAAATAAAAAGCAACCTGAAACCATAGCTTCTATGGGCTTTGTTTTTTCATAACCAAAAAAAAAAAAAATTAAGGCCTTGGATCCCTCACAAGGGTGAGAGGCTAGAAATGAGACCTACCCCATCCCCACCCTTGCTTAATATCAGGTAAATCAAGGGCTAGGCCCTCAGGGAAAGAGTGGACGAGAAAGGAAAGTCAGCTACCTTGGTTGAGGCTCTGGGCTGGCGGGGAGCAAATTCTCCCTTGGGAATTTACAACTAGTTTACCCTTACATAGGTTTGGGGCTTGAGTTTATACAATCTATGAAGCTTTAGAAATTCTATCCTCTGAGAAACCAACATAAAGTTGTCCCAACTTGGTAAAACTCCTAGGCATCACATAGAAATAAATAAAAAGAAACAGGTTCTCAACCAAGGCTGTCCAGCATTCCCACAAATAGATGTGTGTGCATTAGCTCCCAATCCAAAACTGTAAAAAACAGGAAGAAACAAGCCACTCTGGGCAAGAGTTGGTAGAAACAGCACAGAGCAGAATTAGACTCCCCCATTTTTTTCAGATAGTGAAATTATGTTGTAAAATATAAAATATTTTTTAATGTCTAAAGAAAAATAGAATAAAGACATGAGAAAAAGATCACATATATTTGAAAAAGAATATAAAATAACATCTAGAAATAGATAAGTTAATAAATTTTAAAAAGAGGGCAGGGAGTAGAAGTATTTCCAAAAATATTAATTAATAGTTACAATTAATGTAAATAGGTCAAAATTACCAGTTTTTTAAAAACAGACTTTCAGAATAGATTAAAAATAAAACACAGTTAAATGTTCTTTACAAGAACAAAATCTAAAATAGGAGAATCCAAAAAGGACGAAAGTCATAAAATGGAAAAAGACACATCTGAAAAATAGTAACCTGAAAAAAGCTGGTATAATTACATCAATATCAAACAAAATAACTTAAGGATAAAAAACTTAATAATGATAGAGGAACACCCAATCCAGAAGATATAATCATCTTAAACTTGAACACACCAAGAACAGGATGTTAAAACGGGTCATCTCACAGGCAAGGTGGCTCACACTTATAATCCCAGCACTTTGGGAGGATGAGGTAGGAGAATCACATAAACCCAGGAATTCTAGTCTGCAGTGAGCCATGATCTTGCCACTGCACTCCAGGCTGGGTGGCAGACCTCATCTCAAAAAACTAAATTAATTAACTAATTTAATGTAATGGGTTGTTTAGTGTTGTCTCAGTTATAGTCAAGACCCCAAAACTGAGAACAAATAATTTTAAGGCTGGGCATGGTGGCTCACACCTGTAATCCCAGCACTTTGGGAGGCCAAAGTGGGTGGATCGCTTGAGTTCAGGAGTTCAAGACCAGCCTGGGTAACATGGTGAAACCCTGTCTCTACAAAAAAAATGTTTTTAATTAGCAAGTTGTGGTGGTATGCACCTGTAATCTCAGCTACTTGGGAGGCTGAAATGGGAAGATCACTTGAGCCCAGGAGGTCAAGGCTCCAGTGAGCCATGACCACACCACTGCAGAACAACCTGAGTGACAGAGCAAGACCCTGTCTCAAAAAAAGAAAGAGTTCAGTTCAAAACATAAATGTATGTCTTGAATTTATAAGAGAGGTTGCATTATGTGCTGGTCCTTGAAAATGTTTAGACAGGGTTCCTGTCTTTGTGCTTTTGAGTCAATGGAGGATAAACAGGTATCTAAATAGTTTCAACATAACAATGCTGAAGAGGTTACATTTTATCCTGCAAGGACTATGTGCCACTGCCAAGAAGGATTTAAGCTGGGGCATTTCACAATCAGATTTGATGGCAATGTGGATGGATGTGTCAGGGTAAACATGGAAGCAGCGAGACCAGTTGGATCACCAAATGAATTGCTAAAGTCAAAATGAGCAGTAACGACCTGACCTAGAAAGGGAAAGAACAGGCTGAAACTCAAGCAAAATCTAAGTAAGAAAAAAATCCTAGGCTGGGAGTTGTGGCTCAGGCCTGTAATCCCAGCACTTTGGGAGGCTAAAGCTGTGGATCACCTGAGGTCGGGAGTTCGAGACCAGTCTGGCCAACATGGCAAAACCCCATCTCTACTAAAAACACAAAAATTAGCCGGGTGTGCTGGTACAGGCCTGTAATCCCAGCTACTTGGGAGGCTGAAGCAGGAGAATCACTTGAACCCGGGAGGCAGAGGTTGCAGTGAGCCAAGATCACACCATTGTATTCCAGCCTGGGTGACAAGAGTGAAACTTCCTCTCAAAAAAAAAAGTCCTGGCTAAGCCTCTCAGGACTGGCTGGATATAGGAAATGAAGGGGTGAGGAAAGAAGTCTAGATGATTCCCAGGTTTCTGAGTGACTTAGAGGGAAAGTATGTTGGAGTTAAAGCCATGAGAAAAATGATATGGCCCTGGTAGCCATGCACAGTGGAAGAGAGCTGTGAACCACTTACAGAGCCCCAGGAAACGCCAGCATTAGGCTGAGGATATCAACAAAATGTTAGTCTAGGTTGTGGCCAGGGCTCTTGCTATTGAAGGCATGAAAGTCCTTGGAGCAGAGAATGTTCACAAAAAACAAAAAAAAAAAGTCTAAATGCTACTGACCCAGGTTTCTACTTTTAGACTGAAATTTCACATTTTAGGTTTATAGGCCAATATTTTTGTGATTCTAATTTAATGAACAAATGCATACCTCATTGAGGGTCAACATATCTTCTACTTTGGTAGCACCACTTTCAGGCAGAGAAATCAACACAGTTTTGGCTATCTCCTTCAGAACTGTATCAATATGCATTTCACACAAGTCACTGATCTACAAGGAAGAAAAATGTAAGAAAAAAAAACTCTTCTTTCCTTTAGAGCTAGGTTTTCATCCAAAAGAGGCTTGAGTTATAAATTAATTTAGAAGGCTAAGTCTAGAAACTTGCATCTTGAGCCAAGCATAATTTGGTGAACATTTTAGGAGGACATCTGCAAAGAAAGCTTGACATAAAACTAAATTTTTCTTGAGCAATAACATGTGCCATAACCTTATTTGTGTTATCTCCTTTAATCCTGATTCCAGCACAGGAGGCACTGATATCCCAGTTTTACAACTAAAGACACCAAGGCTCTGAGAAGTAAAGCAACCTGGGAAGGAACACATAGCTAGTAACAGGCAGAGAATCCTACCCAGGTTTATCTAACTCCAAAGCCTCTGAGTTTGTTTACTACACCATGCTGCCATGACACACAGACCAGCACATCTAAAATGACAGGCTTGTTCTATGTAGCCAATATGTCAGAAATCAATAGACAATCTTCAATTTGATGATCATCTCATCTAGTTAATATTAAATACATTAATATTAATATTTAAGCACTCTCCTCTGCCACTTTTGACAGTCTATAATTACCCCATATTCTAAGCTACAGTGTGAAGTTGAACCATCATTTCAACATATTAAATGCAAGGTAATTCAGGGATAAGAATAAAGCAAACTTAAATGAAGACCCCAATCCAGTAAAAGAAATATAAAGTTTTTTGTTTTGTTTTTTTTTTTTTTAGACGGAGTCTTGCCCTGTCGCCCAGGTTGGAGTGCAATGGCATGATCTCGGCTCACTGCAACCTCCGCTTCCCTGGTTCAAACGATTCTCTTGCCTCAGACTCCCGAGTAGCTGGGATTACAGGTGCCCGCCACCATGTCCAGCTAATTTTTGTATTTTTAGTAGAGACGGGGTTTCACCATGTTGGCCAGGCTGGTCTCAAACTCCTGACCTCGTGATCCATCCGCCTTGGCCTCCCAAAGTGCTGGGATTACAGGTGTGAGCCACTGTGCCCAGCCCAAAACATGATATTTTAAACCTAACGGATGTCCTTTTAGTTAAAAGTCATACCCTTTAAAGAGCTTTCATAATAATCAAACTATTACTTATATCCTGAGTATATATGTTGATAGCTTTTTAAATGTATAGATCATACCTTCTTTAAAAGTTGATTGAACATATCCAAAACTAATTCGACTTCTTGAAAGAAGCTTTCCAGTGTTAAAGACGACCATGTTAACACTGTGAGTCCTTGCCTCAACACAGATTCCACCTAGAAACGGTAAAAACACAACTGCTTCTATTATCAACAGGAGCATCTGCACTTATAGAAGAGGATTTATCACCTACAAATATTATATGTTATATTTTCTTACATGTATTTTCCCTCTATTACACCTAATAAAGATGACTTTTTATTTTTAACCATCTTTGGCTGTCCAGGAAACAATCATGAATTTTCAGAAAAAATGCTCATGATTTAGATTTAGTTGTTTTTTCAAAGGCAACGAAACTTAGACAAGAAATTCTGCAGAAAAAAAAAAAACAGAGCTATAAAATTGAACTAGAAAGATGGAGGGTCTAAAGAAGAATAGATGTTCCAAAATCCATAGTTTATAGAACCGAAATCTAATTTTAAATAACAGGAAAATCAATACAAACCTTCAGCAATACCAACCTTTTTCATTTTTGGGGTCATCAGATTGACAAACACAGAAGGCACTTCCTGACATAACTCATCATAATATTGCAGAAGACCCTGTAGGAAGTTGAAATGGCATGTTTTATTTTAATTCATTTTAAAGTAGCAGTCACATTTTGATTCATTCCAGGAAGGTTTCATAATCCCAGTTTCCTCGTAGTCCTGTCATCATGACAGCTGCCCATTTAAACTTATGCTGATTTACCACACTTTCTCTGTACCTGTAAATTACCTGAGCATCTCCTTTAAACAAGTCAGTAGCAATTTCTACATCTTCATTTTTCATATTTATCACTTGTCTTTCTAGATGTATATTAAGTAGTTTGAATTATTATCTTTTTGTGATATCTGTCATTACACATTTCCTCTTTTGTTCCTTATCTTCTGACACATTAAAACATCCTCATCTTATCACTGATGCCACACTTGCTTTCTCGAGTCAAAATAAATTTAGCTTTTCCACACAAACAGAATAAGCTTTTATGTTATCTCTTAGATGTTGTTTTAGAGATGATCCATGATGATCAATTTTTTACTATTTTGTAATTTACTACACTGTGGTGTGGGAAATGCAGATTCGAGTTACTTTATCTCCAAATTAATAATCTTAAACTGTTTCAAACTGTTTCAATTTTTACCTAATAGTTTCAAAGCTCTTGATTCCTCTTTCCCCTTTATACATTACTTGTAGTTGAAGTTTTATTTCTACTTGACACTGGCTAAAGAACTTTGACTTTCTTGATATTGTTCAATACTAGCTAAAATCTTGCAAGATGTAATGCAAACTATATTAGCTTCGATTTATAACAGTACATTTAAACCTAATCCTCCAAAGTCACAGCTAGCCAGTAAAAAAGCTCATGCATGGCTTTTGATGCCAAATCCAGTTTCCACAATACCAACGTTACTCCAGTTTTTTTCAAAAAAAAGACAATTAAATACTATTTTGGTAAGAGCTAAACTATTAAACTGTTGGAAGACAACACGCCACAAATCTTCATGACTTTGGATTCAAAAAAGGTTTCTTAGCTATGACACCAAAAACACAAAAGACAAAGTAGATAAATTGGACTTCAGCAAAATTTAAAATGTTTGTGCTTCAAAGAACACCATCAAGAAAATGAAAATACAACCCAAAGAATGGGAGAAAAAATTTGCAAATCATATATCTGATAAGGGATAGTATTTAAAACCTAAAATGAACTTTATAACTAAAAAAATAGACAAATACTCAATTTAAAAATGAGCAAAGGATCTGAATAGATGCTGCTGAACGAAAGTATGCAAAAGGTTAGTAAGCATATGAAAAGATGCTCAAAAATCACCAGCCATTAGGGAAATGAAACAAAATCAAAAGGAGATACCACCTCACACTCACCAGGAGGGCTATCATAAAAATGACAAACAATAGGCCGGGCGCAGTGGCTCAGGCCTGTAATCCCAGCACTTTGGGTTGCTGAGGTGGGTGGGTCACAAGGTCAAGAGATCGAGACCATCCTGGCCAACATGGTGAAACCCCGTCTCTACTAAAAATACAAAAATTAGCTGGGCATGGTGGCACACACCTGTAGTCCCAGCTATTCGGGAGGCTGAAGCAGGAGAATCGCTTGAACCCAGGAGGCGGAGGTTGCAGTGAGCTGAGATCATGCCTCTGCACTCCAGCCTGGCAACAGAGCAAGACTCCAACAACAACAAAAAAAAAAACAGGAAAAGTCTGAAATTTATTTATTATATTATTGATTATAAAATTATAAATGTTGTACCACAGGAATAGAGTTCATTTTCTCATTGAATAATCAGCTGTTCCATTAATGTCTGTATAGTTATCTTATAACTCATATTTAATCAGTTCTGTATTGTTGGAGTTAGACTCCAGTCTTTTGCTATTACTAATTGTACTGGAAAAAAAATGTCCTTGCATTTATATATTTTCCTGCATTCCAAAATACATGTCCACAGCCTGCCAAGAAAAGCAAAGAAGAGGAGTTAATGCAGCTTGCTGTTTTAACTGGCTTTCTAAAGAATTTCTCATGTTACTTAACTCTTGTCAAACATTTTAGAAACAATGTGTTAGGATCTGAATATACTTTGATTCGACCTTTGAATCAAAGATTGAATCAATCATCAACCTTTGATGGCACTTTTTTTTTTTTTTTTTTTTTTTGAGATGGAGTCTTACTCTGTCACCCAGGCTGGAGTGCAGTGGAGCAATCTCGGCTCACTGCAACCTCCACCTCCCGGGTTTAGGCAATTCTCCTGCCTCAGCCTCCTAAGTAGCTGGGATTACAAGCGTGCACCACCACACCCAGTTTCGTCATGTTAGCCAGACTGGTCTTGAACTCCTGACCTCAAGTTATCCACCCACCTCGGCCTCCCAAAGTGCTGGGATTACAGGCATGAGCCACTGCACCCGGCAGTACATGTTAATGTCAGTTTTTGCCTACCATTTTCATTTTGTTAGATTTTACTTTGCCGCACTAGTGAACTTTAATTGAAATAATGCTCCTTTTTGCCCCACAATGTTGAGAATCACCTCTACTTGTATTGTATAGTCACCCCACTTTATTAATTTATATCTTATAAATATTCTAGGATAAGTATATTATAAAATTTAATGCACAAGATCTATAAAATTATATTAAGAATAGTTTTTGAAACTTGCTATTTCGTCAGTCATTATCCAGAAACCTAAATCTGATTTCTGATAATCTTCTCACTTTTTGCTTTCCATTTCCAATCTTTTCTTTGGTTTGCAAGTCAGTATTTTAATTCTATCAAGAATCAACATATTAACAAATTTTCCCTCAATGCCATGAAGCATAACTGCAGGGATATATATATATATATACATATTTTTTTTACCAAAAAACTCCTTCAAAAATAATTAGAAAACATAATCTATCTTACCTGCAAATACAGTTTGTCTGCTTTCAATTTACTTTCCAATTTTAGCAATCTCTTTGCCTGTTCTGGTACATCCAACTTCATTTTTATCATACACTTAGTTTCCCGAACAACTTCCAAAATTTTGGGATCGAAATTAACCAGCAACTTCCCTGTTTCTGGATGTCGCACAAAAAGCGTGGCTTGTAAAGCTACAAATAAATAATGATTGACATTACTCATTCTGAATTTCCTTTCTGCTTCCAGCTGTGTTTATATTTCTGTCTTGCCCCCTGGATTACTAACTTCTTGAGGGCAAAGGAAATGTTTTGGATGCCCCAGGTGCTAAGGCACAGCGTCTGGCACATAGTGAATACTCAAAACTAAGATAAATGAATGAAGAGTGTCTGCAAAGCCACAAAATCAGATCCAGGGAGAGAAACATTGACCAAGAATGGTGCTTTGTGCTATGAATTGCAATATTTTTCTGAGTGGGTTGAATAGGTCTATGTCAGTTTATCTTATGGATTATGACTTCACCCCTGAGAAAGAACCAGAAGATGGTTAGAATCACAAAAGATGCCCCACCTCATTTCAAACTCTTTCCCACTCAGACCCCAAACTGTCTTCTTTAAAGAGGCTTATTTAAATTAAATCTCCATCCTGTATTTCTGATAAATAGGCTCAAAATCAGTAAGAAATATTTATTAAATACCATTGAGTTGTGAAATCCTGGAAAGGAGGGAAGATGTTTTACACTACATCTCACATAAACATCATTCATATAAACAAGCATTTTCAGATATCTATTTTATTATGAATTGAAATACATAAGCCCAAGCAGTTCTTACTGGGTAGCCTTAGATTATTTGTTAGCTTAACATGAAGAACTTCTACAGGCATAATAATAAAACACTTATTATAGACAAGCATGTGCTAGTTTGAATTACATCTTGTATTAACAAACACTACTAACATGAGAATTTTATCACAATTACCAAATCTTCCAAACCTCACATTGTTTTGTTGAATGTGGCCACATCAAACTTCTAGTAAAATAAAATAGTTTGTATATCTCTTTGAAGTTAGTTGACTTTTACTCATCAGATAAAATTAGTCTTGATATGGCCCTTAATGATGCAGGTTTTCAAGCTAAATGACAATTTCAACTTAAAATTTTATCCAACTCGCTTAGAATCTTTTTAAGATGGATTAGAAATCACTTATCCTAACAGAAAACCAAGCACTGCATGTTCTCACTCATAAGTGGGAGTTGAACAATGAGAACACATGGACACAGGGAGGGGAACGGCACACACCAGGGCCTGTCGGGGGGTGGGGAGCAAGGGGAGGGAAAGTATTAGGACAAAGTACCTAATGCATGCGGGGCTTAAAATCTAGATGACAGGTGGACAGGTGCAGAAATCCCAGAACTTAAAGTAAAATAAAAATAAATAAATAAATAAATCACTTATCCTACCAAGGAAATTCCAAAAGAACTTTTGAACATTTAAATCTGTCTTCCTTAAAACTGTACTGAGCTTGCTTGAAAAGACAAAAAGGTCAAGACAACTAAAACAGACCAATAATGACAGTCAGGAAGTCTGCTCCAGGACAAGACAAGCATTTCATCGTATGTGAACCACCATCAGAGAAACTTTACTGAGCAACCAACTAAAGGAGGCTGATGCTACATATCCAATTATTACTAGAAGCTCCTATGTGGCCAAGTACAGTCACATCACTAGGACAAAGGAAGCCTTCCAGAGCAATTCATTTCTGAAATGAAATGAAAGAAGTTAAAGAATTCTACTGACTGTTTGTTTTACTTGTGAAAAAACACGAAAGAATTCTACTTCATATTGAAAGTATGAAAGAATTCTACTTCATATTGTTTGTATGTGATCACTTCTCCTGGACATCAATCCACTGCAATGAGTATAGTGCACCCAATAGAGGCCAACTGATGTTCTCAAGGGGAACAAACTCTTCTGAAAACTTGATAAAATTATTACTCATCAAGATTGTCTAATGTCTACTTATTGGACATTTTTAAAATATTTTAAGAGCCCCCAAGCATGCCTGGCATCATTCTTGACACTGTTAGAAACAGTACAGTATTTTAAATGGTTAAGAGAACGGATTTGGAAGCCAGACTATCTGAATTTGAATGAGCTGTGTGATCTTGGGCAAGCCACTTAATGTGTCAGTGTCTCAGTTTTCTCATCTGTAAAACAAGGCTAATAATAGTTCCTTGTAGGTTTGCTGTTAGGATTAAAGTAATTTGCATAATACATGTAATGTGCTGAGACAAAGCCTGGCACATGGTGAGCACTGTATAAATGTTAGCTATGACCATTTTTTAAAGGATATCAGATGAAACAGACATAGAGGGTAACCTTGGAAGGTGTAGGGGACACAAGGTAGATCTATAAAGCAGTAAGTGTCCTGAGAAAGAGCTACAGATAAAGTATATGGTGGGCTCTGGAGGAATTATTATTTTCTGCCAGGAAGAATAAGGAAAGGCTGTATGAAACAGGTGACTGTAGAGCTTGTTTTTGAATATGTGCAGATAAGAGAAAGGGTATTGGGGGTAGAAAAACCACCAGGAGAAAAAGAAAATTAAGTGCGCGGCATTGTAGAACCAAAACAAAACCAGTATATGCTTCAGTTGTTAAAAATTCTCTTTTGCCTTTTTCCATAGTCTGAGTTTTAAGCTCCTCTCGAAGCTCCTTTGAGAGTTCTGCTCCATAAACAGGCTTTCTTTAGAGTCCACAGGGTCCTACCATATAGCACAGCACCCAGAAACAGCTGGCCTGATAAAAGTGGCTTATTAAAGGCTTACCTACGGTTCCTGTTAGGGACGACACCCTGCGGGGGTTGGGGCACTGTCCTCTAGGATGCAGGTATGCTGTGAATCAATGGCCTGTAAATAAGTGCTGTGTCCCCACACAGCTAAAATACATGAGTTCTGGAACCAAGAGGCAGAAGTAGGAGTGACTCCTCTCACCACCGTTCCAGCAACCCACCTGCAGAACTTGTGCTTCCTGCGCCTGCAATGCTGTGCTCTGCTGAGGTGGAGACGCTGGTTTGGGAGGGAGAAACCTTTCTACCAAGGGACCCAGTAAGGGGTCCACCAAGGTCACGTATAAGAGTTTAGGGTTGAGATTATAACTAAGAGTTTAAGGTTAAGATGAGACAAAGCAGGAATCTGAACTGACCAACCATTGAGCCCACACAAAAACAACATCCAGGAGGGCTGGATAATGGCTAAGAACCATCCCGTCTCACATTTAACTCCGCCCAAAGCCTTGGCAACACATAAGCCCTCCCCTCAGAGGCACGCAGACACAGTGCACTAAAACGCTTCATTTACTGGAGCTCAAACCTGAAATTAAATTCAGTAATAAAAAAGGGAGAAAGTAAAGGAGAGACACAGGAAGGAAGGGAAGCAGGGAGAGAGGAAAGAAGGCAGGATGCAATTTTTTCTCTCCAGAATGGGACTGAGATTTGAATCTATATCATGATACAACTGAATATGAACACTTTCATAAAGTCTGGAGAAATATCCCTAAAGATATTTTTACTTTCAAATACTGGTTTTTGGTAGAAAGTCCTAAGTTAAGTATGTCATCTTCAAGGTCATGATCATTTTCACTTATAAAATCAGAATATTATTAACAACTGTAAACAAATAAACCACTGTAGCATCCCTAAATCTAAATTGTAACTATCCTAAGATTATGTGGAAGGGATGGAAAAAGTTCTCCAGAACTATGAACTCATTCAAAATCACCTAATCCCTACTTTGTAGGCTCATGGCAGTGTTATACACACCGTAATGCAACTGTGAAATCTCTCTGATCCAGGCTGTGTGATAGACCACCTCGAATTCCACCAGCACATAGGAGATCTTGTTATACTGACGGATGACAGCTTTACCGTCCGGACTTGATAAAATGTCTGAGTTTTTCTGTTTTTTTAAGGGAAAAGATTTACTTTAAAAGACTGCTGAATGTTTTTATATCCAAATAATGAAAGTACTTATATGTAAAATGATATCAAATAATTATGCTACCAGTTTAGATTCTGCCTCACAGTAAAACAGAGATGGGGAAGGCCATATCAGCAAGAAGCAGAAGTAGGGAAACGTTATCAGTATATAGAGGGAAGACTGGAAAAGGAAACAAAGGGTTTAGAAAGAGAGAGGCCTCCAGCCCCACAGCCTGCCCCAGGCATTCAGTGTCTCTACCTCCTTTTCTGATCCCATCCCACTGTTCTGGACAAGATATAATTGACTGATGTTCCTTGAACCATGAATAACAGGGCAAATTCCTAAATTCCAGCACGCAAAAAAAGGTAACCATGTATCAAACGATAAAAATAAAATTTCTTGGCCGGGTGCCGTAGCTCACGCCTGTAATCCCAGCACTTTGGGAGGCCAAGGCAGGTGGATTACCTGAAGTCAGGAGTTGGAGACCTGCCTCGCCAACATAGTGAAACGCTGTCTCTCTAAAAATACAAAAAAATTAGCCAGGCATGGTAGTGGGTGCCTGTAATCCCAGCTACTCCAGAGGCTGAGGCAGGAGAATTGCTTGAACCCAGGATGCGGAGGTTGCAGTGAGCCGAGACTGCGCCACTGCACTCCAGCCTGGGCGAGAGAGCAAAACTCCATAATAAATAAATAAATAAATAAATATTTAAAAAATAAATAAAATTTCTTTATTTAAAAATCAAAAGATTTAGGTTTCGATTCACATGTCAAACAGGGCAATCTCTGCCCTCTCACCACAAAGTCAATCAGCAACTGAGTCCCCCGAGTAGGGACTCAGGGTTTTAATTTTTTTTTGATATTCAGAACAATGACACAAATGATGGCAGCAAAAGAGAAACAACAGAATCTTCATATTTAATAATGCTGAAATAATACAATTACTTGCAAAACTACTGTTTTGTAGTTATATTGTTCTATATTTCAGCAAAGGGCACGAGATCAAGCAAACCAACTCCACCTTGTGACTCTGTCTCTTAAATAAAATTTAAGAAAATAATAAGGACAAAGAAAAGACAAACTGGCAATTTCAGAATGCCAACAGGGCCCAAGACTGTCCTGTTTTTCAGAAATCTAATAATCTGAAGGACATAGAGAATGAATCAACTGTATTATATTCCGCTCTCAGTGGCAGTTCTTCATACAGGAATACACTCTTTGGCTTTATCTTCACCTTCACTGAGTATGTATCAGTGACCTATCTGCCCATACACAGAAGTAAGCTTCTGTGCTAGGCCTGTACTTTATTGTTTTCAAATTTTTTATTTTTACTTTTTAAAAGGCTTTACAAAGTGTCCTGTGTTATTAAAAGACATAAAATTATAAGATTCACTGACTTTGAGATAACTGTAATTAGACTGGCTTATCTACTAAACCTGAAGGAATTGACTTTGTCTCTCTCAAGTATATTTATAAACTAAATTTTCCTTGCCTGGTAAAAGAATTGGCTCGTTGTTGGCTACTTTAATGCACACAAATATTATAGGATATGATATATTTGTTATATTAAAACCACCAAAATCCACATATTAAAATTTAATTCTTGGCTTACAAAGAAATAATTGATGGGCTCACTTATCCGGCGATAGAGCTGCCTCACCCAGAGTATTTTTCCTGCTATAGGGGGCATGTTGCGAGCAAGAGGGGGGTCATCTTTCTGAGAATGATAAAGCTGTAATTAAAAATCTGATGTTAATGTTTGAATTCAATACAAGGGAGAAGGCAAAAAATATATACAGCTATATTTGTATTGTTTTATCATTATTCATGTTTTATATACAGTAGGTAGTCAATAAATATGTAAATGCACATCCAAGGTAACCTGAGATTTTGAAACAATGATGTTGACCATATACGACACTTAATTTTCTCTTCACCTTTATTTCCTATTACATGTATTTTTTTTCTGCCCTTATCCCAAATTTCAAGGAGGTATTCAAACGGAGCACATAGCTACATATTAATATCTGTCATAATAGTATCTAGAGCCCATATTTCTATAGGCAAAAATACTAACTTAAACGGGCTTTGCTATACACACACCAGAAAACGGGGGCAATATGATAGTTTTTTTTTAACTTTTATTTTAAGTTCAGGGTTACATGTTTGTTTGTTTGTTTGTTATATAGGTAAACTCGTGTCATGAGGATTAGTTGTACAGATTTTTTCATCACCCAGGTGTTAAGCTTAGTGTCCATTAGTTGCTTTTCCTGATCCTCTCCCTTCTCCCACCCTCCAGTAGGCCCCAGTGTCTACTGTTCCCTTCTTTGTGTCCATGTGTACTCAATGTTTAGCTCCCACTTATAAGTGAGAACATGTGGTATTCGGTTTTCTGTTCCTGCACTAGTTGGCTTAGGATAATAGCCTCTAGCTTCGTCCATGTTCCTGCAAAGGACATGATCTCATTCATTTTTTTTTTGGATGCATAACATTCCATGGTGTATCTACCACCTTTTCTTTACCCAGTCTACCATTGATGGGCATTTGGGTTGATTCCATATCTCTGCTATTGTGAATAGTGCTGCAATGAACATATGCGTGCATGTGTCTTTATGACAGAATGATTTGTATTCCTTTGGGTACATACTCAGCAATGACAAAAACAAACAATGAGAAAAGGACTTCCTACTCAATAAATAATGGTGGGATAACTGGTAAGATCACAGCAAAGAGGAGTAAATCTGGCTGTCCAGCAATATACACTGTCAAGCACCTTCCCACACAGAAGGGAGCGTCAATGCTCCTTAGCAGAGAAAGAATCACTCTGAAAAGCTTGGCATGAGACAATGATGGCAAATATTTTCAGATTTTTTTTCTTTTTGTGCTAATGTACCATTTTATTTATAAACATGACACTTGCCTTCTTAGTAGCATCAAGTTCAGCCACATAGTACTGAAGAATACGCTCTATTGTGTGGTTTATTTCTAATCCCAGACAGGGAATGTTCAGCTTCTGAAACCTAAAAGTAATCAAAGCTGAATGGTTAAAAAGTAAATGAGAAATATACTTAAGACTTGCTGTCATACTAACCATCCATTCATTCATTTGACAAATATTCATACCAGCCCTCATTCGTTGTCCTAGGACAAAGCAATGAACGAGATAGGAGGTACAGTCCTGGTTCTCTTGGAACCCACAATTATCTTATGGAAAAGACAGACATCTGCCAAGAGTAACAAAAATAATTATTTAAATTACAAATGGGTCAGAAATGCCTATAACTAAGAGAGACCTAGACAAGTCTGGGGATTCAAGTAAGACACCCTGAGAAAATGACAAACAGATTACAAGATGAGTGAGGAGATGGCTTAGCAAAGATGGAAGAGAACACATTGACTCTCCCTCTGCCAGTGTTAATTCCATATAATTCCATATAACCATTTAACCATAATCACAAAAACAACTTTGTCAGCTAAATGTCACTTCCATTCAGAGACTGAATGACACACAGGAAATACTAAAAACTACAACATTCTGGTAATAAAATGAATTGACATCAGCATACTACAGGTAAAAAGAGAGAGAGAGAGACAGAAAGAGAGAGACAGAGAGAAATAGAGAGACAGAGACAGAAGTCGCCAAGAAAATGGTACCTGCCATCTGTGCAGTACTGTCACATGTCAAAATTATGTTATTTCTGTTTTGACTTTTTTTACAATGGTCTCACCAGGTCTCCATCATTACAGCCGTGGAACCATGCAAAGCCAGACCCAACACTAGATCCGCTGGCTCTCAGGGAAGAGTTCCACAAGCGTCCCTGACACAGGTCTTGAGCCCTCCCTGTGCTGAAAGGGAAAGGCTTCTAGTCCCGCTCAGCCCTCTAATCTGGGATTCCTCGCCCTTTGAGAGAGTAGTGCTGTTAGGATAGAGGGAAAGGAAGCTAAAGGAGAGAAGATTTCAGCTGTTCATACCACAAAAAAATGTGGGGGACAGATAACTCGGTGAGATGATGAATGTGTTATCTGGCTTGGTTGTAGCAACCATTTCACTACATATTTAAAAATATCATGTTATACACCTTAAGTATACACAATTTCTTTTAAGGTGCAGGAGCCCTCAGGAGGGAAAATGGAAAGTTTTGGAATCTATTATTCTTAGATAATCTCACTTTCAGAAATTCTTTCAGTATGTAGAAGTAAACATTATTTGTTCCCTTTCCAACAATACCTATAAAATTAACCCCAAACATATGACATGGCTGGGGGCAGGGAGGGGAAACATGAGAAATAATTTCATTTTCTTGTTGAAAGACTTTCTGCTACCAAAACAATGCAATTAGAACATATCATTCTTTATTTCAAATCTTTACCAGTCTATTTAGTGGTAATTGAAAAGTTTATGTTTGTAAGTTTTAAGGTTTATGTAGGACAGATTTCCAACAACATCCTAATTTGAAATTGTATTTTTAGATTTAAAGTTATTCCCCCCAGAAACTACTCTGCTTAAAGTGTTATGAATACCTTTGAAGTAGCTGAAGAGCCTGCTGAGAAGATAAGATTTTCCCAAAACTACTGTTCATAAATGCCTGTATTTGTACCTAAAATAAAATATTAATATTTAAATGATTTTTGGTGTTAAAGAGATTGGTTTTGTTTAACAACAGTTAATGCTTTTCCTACAGAATTAAGATAGCCTCAAGCCTCAAACACATCTACCATCTAAGCATCAAGAACTGCATCGTCCAGTATGATGGACTTTGGCCACATGTGGCTACTGAGCACTTGAAATGTCACTACTTAGAAGCAAGATGTCTATAAATGTAAAATACATGCCAGATTTCAAAGACTTAGTACAAAAAAGAGAATGCAATATATCTCATTAAAGATTTCATATTAATGACATTAAAATATTTAACATATTGGGTTGAATAGAGTCTTTATTAAAATTAATTTCACCTGCTTCTTTTTACTTTTATTCAATGGCTACTAGAAAAATTAAAGTGACATGTGGTTTGCCTTTGCAGGTCATTACCAATTGGATATTTCTGATCTAGAGAATTTACAAAAGGAGTGAAGGTCCCTTACAAGCATTTTTCTTTGGGATATATAGAACTTCAGGTAGAGTAGTGTAGTGACGCTATAGACACCAGGGCCAGCAGATGTCATTTTCTGACATTGCTGCTCTCAGAAACCTCTTTGCCACTGCTAAGGACGTACAAGAAGTAGAAAATGTTCTTTCAAGAGTCCCACCATTGGCCCAGAGTGGTGGCTCATGCCTGTAATCTCAGCCTTTTGTGGGGGGAGATGGGAGGATAGCTTGAGGACAGCAGTTCAAGACCAGCTTGGGCAACATAGCAAGAACCCGTCTCTATAAAAATAAAAATAAATAAATATTCCCACCATCCCTAACAGTGAACTCCAAACTCCCGGTACCCAAAAGATGGAACTGAACCATTCTTTGCAAATTATTTGTATGTATAGATCATATTGGTATGGTCTATTAATATATACCACACCCATAAATCAAACATTGGAAAACGAAGAAAAATTAAAATTAAAACACTGATGCCTCAAGTAAATTATTTAACTATTAAAAGGTTAATATTGCTGTAATTTACTGAAAGCTAAAATTTGAATCTAAGTCCACAATAAAGCCTTTATAACATATAATCTTTCTTAATAAATCATAAAAATAATTTAAGAGATAACAAGTTTTTCAAAAATTCCCATTGCCATAAAGATTTAACTTTCGAAGCATTTTGGAAGTAAACTCCACCCTACCTAACCAGCCAAACACTAAAAGTAATAATTAAAATATAATATATCTTCATATCAAAGAGTCTAAGTTTCAAAAACTGAAAGGAAATCTATGCCAAAACACAAAAAGTGTTATCGTTAGAATGGTAGAATTTTAGGATCTTTCTTATGTATTTATATTGCCCAGGTTACGTGTAATGTAGTTTTTAAAGAATTTTTTAAATACTTGAGAAAAACATCTGATTTTTCTCACTTTCATGGCAAGGATATCAGACTTAAAAAGTGTACAAAGTATATTCTTCTCCCTGCTTGTGTCTCCAGGAAATTCTGCAGCAAGAGGAAACCATTCCCTTGGGCTAAACGTAGGTTAACAGTAGTTTCAGTTAACAGTAGAGAGTAACTGAGGTCATATAGCCCAAAAGGTGAGAGAAAAACATCTTACAGTCTCATCTGACATACTTTCTGACTACCCTTCATCCATCTGGTGTCTCTTAATCTATGACACACAGGATATGAATGCCTCTTCAGAGCTGCCCTCTATAGCTGCAGAGAGAATGCAGGCATAAAGCATAAGGCCACAGGAAGAGTGATCCATCTTCCTAATCTGTTCTCAAATCTCATCACACTTGATAAAGAATAATGTTTACAAATGCTCTCTTGTGCTCCTAGGCACAAGAAGCAAATACAAATTTTAATGTATATTAAAAATGAGGCTGGGTGCAGTGGCTCATGCCTGTAATCTCAGCACTTTGGGAGGCCGAGGTGGGTGAATCACCTGAAGTCAGGAGTTCAAGACCAGCCTGGCCAACATGGCGAAACCCTGTCTCTACTAAAAATACAAAAATTAACCAGGCGTGGTGGCACACACCTGTAATCCCAGTTACTTGGGAGGCTGGGGCAGGAGAATCACTTGAACTCGGGAGGTGGAGGTTGCAGTGAACCAAGATCGCTCCACTGCACTCTAGCCCGGGCAATGGAGTGAGACTCCATCTCACAAAAAAAAAAAAAAAAGAATCCTAGCTATAAAAGCCCTTTGGGCTTCTAGTTACTCTCTGATGTCTTTTATTGGATATGCTCACTATTCATTCAAAAAAAAATCCTTTAGTGGAGTAGTTTAAAAGTTACTCACACTGCAAATATGTTTGGTCAATGTGAAAGAGGAACTTAAATCATAAATATAGAAACACTTACTACATGTGAATATTTACAAAAAGTACCAGATAGTACTACTGACTACTTTTCAGCTTTACTAAGTAAAAGTAGGTATAATTACTTACCTCTAAACCATTGATTTTTGTCATGAAATCTAAGAAATCTGTGTCAAATTCTGTCCTTCTTGGATCCAGAATGTCATATTGCTTTTTCTTAACCCCTTGGTATATATTTCTGAATTTTATTGCCATAATATCTATTCCTTCTATGGTAGAATTACTCAAGGTTGAATATGTTTGCACAACAGTTATCATTTCTGTAATCTTAAAAAGAGAAATGTTATTTTGCTTTTTTAAATGAGATAGCAGGCAACTTCCCTAAAATAAGCTCTTAATGAATCATTGATATAAAACACAAACCATTAAACAGGGCCTAGAATAATTTCGCTAAAACCAACCAGAGGAGATAAAACAGAAGACAAATCTCTGTCACCCGTCATTCTTACTCTTAGACTAAGACAGAAGATGTTCTATCATATCCAGAGAGAGTTCACAACCTTTTTCAGAGTTCAATCAGCTTGTCTTTCAAGGGTGGCGGGGAGCTTGACTAAATAGCTTCATCCTGTGGTCTCTTGAGGATTTTCTGAAAATCATTTCACTGGATTACTGGACTCAAAAGCTCCACCATGCTGTTTGGCCCTCACTATAGTTCTGACAATTAACATTAGCACATATCCGCCTGTGTTCTGGTAAAAGACTGGTCCAAGAAGCTTGAATAATGGCAGCAATCATTCCTGACCCCTGATGAGACCTGGGAAACCCTCACAGTGGACTTCATTTCAGAAATGGCTGTCTTTGTCTCAACCTGACACCACCTACTTCACCAAAACAAACAAACAAAAAATTCATGTCCACAGGCTACTCCTTCCTTACGCTTCCCCATTTTGACTTCTGCTTTAGAGAACAATGCTCAATGCTCTCCAGGGCTGGTCCAATGGCCAGAAAGGGAATAAACCTATTTTCAGAGAATCTTCCAAATACCACACACACCATGAAGACACCACCACTGATCCTCCTACATAGCCAGCAGAATTCATATGAATCCCTGTGTATGGCCACCCAGAAGGACTATTTTCAAAGCAACTGTTGCTCTTACTCCACTATTTCCATACACTTCCAAAAACCATTATCATCCTAGAAGCCACTCCAAACATGGAGGAAATACAGGCCACTGGGATTTACAGCATGCTGCGCATGCTCTATATAAACACAGGAACTATCTGGGTCTCCTCCTAACACATATACTCCACTCACCTACTTTAAAGAGCAAAAGCAAACTACTACTGGCTTGCTCTGTTATTCTAACCTGCTAAGACTGTTTCCTTTACCCCTTACCTCATTACTCTACCACCTGGCTCCAACAGCCAGAGACTAGGACAAAATTCCTGTCACTAACATGTCCTCTATTTTGTTGATTGGTTGGATGAGGGGTCATCTGAGGCAGACATGGTGGTCAGTCCCATGCTTGCCCTTCAAACTTAGCCAGTGTACCCTCTGTCCCCATACCACACAGAGCAACATAAAGCCAGCTGTGGGAATCAACCAAGACCATGCTCCTGCTAGTTTGTCCTGGCCCTGGCTTTTTCAACATCTCTCTATCAATGTTCAATCTCTCAGTACTCACCACCAATGCAGAGTCTCTCCTCCGGCTCACCAACCTTGCACCCTTTCCAGTTCTCGACTTGCTGTGATTCCCTCATCTCAGCATCACCATGAGTGGAGACCCTACCTCACCTACTAGCTCCAGATCCTCAAATCTCCCCCAGCAATACCAGCTCTCCACCTTTTCTCTTCTCTCCCACAAATGTTCAGGGTGAGAAGAAAACAAAACTGAAGATAGAGCTCTGGGAAACACCAATATTCACCAAAATTTACATGGCAGGAAGAGGAAGAAGCAAAGACTGTTGCACACATTTCGTTCTTGCTATTTAGGATTCAGTGCACCATCAAGTCTATACCTGCCATAAAAAGATGTGTTTCAGGCATCCTAACACTGACACACTAGAGCCTTCTTCACTTACTCCTCGAAGGGCCCCAACATATCTGTCTAACTCTGAAATCTCAGCTCTCCAACCCCAACATCAGTCTTGTCTGCCCTTCGACTTTGCCACTTGGTCATTCCAACTTCGAATCTCGGCCTTCCCTAATAGGCTCTTAGTGCACACTTGTGGCTCTCCTCTTCATCTATGCAAGAGTTCACAAGGGTAGTCAAACAGTTGCCCCTTCCGTACCCCACTCATCAGAGGAAGCCCACCTGGGCAGCTCAGTAACCACCTCTTGTGGATTATGTAAAATCCTGGACATACTTCAGGGTTAAGTTCGCCAGCCCCACCTTTGAGAGTCTGGACACCAATATCCACCAATTATCCAATGGGAAAGATGCCGGTCTGTCGTTCTTAGCACAGAGGAGCTGGGATAACCTAGCAATCAGGATGCATTTCAGGTAAGGCCTCTAGGGGGTGCTACCTTAGCTCTGGTTGCTGAGCACTTGTGGCTTGAAGTTGTATTCTTCAAACTAGAGGCAGGGCTTCTCCAGAGACCAGAGTGGGTGCAGCTGATGCAGCTGGTCATTACAGACCACTTCCTCTAGCATCAGAGGAATTCCTGGGCTGCTATTTCACAGATGGATGACCATTCTACTCAGCATTAGACCCACCCCCAAAGATCTTTACCACTAATAAGGTTTAGTCCTGAAACTACAAATTTCAAAGCGACACCCAGGTGGGCAAGGGTTCTGGCTCCAGGAAAATAGGGGTAGGGGTAACTGAGACCCACCTCCAGGTTTTTGCTCTAGTGGAGTCAGAACATTAAGCATCTTTGTCCTGACCAATGAGACCTATTTATTAATTTGACTTGTGCTAGTAGCCTAACTGAACATTTGCCCCCAAAAAAATCCCTATTGGCTGAGCACAGTGGCTCATGCCTATAATTCCAGCACTTTGGGAGGCTGAGGAAGGAGGACTGCTTGAGGCCAGGAGTTCAAGACCAGCTCATCAACATAGCAAGACCCCATCTCTACAAAAAAAAAAAAAAAAAAAAAAAAAAAGTTTAATTAGCTAGGCATGGTGGTATATGCTTGTAGTCCCAGCTACTCAGAAGGCTGAGGAGTTCAAGGCTGAAGTGAGCTATGATCATGCCACTGCACTCCAGCCTGAGTAACACAAACAGGACCCCATCTCAATTTTTTTAATTTAATAAATAAAAATGTTTAAAAAAATCTATTGTGCATAAAACAGCCCCACACAACACTTCCTTAGATATGACATTAAAAACACAAAGAAAACAAAAGAAAAACATGATAAATTGAACTTCATTAAAATTAAAAACTATCGTACTTCAAAGGACACCATCAAGAAAGTGAAAAGATAACCCAAAAATAAGAGAAAATACGTGTAAATCATATATCTGATAAGGAAGTTATACCCAGCATATATAAAGAACTCCTACAACTCAACAATAAAAAGACAAATAACTCAGTTAAATATATGCAAAGAATCTGAATAGATGTTTTTTAAAAGAAGATATACAAATGGGCAAAAGTACATCAAAATATGCTCCACATCATTAGCCCTCAGGGAAATGCAAATCAAAACTTCAATGAGATACCACTTCATACCCAGTAGAATGGCTAAATTCAAAAGGACAGATAATAACAAATGTTGGCAAGGATATGAAGAAATCATAAACCTCAGCTGGGCGTGGTGGCTCATGCCTGTAATCCCAGCACTTTGGGAGGTCGAGGTGGGTGGATCACAAGGTCAGAGGATCGAGACCATCCTGGTTAACACGGTGAAACCCTGTCTCTACTAAAAATACAAAAAATTAGCCGGGCGTAGTGGCGGGCACCTGTAGTCCCAGCTACTCGGGAGGCTGAGGCAGGAGAATGTCGTGAACCCGGGAGGTGGAGCTTGCAGTGAGCCGAGATCACGCCACTGCACTCTGGCCTGGGCGAAAGAGCAAAACTCCGTCTCAAAAAAAAAAAAAAAAAGAAATCATAAACCTCATACTTTGCTGTTAGAATGCAAAATGATGCAGCTACTTTGGCAAATAGTTGGGGTTATCAACAAAAAGTTAAACATGGATTTGCCATATGACCTAGCAATTCTACTTCTGCACATATACCCAAGAGAAATGACAACATATGCCCACACAAACTCTTGTACACAAATGTTCATAGCAACATTATTCATAATAGCCAAAAAGAGGAAATAATCCCAATGTTCATCAACTGATGAGTAGAAAAATAAACTGATATTATCCGTACAATGGAATATTCTTCAATGATGAATGGAATGAAGTTCTGAAAAATGGTATAATATAGATGAGCTTTGAAAACATTATGCTAAGTGAAAGTAGCCACAAAAGACCACATATTGTATGATTTCATTTATATAAAGTGTCCAGAAGAGGTACATCTATAGAGACAGAAAGTAGATTAGTGGTTGCTTAAAACTGGGGAGAGGAGAGAATGGGGTGTGACTGATAATGGACATAAGGTTTCTTTTAGTGGGAGTGAAAATGTTCTAAAATTAGATTGTGGTAATGATTGCACAACCCTGTTAATACACTAGAAAACATTGACTTGTACAGTTGTAAGTGGGTAAATAGTATATTAATTATGTCTCAATAAAGCTGTTAAAGAAACAAATTTAAAAAACAGCTTCAAAGAAGTATGTATGAAGGATCCCACTCAGCAACTTGGTTCTGTTCATTACTCATACTTTCCTGTCCTGGCTTGATCAGGAAGTTACTAATAAAAATAGGCTTCCAAACATGTCTAGGTCTTCAACCTATGTAATGTTCCGCATTACTTTCCAACAAATGATGAACAAGATTCTAAATACTAGCAGGATCCAGGGAATTAGCGAAGTTGGGGGAAGAATACCTAAATGAGATCTTTACAGACTTTTCAAAGGATGACTCCAAGAAGTCTCTGATATGGGCTGGCCTATATCCCCCAAAAAAATGTCACTCCTTCCCAACCAGTCCTAATAAATTAATCAAACCTATGTCTGTCCAGAAAAGATATCACCCGCACAATGTTTTTGTATACACCATATACACTGGCTCAGAAAGAGGACATGCTTATACATCCGGAGATTCCACAACTACTGACTTCTATCAGGCATTGCAGGTATTTCATCTCATACTTTTTCTCAGCCTAATATAACAGTTAAAAGCAGAGCCTTTTAAGTTGAAGTTTCATAGGTAGAGGTAAACTGAGGTCTTGAGAGATGTGAAAGTTGACCATAGCGTTTGTGTTACTGGCAGAAGGCAGTAACCAGGAATGAAAAAATAAGTTATAATAAAATGCAGTGACCTATAAGTAATATTAGACAAGTCATAACAATAGTGGACAAGAGATCAGGAACAATAATTCTCAATGGCACTACATAAAGTACAAAATCACCAAAAAGGTGTGGTGTGGAGTGGGGTACGATGACTGCATAATGCTTACCTTCTCCAGTCTTTTGCAAAAAGCTTCAAATTTTCCAAATATATACATTTCTGAAACCTCAAAAGATTTTTCCCCTGAGGATTCTGAAATCAGTTTCCTTGTTTTATGAAAAGATGCCTGATATTCCTTGAATAGAAAAATGCAGTCCTATGAGAAAAGTAAAAGAAATAGGGAAAAGAAAGTGAGACATTTGTTCAGGAATCGAAAATTCAAAAACTCTACCCTCACACAGAACTGATCAAACTGTGAAAATCTGTATAGTTTTTTTTTATTTATACCATATTTTCATCCTCATTTCAACCTCACTTTTATTCATCCTCATTGTTTTCCTTTAACTCTTATCCTACATCAAAGCATACCATATACTATTTGTTTTTACATTTTCATGACAATTAGAACTCCCAAGAGGTCCAGAAATTATCTATCAAGACATCTCTATTCAGTTCGCATCCATCTTAGAATCAGCATTCTTTATGCGCAGGTATATAAAATATGAAGTTTCTGTCATACGAAGCTATCATCTGACAATCATTTTTCCAAAAGAGGGTCATAAAGTCTTTGATGAGTACATTGCTGAAATCCTAATATTTGACTACAGATATACTGGTCTGGTTTGTGAACATAATAGAAATAAAAAAGAGAATAAGATTGCTGGGTAGAGTAGGAATTAACTATTATGTCAAGCTAACATTTCCTAAACACCAAATCTTTTTTGTTAATGTTAAACTTTTTTGAAACCATCAATACCCAGTCAAATCTTTATCATAACACCATTTCTCAGATTCTGACTCTTCTGCCTCCTCTTGCCCACATAAGAACCCTTAAACATTGGGCCCACTTGGGTAATCCCCATATCAGCTGATCAGCACTTTAATTCCATCTGCAACCTTAATCACCCCTTGCCATATGTAACATAACCTATGGATAGGTTCTGAGGATAAGCACACAGACATCTTTGGGGGCCGTTATTCTGCCCACTGCAGCCACTAAATCAGAATTTCTGCAAGTGGGACTTAGAAATCTATATTTTTAACTAGCTCTCCTATAGTGATTCCTATAAATATTCAGATCTGAGAATAATTGGCCTCATTCTTTCCTCTATCACAATCTCCAAAACAATTATCATTGCTCTCTTTGAGGTCTCTGATTATTTTTCACTCATTCAACAAAAATGAGCTGGCTTGGGAGGCTAGGGGAGGGATAGCATTAGAAGAAATACCTAATGTAGATGACGGGTTGGCAGGTGCAGCAAACCACCATGGCACGTGTATACCTATGTAACAAACCTGCACATTCTGCACATGTATCCCAGAACTTAAAGTATAATAAAAAAATTTTTTTAAATGAGTTGGCTCTGAATAACAGTTCTCAGATAAGATTCTGAGTAACAATTCTCATTGTTTCCTCCAACTCATCCAAAAATTATTCCTAAAAAGTATACACTGAAAGTTTCCTGAAAACATTTCAGATGTAATAGAAACATTGAACTAGAATTCAGAAAACCAAGTTCCCATTTCTAATTCAGTCAGTAAATGGCTAGTAATCTTTAGGACCTTAAAAGAATAATGAGACTACATTGCTAAATTCTATGTAAAGAGTTATGGTTCCTGCCAATTGGCAAATTTGGGGGGAGTAATTTCTGACTCCTATTCCCAAAAATAACAAGAGAAGCTCTAGAGGAAAACATGGAATCCTGCAAGTAGCAATAAAAACAACAGAAATGAGAAACTCCTAGGAAGATGATAAGTTGTTTTGAATCTGGGTATGAGGGGAGCAAGAATGATTAGGAAAACAGAAAGAAGATAAATAATATTAGTAAATAAGGAGACATCTTATATAGTAAGACAAAGTTTAGTAAGATAATATTATCAACAATAAGTCAATAAATTACAAATTTTAGACAAATTGGGGAAATTCCCCAAGAATATCAACTTACTAAAACTGACTCAAGAAGAAACAGAAAGTATAGTCAAATAGTTTTTTTTTTAATAAACAGGCCGGGTGTGGTGGCTCATGCCTGTAATCCCAGCACTTTGGGAGGCCAAGGCAGATGATGGCTTAAGCTCAGGAGTTTGAGACCACCTGGGCAACATAGCAAAACCTTGTCTCTACAAAAATAAAAAAATTACCCAAGCATGATGGCATGCACCCATGGTCCCAGCTACTTAGGAGGCAGAGGTAGGAGGAGCCCTTGAGCCCAGGAGGTCAAGGAGGCAGTGAACTTGATCAGGCTACTGCACTCCAGCCTGGGTGACAGAGTGAGGCTTTGTCTCAAAACGAACAAGCAAAATAAATAAATAGACAAATAAGCAATAGTGTATTTGCAAAGCATATATATGATAAGGAATTAATATCCAGAATATATAAAGAAATCCTACAACTCAACAACAACAACAACAAAAAACCCAAACAACCCAATTCAAAAATGGAGAAAGGGCCTGAGTAAATATTTCTCCAAAGATATACAAAGGGCCAATAAGCATATGAAAAGATGCTCAGCCATCACTAGCCACTAGGGAAAGCAAATCAAAACAACAATGAGATGTCACTTCACTCCATACACATTAGAATGGCTCTTATCAAAATAATAGAAAATAAAAAGTGTTGGCAAGGAGATGAAGAAATTGGAACCCTCCTGCATTGCTGGTGGAAATGTAAAATGGTGCAGCCACTGTGGAAAATTGTTTGGCAGGAACTCAAAAAGTTAAACATAGAATTACCATAAGACCCAACAATTTCCCTTCTAGGAATACACCCAGCAGAATTGAAAGCAGGGACTCAAACAGATACTTACACACCAAATGTTCATAGCCGCATTATTCACAATAGCCAAAAGGTAGTAACAAACCAAATGTGCATCAGCAGAGGAATGGATAAAAATATATGGACTATACATACAATGGAATATATTACTCAGCTATAAAGGGAATCAAATTCTGATACATGCTAGAACGTAGATGAAAATATTGCACAAAGTGAAATAAACCAGACACAAAAGAACAAATATTGTTTAATTCCACTTATTTGAGGTACCTAGAATAGGCAAATTCATAAAGAGAGACAGTAAATACAAGTTACTAGGGGCTAGGGCAGAGAGTTTGGGGAATTTTTTTTTTTTTCCTGAGATGGAGTTTTGTTCTTGTTGCCCAGGCTGGAGTGCAATGGTGCCATCTCGGCTCACTGCAATCTACGCCTCCCAGGTTCAAGTGATTCTCCTGCCTCAGCCTCCTGAGTAGCTGGGACTACAGGAGCCTGCCACCACACCCAGCTAATTTTTGTATTTTTAGTAGAGACGGTGTTTCACCATGTTGGCCAGGCTGGTCTTGAACTCCTAACCTCAGGTGATCTGCCCGCCTCAGCCTCCCAAAGTGCTGGGATTACAGGCGTGAGCCACCGCGTCTGGCCTGAGTTTGGGGAATTATTTAATGGCTACAGAGTTTCAGTTTAGAATGATGAAAAAGTTCTGAAATGGATAGCAGTGATGGTTGCAAAACACTGTGAATGTAGTTAATGCCACTGAACTGTATGGTTAAAATAGTAAATTTTATGCTATTTTTATCATAATTAAAAATTTTTAATTATACAAAAAGAGAAGCAGGAAATTAAAAATCTTTTCACAAAGAAAATGTCGATCCTAGATGCTTAACAGATGATTTCTATCAGACTTGCTTTTTGTTCAGTATTTCCAGTTTTATTTTTTTCCAGTTTTATTGAGGTATAATTGACAAATAAAAATTATATATATTTAAGGTATACAACATGATGTTTTGAAAGATGTATACATTGTGAAATGTTCCAAAATCAAGCTAATTAGCACATCCTCACTTCACATAGTTATTTTTTGGGGTGGGGGGTGTGAATTACTTTTTGGGGTTGGGGGTGTGACCTACTTTCTTAGCAAATGTCAAGTATACAATACATGGTGCATGCCTGTAGTCCCAGTGACTAGGGAGGCTGAGGTGGGAGGATGGCTTGAGCCCAGGAGGCGGAGGTTGCATTGAGCTGAGATGGCACCAATGCACTCCAGCCTGAGCAACAGAGCCAGACCTTGTCTCAAAAAACAAAAACAAAACAGTATTGTGTACTATAGTCATCATACAGTACATTACATCTCCAGAATTTATTCATCCTGCATAACTGAAAATTTGTACTCTTTCACCAATATCTCGTCATTGTGCCATCCCTCTCCAGCCCCTGGTAACCACCATTCTACTCTCCACTTCTAAGAGTTTGACTTTTTTAGATTCCACATAGAGGTGAAAAAAGGCAGTATTTGTCTTTGTGCCTGGCTTATTTCACTTAGCATAATGAAATAAAGTTCAGCCATGTTGTCAAAAATGACAATATTTCCTTCTTTGTAAAGACTGAATAATATTCCATTATATATATGTATCCATACACAAACACACACACACACACATACAAACACATACATATATACATACATACCCTATATACCCCATTTTCTTTATCCATTCATCTGTCAACAGGCACTTAGGTTGTTTCCACATCTTGGCTATTGTGAATAATGTTGCAATGAATATAAGAATGCAGATATCTCTTTGAGACAGTTATATCATTTCCTTTAAATATTTACCCAGAAATGAGATTGCTGGATCATATGGTAGTTCTATTTTTAATATTGGGGGGAACCTCTATACTATGTTTCATAATGGCTACACTAATTTACATTCCTACCAAGAGCATGCACATCCTCACCAACACTTGCTATCATTTGTCTTTTTCTGTAGTAGGCATTCTAACAAGTGTGAGCTGATATTTCATTGTGGTTTTTAATTTGCAAAGCTGGAGGCATCACACTGCCTGATTTTATACTGTAGTATATTTTTATATACTACCAAGCTATAGTAATCAAAACAGCATAGTACTGGCATAGAAACAGACACATAGACCAATGAAACAGAATGGAGAACCCAGAAATAAATCCATGCATTATGGTCAACTGATCTTTGACAAAGGTGCCAAGAACACACAATGAGGAAAGGGCAGTCTCTTCAATAAATGGTCTTAGGAAAACTGGATATCCACATGCAAAACAATAAAATTGAACCATCGTTTCATATGACATACAAAAGTCAACCTAAAGTGGATTAAACATGTAAAGATAAGACCTGAAACTGTAAAATTACTAGAGGAAAATGTCGGGGAAAAGCTACTTGGCAATGATTTTTTGGACGTGACCCCAAAAGTACAGGCAACAAAAACAAAAAAAACAAATGAGATTGTATCAAACTATAAAGCTTTTGCACAGAAAAGAAAACAGAGTGAAGAGACAACCTCTAGACTGGAAGACAGTATTTGCAAACCATATATCTAATAGAGGTTTATTCCCAAAATATATAAGGAACTCAAACAACTCAATAGGAAGAAAATAAATAACCTGATTTTAAAATGAGCAAATGAGGCCAGGCGCAGTGGCTTACGCCTGTGATCCCAACACTTTGGGAGGCTGAGGCAGGAGGATCACTTGAGGTCAGGAGTTCAAGACCAGCCTGGCCAACATGGTGAAACCCTTGTCTCTACTGAAAATACAAAAATTACCTGGGCATGGTGGCAGGCATCTGTAATCCCAGCTACTCAGGAGGCTGAAACCGGAGAATTGCTTGAACCTGGGAGGCAGAGGTTGCAGTGAGCCAAGACTGTGCCACTGCACTCCAGCCTGGGCAACAGAGCGAGACTCCGTCTCAAAAAAAAACATTTAAAAAATGGACAAAGGACCTCAAAAGACATTTCTCAAAAAAAAAACATACAAATAGCCAGCAGGCATTTGAAAAGGTGCTTAGCATCTCCAATTATCAGTTTTAGTTTTTAAATGCATACACAACAAAGACTGTCCATAAGTCATTTCTCGGCTCCATTTGCATTCAGCAGTTGCTCCTGGGCATTTCATTGCCTTTACCACCTCAACAACTTCCTTATATTGTTTCCTGAGGTCCTCTTTTGTCCTGCCAGGCACTGCTCCCTCTATTTTTCCTCATCTTCAGGTACATCTGAAGGAGGCCTACTTCATGTACTTGAGAGACTATTCCATGTTCTTTTAAAGGTTATCCAAAGCCTTTTTTGTCATCTTTTTTTTGTGAGGGTCAAGTTTTTAGAGGCTCAATTTTCTTTGCCAAAAAGTTCTCTTGACTCCAAAAAAAGAATGTGTGTTCATATAATTGGTAATAACTTCCCATATTGAATTTGTTCATGCAGAAAAGGGGCCTATGGCTTTAATTAGTAACTGCAGACCAATGCTCCTCTGACCAATTTTTACTGCCATTTCCACCTTCGACAGTTGATTTCTCTGCATTCTTAGATGCTTGTCACACACAAGCCTCCCCTTCCTCTTTCTCTGTTCTAATTGGCTCATTTATTTCTTCCGTTTTTAGGAGAGCAGCCATTCCTAGTGTTTTTGTAGATGAGGTATTTCACTGAAGTGCTATAAACTTGCTAGTTGAAGCCTATCACAAAGTTTTTCCACTTCTTCCACCTTTTTAAGCTGCTCCACTTATTGTCAGAAAAAGTGATTTCAGGTCTTCCTTGAATTTTGAAGGTTTGTCTTTTCCTTTTAACAACTCTTTTCTGGATATCTTTTCCCTTCTTTGCCAACAATGCTCCTTATTTAACTTCCTCTTCTTTCTCCTTAGCTATTCAAGCAGCTTCTAATTCAGCTTGTCTTTGTTTTTCTTTAGCCTCTCGCTTCTTCCATCTTGCTTCTTTCTCGGCTTTCTCTTCTTTTTTTAATGTTGAAACAGAGTCTTGCTCTCACCCAAGCTGGAGTGCAGTGGTGTGATCACGGCTCACCTCACTCAGCCTCAGCCTCCCAGGCTCAAGCAATTATCCTACCTCAGCCTCCCAAGTTGCTGGGACTACAGGTGCGCACCAACACACCTGGCTAAGTTTTTTGTAGAGACAGGGTTTCATCATGTTGCCCAGGCTGGTCTCGAACTCCTGGGCTCAAGGGATCCACCCGTCTTGGTCTCCCAAAGTGCAAGAATCACAGACATGAGCCACTATGCCTGGCCTTGGCTTTCTGTTCTTTGAATTTTTTTATCCTTGTATCACAGCTATGTGTATTATCAACTAATGTTTTCAATTCATTTCTTCTTTCTTTCTTTGAGCTCTTGTTGCTCTGTTCTTCTTTTCAATCCCTCTCTTGTCACAATATTCTGCTTTTTTTTCTTCTGTATTTAAATAAGAAAACTCTGTCCAAGCATAAAAACTATACCAGAAGGAATAAAATGATGAATTCATAACACCAGGTTTAGAAACTTTTTTTGGACCATCTGGAATTATTTTCGAATAGTGGGAAAAACACTTCAAAGAAACTATCCCTTGCTTCACTTTTAGAAGGAACTGAGTTTCCAAATGTATGATCTACACTGTTAAATGCTCCTCTTTTCACTGGGTCATACATTTTATAATTTCAGTGATGCAAGTGAAGTAGTCATTATCCCTTTCTTTTATTGGTTCACTGGCTGCTTTCCATGATGTTTTAAAACCACTACTTTATGAGCTGCTTTGATCTGTCTCTGTGTAGCTTTGTATCTTACATGGCTAAGTCCAAGAACTGCATAATGATCCTGATTCTTCCAGTCCTTGGGATCAACTGTTTTCAGCATGAGAAACACTAACTGCAATTCTTCCTCTTCTTATCCTCCAGTTCAGAGGTCAGAGCAAGGGTGATAGCAGTGCCCTGGCCAGGATGGCAGGTCAGCACCAGGCCTGTGGGAATAATGGTTCCCATCCTGGGTGGAGGGCACTGGGCCACTTTTCAAACTTGACCTCCCTGTTCAAGCCACACACCTTGGCACTACGAAGACCAGGGAACCTGCACACAGAGATGACCAATAACCACTTCCAGATGGAGCCTTCCTGCTGTGGCCATTTCTTTCAAACTTTCAATGAACAGGTCACTTTAATTTTATACAAACTTTTTCAGAAAATAGAAAATACTTCCCCCCACCCTCCATTTATTCTGAGACATTGATGCCAAAACACAGACAAGGTCAGCATAAGAAAGGAAAATTACAGGTTCTCTCTCTCACCAATACAGCTTCCAAAAATCCTAAACAAAACTGTAGCAAACTGAATTTGAGTGTTTTTTAAAAAGATAATTACACCACGACCAAGTTGAGTTTACCCAGAAACGTTAGGACAGTTTAATTTTAGAAAGTCTAAAAATGTCATCTATCACATTAACAGACTGAGGAGCAAAATTCTATAAGCATCTCAATAAATATATGCAGAAGAAAATTTTCCAAATCCCATTCATAACTTTAAAAAATATCTCTTGGTACTAAACTAATCTGATCAAAGATATATTTAAATCTTACAAAAGCATCCAACTAAATGGGGGAAACGTTAGAAACATTGTCTTCTAAACCAGGATCAAAATTAGGATGGCAACTACTACCATGTCTATTTAAGGATACATGGTAATCCTAACCAATGCAAAAAAAGGCAAAAATTTTAATTGTAACAGGCTGGAATGAGATGTAGGGGCCAGAGCGTATGAAATGGCACACAGGAGTCTAACACAGGCAGCCATGGAGGAGATGAGAATTAAATTTTACCCTCAGAGAAGCACTAAATATAAAGGGAAATAGATAATAAGAATTGTATTCTTTTTATATTCTCAACACTACTCTGTAGGAAGTTTTTTCAGTTAACATATTTTGTGAATAAACAAAGTAAAATTGGGCAGGATGGGAAAAGATTTAGTTTATGAAAATAAAAGTACTTCTACAAACCTGAATTTTCTTTAGTACAACTGGCGTTTCCTGATCCCATACATGGTTTAATCCTCCATCAGTAATATATGCTTTACATGCTGTTACCATTTGATTTGTTACCTGAAATAAATATAGGTACAAAATAATTATATGTAAAAAGAGAAATAACATTTATATATAAATTTCAAACCACAAGCATAAAAATATGATAAAGAATAAACCTATGGGCCAAGTGCAGTGGCTCATGCCTGTAATCCCAGTACTTTGGGAGGCCAAGGTGGGAGGGTAACTTGAGCCCAGAAGTTCAAAGCCAGCCTGGGAAACAGAATGAGACCCTGTCTCTAAAAATAAAAAATAATAATAATAACATTAAAAAAAAACTAGAGAACTTGAAATTGGAATTTTCATTGTCAGAATTTTAAAACAAATTCTATTGATGAACTGACCATCAATTGGTACAAAAATGAAGAGCAACACTCATAGGTGGGAACTGAACAATGAGAACACATGGACACAGGAAGGGGAACATCACACTCTGGGGACTGTTGTGGGGTGGGGGGAGGGGGGAGGGATAGCATTAGGAGATATACCTAATGCTAAATGACGAGTTAATGGGTGCAGCACACCAACATGGCACATGTATACATATGTAACAAACCTGCACATTGTGCACATGTACCCTAAAACTGAAAGTATAATAATAATAAAATTTAAAATAATAATAATAAATAAATAAAATACAATCCAAAAAAAAAATGAAGAGCAAATGAGTGAGCCAGAAAAGGGCAAAGATGGAAGAAAAAAATTAAGAGAAATGGAAGTTAGATGCAAGGGGAGAGAATAAATTGAATGGGTAGGTGTGTTAGTCCATTTACATTGCTATCAAGGAATACCTGAGAATGGGTAATTTATAGAGAAAAGAGGTTTATTTGGCTCACAGCTCTGTAGGCTGTACACGAAGCATAGCACCGGCATCTGCTTCTGATGACGACCCCAGGAAGCTTACAATCATGGTAGAAAGCAAAGTGGGAACTGGCCTCATATGAGAGCAAGCAAGAGAGAGATGCCAGGATCTTTTAAACAATCAGCTGTTGCATGAAGTCATTACCACAAGGAGGGCACCAAACCATTCATGAGGGATCCACCCCCATGGCCCAGACACTTCCTGCCAGGCCCCATCTCCAACACTGAGGATCACATTTCAACATGAGATTTGGAGGGGACAAATATCCAAACCATATCAGTGAGCTAGAAATAATCCCAGGCAAAAGAGGACTGTTTCTCAGGAATAAAGAGAAAGGAAAGTCTTTGGATTGAGACAACTCAGCAAGTGTAGAACAAGATAAATGTAAAAAAAAAAAGTTTGAGATTTTAGAAATTCAAAGATAAAGAAAAAAAATCCTAAAAGCTTCCTGGGAGAATAAAACTAGTTACCTACAAAGGAAACAAGAATCATATTAGCACCAAGCTTCTCCTCAACAATACTGAATACTAGACAATGATTGAGCAATATCTTCAACTTCCCAGGAGACAATGATGTCGAATTTAAAATCCAAGTCACACTAGCATTTGAGTGATCAGACAAAATGAAAGTGATTTTCAGACATGTAGAAATCCAGGAAGTTCACCACCCTGAAACCTCTCTGAAAGAATTTTTTCAGCAAAAGAAATAATGAATCCAAGAAGGAAAAAGATGTGGGAATCACAAAACAGTGGTGATAAATAAATTAGCAATACTTGGATTTTAGTCTGAATACTTGTTGATTCACAATGTTGAAAAAAATGTTAAGAATAATATGGAACTGTTAAAAAATTATTCAGTGATACTTGCAAAGCAAGAGACTTTATTCAGGACCATTGTGATAGGTATAGGGACCACTGCAATGGGATCTTGTAGCAGGAAAGAGAGATTGGGCTCAACTCTGAACACAGCATGGGCAAGCAGGAATGTATAGCCAAGGGGCAGGATGGGAGTCAGTGGGTGGAAAATTATTAAGAGGAAACATCAGAGGTAAGGGGGATTTTGGTTAAACTGACCTAACAGGATTCTTGCTGAAGACAGGCCAAAGTGATCAGACAACACCTGGGGGGTTGGGGGGAATGAAAACCTGATCAGATATCTAGAGTCATCAGATATCAAGAATGGGGGGTTCTTGCTAAACTGACTTAGCAGGGTTCTTTGCTCAAACTAGATTTCACTAGAAAGTGCAAAGGTGGGCCTACCAGAAGATTCAGAAGCCAAGCAAAGAATCATTGTCAGAACTAAAAATGATCTCAATGTGGGACATATATGGCAAGAATGAGAGAGACAGGTAAAGAGGAAGGATTCTGAGAGTCTTGTCGTATTTAGGACATAGTGATTAAGCCTATACTTTGCTTTTTAAAAAAACTTAAAATGTGACTATGACTTTATATATTTCGTTATGCTTGAATAATTTACAAATAAATTCTATTCATGTGGGTTTTTTCGTTGGTGGTGGTTTGTTTGTTTGTTTGTTTGTTTGTTTGTTTTTTGAGACAGGGTCTTTCTCTCTTGCCTAGGCTGGAGTGCCATGGTGTTATCACAGCTTACTGCATTCTTGAACTCCCAGGCTCAAGGGATCCTCCTGCCTCAGCCTCTGGAATAGCTAGGACTACAGGCACACACCACCATGCCCAGCTAACTTAAAAAAATTTTTTTTTGTAGAGCCAAGGTCTCTCTATGTTGCCCAGGTTGGTCTCAAACTCGTGAGCTCCAGCGATCCTCCCACCTCAGCCTCCCAAAGCGCTGGGATTACAGCCTGAACCACCATGCCTGGTCTCATGTGTTGCTTGAGTAATTTCTCAAATTATTTTAAAAAAGACCAATATCCCTGATGAACATGGATGCAAAAATCCTCAATAAAATACTGGCAAACCGAATCCAGCAGCACATCAAAAAGCTTATCCACCATGATCAAGTGGGCTTCATCCCTGGGATGCAAGGCTGGTTCAACGTACACAAATCAATAAACATAATCCAGCATATAAACAGAACCAAAGACAAAAACCACATGATTATCTCAACAGATGCAGATAAGGCCTTTGACAAAATTCAACAACCCTTCATGATAAAAACTCTCAATAAATTAGGTATTGATGGGATGTATCTCAAAATAATAAGAGCTATTTATGACAAACCCACAGCCAATATCATACTGAATAGACAAAAACTGGAAGCATTCCCTTTGAAAACTGGCACAAGACAGGGATGCCCTCTCTCACCACTCCTATTCAACATAGTGTTGGAAGTTCTGGCCAGGGCAATCGGGCAGGAGAAGGAAATAAAGGGCATTCAATTAGGAAAAGAGGAAGTCAAATTGTCCCTGTTTGCAGATGACATGATTGTATATCTAGAAAACCCCATCGTCTCAGCCCAAAATCTCCTTAAGCTGATAAGCAACTTCAGCAAAGTCTCAGGATACAAAATCAATGTGCAAAAATCACAAGCATTCTTATACACCAATAACAGACAAACAGAGAGCCAAATCATGAGTGAACTCCCATTCACAATTGCTTCAAAGAGAATAAAATACCTAGGAATCCAACTTACAAGGGATGTGAAGGACCTCTTCGAGGAGAACTACAAACCACTGCTCAAGGAAATAAAAGAAGATATAAACAAATGGAAGAACATTCCATGCTCATGGGTAGGAAGAATCAATATCGTGAAAATGGCCATACTGCCCAAGGTAATTTATAGATTCAGTGCCATCCCCATCAAGCTACCTATGACTTTCTTCATAGAATTGGAAAAAACTACTTTAAAGTTCATATGGCACCAAAAAAGAGCCCTGGCAAAAAATTGCCAAGTCAATCCTAAGCCAAAAGAACAAAGCTAGAGGCATCACGCTACCTGACTTCAAACTATACTACAAGGCTACAGTAACCAAAACAGCATGTACTGGCACCAAAACAGAGATATAGACCAATGGAACAGAACAGAGCCCTCAGAAATAATGCCGCATATCTACAACTATCTGATCTTTGACAAACCTGACAAAAACAAGAAATGGGGAAACGATTCCCTATTTAATAAATGGCACTGGGAAAACTGGCTAGCCATATGTAGAAAGCTGAAAATGGATCCCTTCCTTACACCTTATACAAAAATTAATTCAAGATGGATTAAAGACTTAAATGTTAGACCTAAAACCATAAAAACCCTAGAAGAAAACCTAGGCAATACCATTCAGAGCATAGGTATGGGCAAGGACTTCATGTCTAAAACACCAAAAGCAATGGCAACAGAAGCCAAAATTGACAAATGGGATCTAATTGAACTAAAGAGCTTCTGCACAGCAAAAGAAACTACCATCAGAGTGAACAGGCAACCTACAGAATGGGAGAAAATTTTTGCAATCTACTCATCTGACAAAGGGCTAATATCCAGAATCTACAATGAACTCAAACAAATTTACAAGAAAAAAACAAACAACCCCATCAAAAAGTGGGCAAAGGATATGAACAGACACTTCTCAAAAGAAGACATTTATGCAGCCAAAAGATACATGAAAAAATGCTCATCATCACTGGCCATCAGAGAAATGCAAATCAAAACCACAATGAGATACCATCTCACACCAGTTAGAATGGCGATCATTAAAAAGTCAGGAAACAACAGGTGCTGGAGAGGATGTGGAGAAATAGGAACACTTTTACACTGTTGGTGGGACTGTAAACTAGTTCAACCATTGTGGAAGTCAGTGTGGCGATTCCTCAGGGATCTAGAACTAGAAATACCATCTGACCCAGCAATCCCATTACTGGGTATATACCCAAAGGATTATAAATCATGCTGCTATAAAGACACATGCACACGTATGTTTATTGCGGCACTATTCACAATAGCAAAGACTTGGAACCAAGCCAAATGTCCAACAATGATAGACGGGATTAAGAAAATGTGGCACATACACACCATGGAATACTATGCAGCCATAAAAAACGATGAATTCATGTCCTTTGTAGGGACATGGATGAAGCTGGAAACCATCATTCTCAGCAAACTATCGCAAGGACAAAAAAACAAACACCGCATGTTCTCACTTAGAGGTGGGAATTGAACAATGAGAACACACGGACACAGGAAGGGGAACATCACACACTGGGGCCTGTCATGGGGTGGAGGGAGGGGGGAGGGATAGCATTAGGAGATATCCCTAATGTTAAATGACGAGTTAATGGGTGCAGCACACCAACATGGCACATGTATACATATGTAACTAACCTGCACATTATGCACATGTACCCTAAAACTTAATGTATAATAAAAAAAAGAATGACATTGGCTAGCAAATTTAAATATATATTGTTTAATCATTTTTAAAAAATTATTTTAAATAATTAACCATGCGGCGCTACACAGGAAAATTTTACACAAACTATAGTGTTCATGGGAGTAGCTAAAGAAGCACTGTTAATAGTAGACACACTCCTATCTCTTGGGTAGAATCAAAACTATTTGAAATGAATAAATTAAAAAACCACCAGGCACATTTTCTTTAAGTATTGGGGCTTACATCTGATAAACAGAAAAGTACCAATTACTCCCTTCAATTAAGTACAACTGAGTCCAGTCAACGCCTTTCTCTTCTTGTCCACTGGAAGTATTAAAACTCTGAGAGGCACTTAGGCTTCCAAATTCCCTTCCTAGGGCTCAGAAGGAAAGATTTGCTAACTTTTTCACAGGATGACATGTAATTTCCTCCCACAGAAACTTACCTTGATAAACAATGAGGTCATTCTCTCTGAGGTATTATAATACCTTGACACACCGTGAATCATTCTGATGGCATTAATCAAATTTTGTATTCCATGTGCCATGGAAACCTAACATTGAAACAAATTAAGTGAATTCCATCATATGCATATAGTTTTAATAACCAATATTCTATAATACTCAAAACTCTAAAGGTACACAAAATAGTATAGCATTTTTAGCTTAAAGTCAAATTTTACTAAATCCAATGCAGTATTCTAGACTAGACCCTGGAACAGATAACAGGACATTAGTTTTGACAAACAAACTAAGGTAATACAGGATGTTAACAGGAGAAACTGGGTAAAGAGAATTCTGTGCTATCATTGCAACTTTTCTGTAAATCTGAACTTAAAAGTTTATCTAAAATTAAATTTTAGAGGTGAGAGCCATTTTAAGGTTAATAGTTCATTCTGCTCTTTTTAAAGGTGAAGAAACTGATACCTTGAGGGGTAAAGTGACTTTCTTAAGGTCATAAGCCCAGCTAAAATAGAAATCAGACTAGCATTCATTTTCTTTTATGCAACTCAGTTCGTGTTTTAGCAATCCTACCAAGTGCCATTAGGCTCTGAAGATATTGGAAGAAATCCAAACCTATTCATGAGTAGCTCACAACAGAGCAGAAGAGATAAACACAAACAAGTAAAACAAGTAGAAAAAGGTAGAGCAAAGCAGAACAAGTACAACAAGGATATAAAACAATCCTGAACATAAACTGACTGCTTACTATATTCCAGGCACTAGGCTAAGAGCGTTAGCATATTATTCTAAGATATGCTGACAACAACCCTTGAAGGTAGGTTTGATTACATCAGATATAAAACATCACGGATTGTAAGATTGCACCATTATTTTCTGTGCTATTAAGAAAGAAAAAAGACACCCAAGATGAGGAATCTAACTCCTACATAATACTAGGCCACCAGTGGGTCCTCCCTGTTAAGGTAAACATGAAATAAACCAACCATGGAGAAAAAGAGAGAAACAAAATGTACATGCTACCAGGAGGAGGAAAGAAATCAAACTTCTTTGAGAATGTATGCACAGGTACTCAACTGCAGTCTGAATTCATACGAATGGCACCAAAATCAAAAACAAAACAAAACAAAAAAAACACCCTCAAGGAGAGAACTAATAATTTAAGGTAGTATCAAGTCACATCCACAATGATTCACAAAACCTAACTGACTAAAGTATGTCCTGAGTTCAGGGATATTAAAATGTGAAAAAAAGTCTTAGAATCTATAAAATAAAGTATTATCATTATTCCCATTTTGCAAATGAGAAAACAGAGAGGTAGAGAAGTTAAGTCCCTTGCCTAAGATCCAACAGCTGTAAGTTACATAGTGGAGATTTTGAGACCCTGCTTCTAACCGTGATGCAAATCACTACAGGAGAACAGACAAAGCCAATGGCATCCCTCCCTTCAAGGAACTTTCCTTTTAATTGATAAGACAAGATAAAATATATAAAATGTGTTTTTAATGGTGATGGAAGAAATACAGCCAAGAAAAACAACTACCGATTACTGTACGGTATGTCCTAGGTGTGGGGTATAACTATGGAATAATTAAATCAGTTTTATGTGGCTTATGGAAATTAACACCATTACTTTATAGTTAACCTTCTAGGCCAGAATTCATATTATATATGGTATCTGTAGATCAAAAAGATCCTAATAAAAATATGCCTAGAAAGAGTCCCTTCCACCCTTCCTAAGTCATGTCTACAAAGTACCACTAAACTCCAATAAAGAGGGCTCAGGGATGGCATCAAATGGGTCCTTCAGGAAAACGTCCTTCATCTGAACTTTAAACATCATTATTTACAATAGTAGCTCCTTGAGTGCACTGTTCTTGTCCATCTATATACAGTGCTCAGATATCTCATATGTCAAACATATAATAGTAAGATATGCCTAAAGCACAATACCAGGGTGATTAAAAAAATGAAACATACATAAAACTTATGAACCAGAAATGGAAGCATGAATCCCCTGCACTTTTCCTACCCAAATGACAGTTATAAACTAAACAGCAATTGCTGGTTACTTTTAATCAGAATAAAGAAAATGAGGGGGAAAAAGGAATTGTTGAAAGTACAGATATAGTGGGTGTATGAGTGGGAAGCAATTATATGACTCAATGCTATTAGTACTTCTGTCATTTCAAAAGGTGATGCTTGAAACCTTCCTACATCAGAGAATATAAAAAGCTCAACAACAACAAAATAACAATAATAAGGCACATCCATGGTTAGAGTAATTGAACAAAGCTTTTTAAAATTACTAGGATGAAAAAAACATCAGAACTAAATGATTTTTAAATTATATGAATTAAAACAAGTCTTTTGAATCAAGAAGTTGAAATCAGTATACCTTAAAATTTGGAGTCTTGATAGCAATGAAGAGTATTCTTTCTTTCAAGTTTACTTTTTATAATAAAAAGCTTTAAATATATAGAAAAGTACAGAGAAAAATATAATGACCACCTACTCCCATCATTAGATTTGACAAACGTGAACGTTGTGCCATATTCACTTCATCTATTATTTTTTCACATCAAGAGCTACTTGCGGTAGCCCTGGAGTAGGCTTTAGGTATTATGTGTATTTCATATTTGCATCTTCAAATCTTGTGAGCAATCTGAAATGCTTGTGACATGTAATAATTTTAATTTTTCTTGGACAGAAATTTTAATTGCTCACATTGTAAAGTTGGGGAATTAAGTCATTGAGCTGCCAAGTAAGCCAAGCAAAGGCCTTACTTCTCCAACACCATATACAATTTGATTTTCTTTACTTGGGGTCACGTGCACAGAAATACCTAAGAAATAGTATAAATGTTCTTATATTAAACAAATTTTACAAAGGTTCACAACACAAGTCCAGCTACTAGTAGCAGGGGTAAAAATGAGAAGAATGAAGTTTAAGAAAGTCATAATTCTTGGTGGGGAGGAAGGGAGAGAGGTGTGAGCTGAAAAACTTCCTATTGTGTACTGTACTCACTACCTGGGTGACAGCATCCATACCCCAAACCTCAGCATCATGTCATATACCCATGTAACAAACCTGCACATGTACCCCCGAATCTAAAATAAAGCTGTAATTTTTCAAAAAGTCATCTCTTTGCAAATAATACTAATAAGTTTTAAATAAAATCGACAATCTCTTTATGGACTCAATTAAAAGACTCTGCTTCTAAAGTCTTCCTGTCCCCTCTCATGGTGCTCCCTGATGGATAATGGATTCCTCATGGCAGTAAGAAATGCACTTGTCCAAGACTCTCAACTGACATTTTTCCCTCCCCTTTCATATTAAACTTCTTGACTACTAACACTCTCTTGGAAAGATTATAAACTGCCTTTACACCTCCTTCTTCTCCAAGTCTAAGTGATATAGGCCATAACCTCTTTCCTTCTCCCTGCCTCTGGGATGAAACCTACATTGACCCAAGAAGGTTGGTCAACAAAACCATGTGGCCAGTGCTGCCACCTATATGGAAGATTTGACTACTTCTTAAAAAATTAGAGTGAAGAATACTGACACAGATATCAGACACAAATTAAATTAATTTGAAAGTGTTGGGCCCGATGGCTCACGCCTGTAATCCCAGCACTTTGGGAGGTGGAGGCGGGCAGATCACTTGAGGTCGGGAGTTTGAGAGCAGCCTGGCCAATGTGGCGAAACCTTGTCTCTACTAAAAATACAAAAATTAGCCGGGCATGGTGGCATGCACCTGTAATCCCAGCTACTCAGGAGGCTGAATCAGGAGAATTGCTTGAACCCGGGAGGCGGAGGTTGCAGTGAGCAGAGATAGCACCACTGCACTCCAGCCTGGGTGACAGAGAGAGACTCCATCCCGGGGTGGTGGGGTGGGGGGAGGAAGGAAAGAGGAAGCATTTCAACTTAGAGAATACCTTGAAGAAGCAACATAGTAAAGTGGAAAAATAATACAACCCATAATGCTACAGATAGCTAGATTCCAATTTGGTCCCATCACGGATCATCATAGAAATGTTCAAACTCGGTTTCCTAATCTTTGAAATGAGGGTCATTGTGCATAGAGAATGAAAACATATTTAAAGCATGTAGCACAATGCCTATAACAAAAGTTCAAGGATTCTCAAGCCTGGGAACATCTTTAAAAATGCAGCTGTCTGGGCAGCCCTCCTGCCTACAAATGATTTACAAAAGAAGTAATATCCAGGAAAAATGGGGAAATCCTGCTCTAAGTTCTCAATAACTACTAGCTTCCTTGACTTCTCCTTCTATTAAATAAAGGATAGAGATTTTTTTAATTTTCATATTTTATATGAAATATTATGAAATACCAGATTATAAATTTGAAGTTAATATAAACTTCTAAAAAATAAAAGCAAATGGTAGTGCTAACATGTTCTTTAAAGGATCTCTATGGAAATATTATGAGAAGAGTAGGCTAGAAATTAGAAGATGGGTTCTGTCCTGCATCCCTGATTAGCTGAGTGATGCTGGCAAAGTCACCTCACCATGATGAGTTTTGGTTTCCTAATCTGTAAATGGGGAAATATCTACCTTGATAGGCAGCCCCAAAGATGGCCCCAGTGATGCTCACCCACATAGTACTCACACCCTTGTATACTCCCCTACCCACCCAGAGTGAACCAGATTCACTTGCTTCTAGCCAATAGAATACAACAGAAATGATGGGCTGTCACTTCAGAGATTAGGTTATTAAAAGAAGGTAGATTCCAACTTGGGTGTTCTCTCATTCTCTTGCTCACTCTTGGAACACTCACTCCAAGGGAAGCAAGTTGCCAGGTGGAGAGGCCCACGTGGCAAGGGACTGGGGCCTTCCAATAACCACATGAGTGAACTGAGAAGAAGACTCTCCCCAGTCAGCCTCCCCCACTTAGCCTGTGGGCAACCTCATGAGAGACTTTGAAGCAGAAGCTCTTAGCTATGCCTTGCTTGGATTCCTGAGCCACAGAAACTCTGACATGATGAATGCTCATTGTTTTTAAGCCACTCAGTTCTGAGGTTATTTGTTATGCAGCAAAGTATAAGTAATATATTAATATTTGTCTTGCACATACTATATTAATGATTCACTATATATTTAAATATGGGTTAAAATATTAAATATAGTTTATCATTCTTCATAAACACATAAGAGGAAAATGTATATTTTAAATAACTTTTGGCAGGATGTTTTTCCCCAATATACACATATTAAAGATTTTTAATGCATTAATTATACAAGTCAGTTTCTTAAATTGTACTATTTTTTTTTATATAGATGGGGTCTTCTTGCTCTGTCACTCAAGCTGGAATGCAGTGGCACAACCATAGCTCACTGCAGCCTTGCACTCCTGGGCTCAAGCGATCCTTCCACCTCAGCCTTCTGAGTAGCTAGAATCACAGATGCGAGCCACTGCCCTCAGTTTAAAATTGTACTTTAAAAGCATACTTACTAGGTCATGGTTATAGAGAGGTTGACACACTTTTTCCAAAGTATACAAATATCTGACATTATCTTTGGATTCATTTGCTGTATCAGTGATTCTTGCATCCAAATCACGCCAATTCTAAGAAAAAAAGGTATAAGAATTCTATGAAACATCCAAATATATCAGTGTGCTAAAGTTTACTCGGGAAATTCAGTCTTCCCTAATCATACATATACTAAAATGGTAGATATTTAAGTGTGATTAATATATGTTTTTCTTATAATACTTGAGACAAAGTTACAACAAGCACCTTAAATGAATTACTAAAACTGAAGACTCATTCTGTTTGTAATTAAAATCCTGTCTGTAGGCTTGAACTGGACCTGCTTCTAACAGGAATGACTTTTTCAGGTTAATTATTTGTGACATTATATTACTCTGGGTCTTCAAGAATGGGTCAAGTTATTAAAACAGAACATTATGGCAGGGCGTGGTGGCTTACGCCTGTAATCCCAGCACTTTGGGAAGCCAAGGTGGGCGGATCACAAGGTCAGGAGATCGAGACCATCCTAGCTAACACGGTGAAACCCCGTCTCTACTAAAAGTACAAAAAATTAGCTGGGCGTGGCGGCGGGCGCCTGTAGGCCCAGCTACTCAGGAGGCTGAGGCAGGAGAATGGCATGAACCCGGGAGGCGGAGCTTGCAGTGAGCCAGAGATCGCGCCACTGCACTCCAGCCTGGACAACAGAGTGAGACTTTGTCTCAAAAAAAATAAAAAATAAAAAAGAACATTATTCAAAACAAAACCTTACTAGCAAAGTGAAGTCAATCTGAAATCAACAGTTTCTTGTAAGTGGTCATCAAATAGTACCTGCTTAAATAACTGATTATGAGAAAGTTCTTCCTGTAATCTCTGCTCATCTGTATAGTTTTGCATAATGGAGCCTAGTGAACACACAGCAACCCTTCAAATGTTTGAAGACATTTACCATATCATCACTAAGTCTTTTATTCAAAGATGAGCAATCTGTGTGCCTTTAGTCATTTAATTAGACATTGTCTTTTTTTTTTTTTTTTTACTTTAAGTTCCAGGATATAAGTGAAGAATGCGTAGGTTTGTTACATAGTATATATGTGCCATGGTGGTTTGCTGCCCCTATCAACCCCTCATCTAGGTTTTAAGCCCTGCATGCATTAGCTATTTGTCCTGATGCTCTCCCTCCCCTTTCCCCGCTGACCCCCTGACAGGCTCCAGTGTGTGATGTTCCCCTCCCTGTGTCCATGTGTTCTCATTGTTCAACTCCCACTTATGAGTGAGTACATGTGGTGTTCGGTTTTCTGTTCCTATGTTAGTTTGCTGAGGATGATGGCTTCCAGCTTCATCCGTGTCCCTGTAAAGGACATGATCTCACTCCCTTTTATAGCCATATAGTACTCCATGGTGTATATGTGCCACATTTTCTTTATCCAGTCTATCATTGATGAGCTTTTGGGTTGGTTCCAAGGACATGGTCTTAATAGCTTCAACCTCTTGGCCTTTCTACTTGGGACACACACAACATCACTCTAAATACATATGCCTCAGGAATGAAAGGAAGCCTTCAGTGTGATCTGGTCAATGCTGAGAAAAGCCAAAACATCACCTTCCTTTTTCCTGGAAACTATACCTCTCATAAAGCAGCCTAGGATCAAGTTGACTTGCATCAGTAATATCATTCTATCAATGGATTCAACTAAAACTGTTAAGTCTTTATCCAAAGTTGATCAATTTCTCTCCTTCAAATTCTTTCAGGATTTTTAACCTATTCTCAATAAATGTTATATTATTATTATTATTATTATTATTATTATTATTATTTTGAGACGGAGTCTTGCTCTGTCACCCAGGCTGGAGTGCAGTGGCACGATCTCAGCTCACTGCAAGCTCCACCTCCTGGGTTCACGCCATTCTCCTGCCTCAGCCTCGCAAAGTGCTGGGATTACAGGCGTGAGCTGTTATCTTATTATTAACTGACCACTCTTACATACTAGGGATGATAAAATCAAGTGCCTGCTTGAGAATTGGTCAGAGATGAAGAGAGCATGAAATGGAGAGGTCTACTCAGCAAAAACAGAAATAATATGCTCTGAACAAAACCATTTTGAAAAACAATGGGAGCCAAACAGTTTGTCAACAAACCCATCCAACAAAGAGGTTGGGATATCAGTATGGCACCCCCACTCTTACCACTGAAGACCTTCTTGGATCTTTACATTGTCATCCAATATATTTCTTTCCCTCCCTCCTCAATGTCATTCATAGATTTGCTACCACATTTGCTTTGTATCCTTTCTAAAGACTAGAGATTAATATTTTTAATACAAAATGTCTGAAGGTCACTATGGCAGATCATTAGAGACCTCTCTCCAAGAGCTTAAATTGTATATGCCTTTGATCCACAAATTCATAAATTTTCTCCTAGGAATATGCCTTAGAGAAATTCTCACACATGTGCACCAGGAGACATGAATAAGAATGTCCTTTGAATCATTGCTTGCAATAACCCCAAACTAGAAACAATCCAAATGTCGATTCTGGGATAATAGATAAATAAATTGTGGTGCATTCATGCAACAGAATATGATACAGCAATAAAAACAAAGGTAGCAAATGAATAATAATGCACACATTAACATGATGAATTCTCACAAATAATGTTGAGTAAAAGTTGATTGCAGAATATATGATATGACTCCATTTACATACATTTCAAAAATATATAAAACTAAGTCTCAAAATTTGGTATTTTGGAGAAAAAAACTGTATAAACTTATTTCAAAATGTGTACCAAAGGATGAAAACATAGGAATTGTTAAGACAAATCTGGAAAAGAAGAACAAAGAGTAGATGTACAAAAGTTATGATGATTACAAGAAAATGACAAACAGTGGCTGAGCGCGGTGGCTCACGCCAGTAATCCCAGCACTTTGGGCAGCCAAGGCGGGCAGATCACGAGGTCAGGAGTTCAAGACCAGCTTGGCCAACATAGTGAAACCTTGTCTCTACTAAACATACAAAAATTAGCTGGGTATGGTGGCATGTGCCTGTAGTCCCAGCTACTCAGGAGGCTGAGGCAGGAGAATTGCTTGAACCTGGGAGGTGGAGGTTGCAGTGAGCCAAGATCGCACCTCTGCACTCCAGCTTGAGCAACAGAGTGAGATTTTGCCTCAAAAAAAAAAAAAAAAAAAAGAAAAAGAAAAAAAGAAAATGACAAACAGTGCCCAGAAAATTAGCCAGCCATTTGGGAAAAAGAATGCTAGCTCAAGAGGTAAGTGCATGACCTTATATCCTGCTTCCCCTCCAACTAACTCTGTGACCTTGAACAAGAAACTTAATCTCTCACTGTTCTATATACAAAATGGGGAAGATAATAATAAGATCCACCTGATCCAGCTGATGTGAGGATTAAATGAAATGTTATAGGTAAGATACTGAACACAACGCTTGGCACATAGTAAGCACACAATAAATGTTAGCTGCTATTATTATCATTATTATTAAATCTTACATGATTCACACAAATAAATTCCAAGTTAACTGAAGAATAAAGTATAAAGAAATAAAACCCTAGAAATAGAAGAAAAGGGCAATTCTATTTTAAATTTAGGTTAACCTTAATTTATTCTTCTTTTTTTTTCTTTTTTGAGATGGAGTCTCACTCCCAACACACAGGCTGGAGTGCAGTGGCACAATCTCAGCTCACTGCAACCTCTACCTCCCGGGTTCAAGTGATTCTCCTTCCTCAGCCTCCCGAATAGCTGGGATTACAGGCATGCACCACCACTCCTGGCTAATTTTTGTATTTTTAGTAGAGACGGGATTTTGCCATACCGGCCAGGCTGGTCTCGAACTCCTGACCTCAGGTGATCCACCCACCTCGGCCTCCCAAAGTGCTGGGATTACAGGCGTGAGCCACCACGCCCAACCAATTTATTCTTCTTAAGAAGGTATTTTTAAACAATACATGAAAGACAAAAGCAATAAAAGGCTGAAAAAATTAATTCATCTAAATATAAAAAAATTCATTATAAATGATTCCATTTTAAAAAAAAATTAAAATACAAGCAACAAATAAGCACATCTGGCAACCAGATTTTGGTTCCTAAATACTACTCTCCAATAAAATAAACCCAGGATCCTTGGAGAAGTGCTGATCCCAGGACTAGGGCAGAACAAATACAAAATGAGCCTTAAGCATTTATCTAGTGTTAGAGAGTAAAGAAGTGGTCCAAACAGAGTAAGGGAATCAGAAGGAAACACACAAGCCAACCTGAAAGATTTCCCGATGGCCAAAGAGGAAACAATTTGAGCAACAAACTAAATAATGATAGTATTCGATTATAACCAAAAGCATGAAATAAATACCCATGAGGCTATATTAATGAAAATAAACGATCAAATACATAACTACAGTGAGAGAAGAGACAACATTTTCTTACATAAGAATTCTGATTAATAAACGTGGAAGGAATGAGGGAACTAGAAAACCACCATTGGCATAACACAGTAATGACGGCCGCAGTCAAGACCCACCTATGAAAGCTATTCATGTAGTTTAAGGTTATTTTCCACAAAATACGATACGTGTACAGTACAGAGACCTGGCAAATTCCACCCTAACTAAATGATCAATTTTAAAACAGTAATAAGGCACATCAATATAATGGACCGCCTGGTAAGTCGTACTGGGAAGAGCACATCAACTCTGGCATTCTTACCAAAGATGCATAACCTCAATGTATTCACGAGAAACCATCAGACAAACCCAAATTGAGAGACATTCTCCTAAATAACTGACCATTACTATTCAAAAGTATCAAGCTCATGAAGTATAACTACAGACTAAGGAACTGTTCCATTGGAGGAGGCTAAAGAGACATGACAGTCAAATGTAAATAGGATCCTGGATTGGATCCCAGAACAGATAAAAATACATAAGTGGAAAACCTGGAGAAGTATAAATTGTGTGTAGCATCATTAATAGTATCGTACTAATGTTACCCCTTCATTTTGATCATTGTACAATAGTTTTAAGATGTTAACATTAGGGGAAGCTAGATGAAGAGCAGGCAGGAACTCTCTGTACTATCCTGGTTGACTCTTCCATAAGTCTAAAATGATTTCAAGTGTTGAAGTTTTAAAAAATACAAGCCACAGACTAGGAAAAAGTTTGCATTGTAATTGTCAAAGTGCATATGGGGGTCTGGGATTTTACCCTGCTTAGAAGTTAATGCATTAGCCTTTTATTGTTTTATGGATGAAGGGAGAAAACATGAGATTTGGGTTCAGAGACAAGGATTTTATTACATCACAGCAAATGGCATGAGCATTAAGTTGCATTTGTTCCCCCATGACCCTAAATATCCACACACTGATGCTTGCACCTGCAGTAGGTTGTGTTACAGGTGAGGAATACTGAGTTTAGGGGAATTTATCCTTTTTACAGTAAGCGGTAAGTAATTCTGCTCTTTGTCTGGGGGACACGTGAACTGACCCCTCAAGGTTGCTCACTGCAAACACAACTCTGAGAGATGTTCAGATAAAGAGCAGTATGGGCCTTGCATTCTTTTCATATATAGTGAAAATGTGCAGAGATGCCCAGGAGTCATAGTGAATTACTTCATCCAACAAATATAACGAGTGATTAATATCCATATTATATAAAGGACTCCAAGTGGCCAGGCACAGTGGCTCACGTCTGTAATCCCAACACTTTGGGAGTGTGAGGCAGGAGGATTCCTTGAGCCCAGGAGTTTGAGACCAGCCTGGGCAACACAGTAAGATCCTATCTCTATAAAAAAAATTGTTTAAAAATTAGTTAGGCACATTGGCACATGCCTGTAGTCTCAGCTACTCAGGAGGCTGAGGCAGGAGGATCACTTGAGCCCGGGAGGTCGAGCGTGCAGTGAATCATGATAGTGCCACTGCACTCCAGCCTAAGTGACGAAGAGAAGCCTGTCTCAAAAAAAATAAAAAATAAAGAACTCCTATAAATCAGTACAAAACAATGTCTGAATTTTTCTAAATAAGGGAAAGATACAAAAAGAAAATTCACAAAAGAAATATGAATAGCCAGTAAGCAGCAAAAACTGAACAACTTCACTACTAACAAGGAAAGAACAAAATAAAACAAGCCATTCTCCATATGTCAGGTTGGCCCCCCAAAAATTTTTTTTTAGTTTTTTTAATGAGATAGGGTCTCGCTACATTGCCCAGCCTGGAGTGCAGTGGCTATGCATAGGCATGATCCCACTATTGATCAGCACAAGAGTTTTGATCTGCTCTGTTTCTGACCCTGATCAGTTCACCTCTCCTTAGGCACCCTCATCACCCCACTCCTGGGACATCACTACTATATTGATGCCAAACATAATGTGGACAGCCAATCAACATAGTGCACTACAGCTCAAAATTCTTGAGTTCAAGCAATCCTCTTGCCTCAGCCTCCCAAGTAGCTCACACTACAGATGTAGGCCACCATGCCTGGCAAAAAAATAATAATAATAATAACTTAACTGATAATTAGTACTGAAAAGTTGTGGAGTGTCCAACCTAAGGAAATATTTGCATATGGACATATAAAAGCTTCAACTGCAGCAATATTTATAAACACATAGAAAAGGAACCATTTTCCTTAAAAAGTTAAGCATAGAGTTAACATGTGACCCAGAAATTCCACCCCAGGTATAATAACCAAGACAAATGACAATATATATCAACACAAAAAGTTGTACAGTACATGAATGTTCATAGCAGCGTTATGCATAATTGCCAAAAAAACAGGGACAACCCAAATGTCCATAAACTGATCAACAAAATGTGGTATATTCATACAACAGAATATGATTCAGCCATAAAAAGGAATGACATACTGATACAGGCTACAACATGGACGAAACTTGAAAACATTATGCTAAGTGAAAGAAACCAGTAACGAAAGGCAAAGAATCTATGATTCCATTTATATAAAATGTCCAGAATAGGCAAATCTAGACAGAGGGCTGGGGGGAAGGGGGAATGTTGGAAATGGGAAGGTGAGAGCTGAAGGATATAGAGTTTCTCTTTGAGGTGATGAAAATGTTCCAAAATTGGATCGTGGTGATATTTGTGCAACTATGAATACACTAAAAATATCTGAATTGTTCACTTTAAATGGATAAAATAAATAGTATGTGAATTATAACTCAGACTTGCAAAAAAAGAAAGGGGAAAATTGGTCCACAAACAGGGAAATGATCAGATAAAACCTAATATGCTACATTAACATTTTGGGCAAGGCACAGTGACTTACACCTGTAATCCCAGCACTTTGGGAGGCTGAGGTGGAAGAATCGCTTGAGCCCAGGAGTTTAAGACTAGCCTGGACAACATTTTTAAAAAATTATTTAATTAGTCGGGCATGGTGGCATATGACAGTAGTCCCAGCTACTCAGGAGGCTGAGGTGGGAGGATGGCTTAAGCCTGGAAGGTTGAGGCTGCAGTGAGCCGTGATCATGCCTTTGCACTCCAGCCTGGGTGACAGAGTAAGATTCTGTCTTTAAAAAAAAAAAAAAAAAAAAAAAAAAAGCACAACAACAACATTTTTTTGGAAAACCATACCGCTCAAGCTCGATCTAACAGGCATAACTCTCCAAGATATACTATCAGGGGTGGGGAAGGGAAGTTGAAAAATATTATGCTATGACATTTATTTAATTTAAAAGTTAGAAACACAAAACTAAACTATGTCATTTGTGCATAGTAAACTCACACATACATACCACAGAAGATGTTGAGGAAAAAATAAAATAGAAAAGTGCAGTTGTCTTTCTGTGCTTACTATTCAGGACACAGAGTTGTGGGTGGTGGGGCTAAGGGTATGTGATTAAGAGAGACTTGTTTTATTCGTACTGCTTAAATCTATTACCAAAAAAGTATTAGTTTATTTTTCTGTGCAAAGAAAGAAATACATTTAAAGAAAGAAAGAAAAAGAAGCCAGGTGCGGTTGCTCACGCCTGTAATCCCAGCACTTTGGGAGGCTGAGGTGGGCGGATCACTTGAGCTCAGGAGTTTGAGACCACCCAGAGCAACTTGGTGAAACCCCATCTCTACAACAAATACAAAAATTAGCCGGGCGTGGTGGTGGGGCATGCCTGTTAGTCCCAGCTACTCAGGAGGCTGAGGCAAGATAATCGCTTGAGCCTGGGAGGTGGAGGCTGCAGTGAGCTGTGAACACACCATTGCACCCCACCCGAGTGACAGAACGAGACCCTGTTTCAAAAAGAAAGAAAAGAAAAGAATCTAGAATCAAGCCAAACTGTAAATAAAGATGACCTCTAGGAAAGGAGGTAGAATCATGGGGATGAGATGTACTTTACTTTTGACTCTATATGCAGTTGTTTACCTCAGTGAGCCTATATTGATTTCTTCATTGATTTACAATTTCAAAAACAATTTAAAAATAAAAGATGATCACTTTCCTAAAAATCACCCCATAGTAGTATGGTCAAAATTGGTCTGCGAAATCCTGAGAAATAAATCTTCATTTCCTCTTCTGGAAATAACTGTGATATATGTAAAAGCCTTACTCAAAGGCTAACACTTCTAAACACGATTCCAGTATATTATACTAAGAAGTAGTTCAATAGGATAATTTTCTAGTTGCTTGTTCTGAAGTATACCAAACTTTAAATAAAAAGCCTTTTACCTTTAGCAGTTTGGAGTGTGCAACATTTAGCACATTTATGACAGCCTTACAACTTGGCCCTTTAATCTGCTCAATGATATAGTTGAACTTGGCTGACATGCGTTTCCAGTGTTCCAATTCAGTGAGTGGACCTGAATCACCAGCTTCTTTTCTCATCTGCTCACTCTCAATAAGTACCTGCAGTCAAAAAAATTTATAAAATATAGAAATGTTACATTCTTCTTTGTTAAAATCTGATTGCATCTTTTTGAAGGCAGCTGAAAGTATAAATAATGTTCAATACCAAATAATGTTTAAAAACTCTCAGTAAATGAAGACTAGAGGAGAATGTCTTCAATATGATAGATACTATCTACTAAAATTCTCCAGCAAACATAATATTTAAAGGTGACAGTTTCTCTTATTTATTTTGGGTTTTTTTTTTTGGTCGGGGGGGAGGTAGTTTTTTGGTTTTGGGGTTTTTTTGTTTGTATGTTTGTTGTTTTGAGGCAGGGTCTCGCTCTGCTGCCTACGCTAGAGTGCAGTGGCACAATCACAGTGCACTGCAGCCTTAACCTCCTGGGCTGAAGCAATCCTCCCGCCTCATCCTACTGAGTAGCTAGGACTACGGGCAAGTGCTACCACAGACAGCTAATTCTTAATTTTTTGTAGAGATAGCATGTCACTATGTTGCCCAGCTGGTCTCAAACTCCTGGGCTGAAGCGATCCTCCTGCCTCAGTTTCCCAAAGTGTTGGGATTACAGGCATGAGTAACCATACCTGGCCAAAGGTGACATTTTAGAAAATATCACTTTAAAACCAAGGACATGATAAGTTTGCCACAATCACCACCCACTTCTATTCCACCTGGTAATAGATATCCCAGAACAAGGTAACTAAAGAAACAGAAGGCATTAAGAATTGGAAATAAAAAACCAAAAATGGCATAATCACAGATGATATAGTTTGCTACATTTTTAAACTAGCATATCTAAGGTTGGGAGCAGTGGATCCCACCTGTAATTTCAGCACTTTGGAAGGCTGAAGTGGAGGACTGCTTGAGCCCAGGAGTTCAAGATCAGCCTGGGCAACAAGGCAAGACCCCTTCTCCACAGAAATTTTTTAAATTAGTCGGATGTGGTGGTGCATGCCTGTAGTCCCAGCTACTCAGGAGGCTGAGCGGGGAGGATCACTTAAGCCCAGAAGCTGGAGGCTGCAGTGAGCTATGATCATGCCACTGCACTCCAGCTTGGGTGACAGAATGAGACCCTGTCTCAAAAAAAGAAAAGAAAAAAAAACAAAAAGACTAAAGACAAACTTTTTACAATTAATAAACGTGAGCAATTCAGTAAAGTTGCTAGATCTATACATAAAAATTAGTATCACTTCTTTACAAGCTATCTTGCAATCTGAAAATTTAATTTCCAAAAAGATACAATTTACAACAGCAAAGAAAAACAGTGATAAGATAACTAGAAATTAATCTAATGAAAGATATGCAAAACCTTTTTGGAGAGAATTTTAAAACTTATTTTACACACACAGAAGACCTACCTAAATGGGGAGGTATATCATGTTCATGGATGGAAAATTCAATTATACAAAGATGGCAGTTTTCTCTAAATTCATGTACACATTCAATGAAATTCTAATCAAAATCTCAATAGGGTTTTTCATGATACTTTAAAAATTAGTCTTAAAATTAATTTTGAAAAACAATTAGCCTGCAACAGTCAATGTAATTTTGAGGAAAAACAGAGAAAAGACTTGGCATGCCAAATGTTGGTTTAGTAAAACGCTACAGAATTAAAGCAGTACAGCATAGTATAAAAAATAAATAAATACACCAGTGAGACAAACAAAAGGGTCTAACAACTTTATATATGACAGAGGTTATATTACAAATATGTTAGAAAAAAATGGACTATTAAACAATTTAACAGAGAATCTTAAATCGAGACAATTGGCTAACTACAGGTACATGAAAAACACAAAATTAGATTTCTGCCTCCCATCATACACACACGCACAATTCCAGATGGATTAAACACCTAAATGTTAAAAATAAAATGGTAACATTTCTAAAAGAAAATGTAGGAGACAGGGTAAAACTAGAAAGAAAAACATGGAATTGAAAAGCATAATTATCAAGATAATAGTTACCACTAGGGGGAAGAAAAGCTGTTTAAAACTGGGAAGAGAAACGCAAGGACATTTTAAGGCGCTGGTAATGGTCTATGTTTTTTCTTTTCTTTATTTATTTATTTTGAGGCTGGGTCTCACTGCGTTCCCCAGGCTGGTCCTGAACTCCTGGGCTCAAGCGATCCTCTTGCCTTGGGCTCCCAAAGTGCTGGGATTACAAGCATGAGCCACCATGCCTAGCCATGTTCTATTTCTTAACTTGTGCAAAGGTTACACAGGTGTTCATTTTACAGTTTGTTCCTTTCATCATATTCATTTTTGTGTTATATTCACTATTTAAAATAAATAAAGAATTTAAGAGAATGCCTTTGTAACACTGGAGTAGGAAAGCATTTAATAAGTAAAATACAAAAAGCACAGAGTTTATATTTATAGTCACTGGGGATAGCTAGGTTGAGGCTGGATTAACATTTGTAATTAATATATTTATCTACATTAAAAACTTAAATTTCCACATGACTAAAGGCACTATACCAAATGAAACATGACACAATGGGGACCAACATAGGATTAATATCAGGAAAATATTATTTAACCTCCAAAAATGTAGTATGATAACATCAAGCCATCCAAAAAAATAAAGGGATGATATAGGCAAATGATATGAACAGGCAATGATATGGGTAAATGATACAGGTAAATGATATAAACAAGCAATTCTACACAGAGGAAACCAAAATAGCCATTAAATATGCTCAACCTCAATAGTATTTAGGGTAATACCAAGTAAACCAAGATATCATTTCACACTCAACATATTGGCAACAATTAAAAATCTGACAATTCCAAGTGTAACCAAAGATTTTTCAAAAAAAAATAGGAAGTCTTGGCTGGGCACGGTGGCTGCAAGAGTTATCCAGTGGGCAATTACCCATTTCAATAATCTAGTGACACCTGGAAGCAAATGCTGTGGCCAGCACTCTAGACCCTAGGGGAGTCCTCCAATTTTTGCCACTCTAACTGCACAGCCCTCCTCCTAACATAGTTCTAGAAAGGTAAAACTGGAAACGCTTTTCTGTACCTCCTGCCTGGTCAAGATTTTTTCCCCTTGATCCTCACATAACTGAAGATTTTCTTGTTTAGTTCTGCTGTCCTGTGCTGATGAACTAGAGATCTGGGGGGCGGTTCCTAGAATCCTCTTTCTGTTTAGGGCAATTATGTAATATCCGATTTTCTTTCACAGTGTTTATAGTGTAAGTTGGAGCCTCTCATAATTTTGACATATGTTGTATTCCTATCACTACTTTCCTTACTGCCAGAAAAAATTTGACCATAGAGCTGCAGGCTTGCCACTGTGATGCTGATGTGAAACAGCCTAGTCTGAACTTCTTTGACAGCACAGACAACTCCACTGATCGAACAAGAGGTACTTATTTAGTGTCTAGCACTCTGGCTCTTCACTGTGTCCTCTCCCTCTCTCTTTTATGGAGAGTATCAACAATTTAAACATTATTGGGGATAAATGTTGGCTATTCCTGATTCTTCATTCTTTCATTCTCAACCCATATTGTTATGGTTTCTTCCTTGAAGTGAGAAATATCTTAAAATTGATTTCAAATGGTCCACAAAGAAGAATGATTTTGCTCTAGACCCAAAAATTGGCTGAGTTTCAAACTAGATTCTGGAAGAAAGTCAAAGGAGACACCTCTTCCCTTTGCTGTTAGAGACAAAATACAATGGCTAGGATGCACATGAAAACTACTAGTCCAGATGCAATTGTTTGAGTCAATTCACCTGTTCGATCTGTTTGTACCATACCATCAGCACTTCCTCCAGCTGATGAACAGTTTCTGAGTTGCTGGCTGCAGCAGTTACTTCTTCAAAGGTGTGCAGTTTGGAAAAATTAACATTGTCTATTGTCTTTAACTTCACTGTTCCCTCAATACTTATTCTAGCACCTAAAAAGGAAAAAAAAGACATTTAATACTAATTTATATATTAAATATTTTAAATATATTAATAAAAATATTAAATAATATTTAATAGTAAGAAGTATTTAATGTCAATGTGTTAAAAGTCAATGTGTACTTTTAAGCTCTAATTACTGAAATGTTAAAGATCTAATACTTTACAGAAATATAATTCTAATTAATCATTAGATTATGACTTCATAATTTACTGATAAAATTGTACATTTTAACAATATGAAAAAATAAAAGTATAGATTTTTAAGAGTTCATAATAAAGTATATATTTTAATATGGTGAAAATTTTCATTAATATTATAGAAAGAGATTCCTCCTGCTATAACGTAAAATTAAAAAGAAAATATATCTTACTCCACCAAAGATCCTCAAAAATGAGTTCTAATGATTTCATTTCTTGCCTCTAAGTCTCATAATTACTTGGATTAACATCTTTTAAGATAGAAACTTTTTCTCTGTTTATGAAATATCTTAGTTAATTTGCTTCTTTTTTGCAATTTGCTAAACATTAAATTTTATACTTACCATCTAAAAATGAAAGATATCTGTTGATGGTTTCAGTGAAAATATGTTTTTCAGATTCTCCCTGCTTGGACTGGTTTAAAGCACCCCAGTTGTTTGTTGCAAGAACAGCTGGTAGAAATATATTTGCCAACATATCCCTAATTCCATTTAAGAGTCCTTTCGACGCATCCAGAACAGTAAAGAGCGCTTCCTGAAAGGGTGGAGTTTAAATGTTATTTTACATGCTAATCCCACTAAAGAACTGAAAAATCATAACCTGTTTTATATTGCAATAAACATAGACAACTAATACATTTTATAAACTATTAGGGAATCTTAAGTGGTTATGAACCTTAGAGTTCTAAAGTCAACAAACTTATATTCTGCCCCCAATTTAATTATTCCCATATTTGCTCATCAAAGTGATGTTTCATTTGATGCTTTAATTTCTGCATAGGAAAGGAACAATAGCCTGGAGCCTATTCAAGGTGAGGGACGTGGAACCAAACCTGCGTAAAGAAAATCCTCCGTTGAAAGTTGCCCTGTCCATGATTTTTTTTTTTTCTGGTGAAAAGCCCTTGCCTAGAAGTTTGGTGGAATAAATTACCAGCCGTAAGAAACCAAAAGCCCAGAAATCAAAAGCCCACCACCCATGCGTGACCTTTCAATTGATACATCTTAAGTGACTTAGAAATCCCAAGCCAGAAAATTAAGATTAAAAAACTTGTCTAGGGTCACAAAAAAAAATGATTTCTGGTTTTTTAACTGTGAGTGTGTGGCAATGAAGTATAAAATTACTACTCATACAGTTTGGTGTCGTCTTGATTCGTGTTAAGGTATCAGTAGTTTTTCCCACCATTGCTTCTGCGCCATCAGTCAAATGTCAACATTGGTGAAAAGGGCAACTAGCATCTTAGTATTCTGATGAAAATAGGTTTGACTTTAAGAACCACTGTTACACCACATGGCTCATCTGTGATTACATTTACTTAGTTCTAATGATGTAAACAAATATTTAGCTAAGTTAACTAGAATATAACTACGTTGGAAGAATAGAGGGATGGAGAAACAAGGGTCAGAAGGCAGAAAAAGAGCGAAATTATCACCTTCCAGAGAGAAAAGTCCACAGAAAATGTCTTTTTTTTTTTCTCTCACTCTGTAGCCCAAGCTGAAGTGCAGTGGCGTGATCTCAGCTCACTGCAACCTCTGCCTTGGGGACTCAAGCAATTCTCTTCTCTCAGCCTCCCAAGTAGCTGGGACCCCAGGAGTGCACAACCACACCCAGCTGATTTTTTGTATTTTAGTAGAGACAGGGTTTCACTCTGTTGCCCAGGGTGGTCTCGAACTCCTGAGCTCAGGCGATCTGCCTGCCTCTGCTTCCCAAAGTGCCGGGAGTACAGGGTAAGCCACTGCGACTGGCCACAGATAATGTCTAAACTGACAAAAGGAGCAGTCTGAGCATATTATTTAGAGATATACAGGTAAATAAAAGAATCCATTAAAAGGGTTTAATAGTTGCTTCTGGAGAATAGCATAGAAGTCAGTTTTTCGGTTATGAAAGACTTATACTATTTCATAAAAGGACTTTTTCTCTCTTTATATGCACACATAACTGAACTAAAACAAAAGCTAAATTATAAAAATGAATGGATGAAATCATGGATAAGTTGAAGAAAGAATTAATGAAATGGAAGGCAGATTGAGGAAACATCCATACATAGAGGCATTGTGGTGAAACTACAGGACTTTGAAGACAACAAGCAAAAGCAAACAGAAAGAAAAAAAGACAGATTACCTATGAATTACACTAACAGGAGTGCTCTCATCATCCACAAGAAATACCATGAAATATTTACAAGGGGTCAGGGAAAAATAACTGCCAACCTAAAATCTTAAACCAAGCTAAACAAGCTCTCTTCAAGCAATCTTTTATCATAACAGAAAAGGAACAAGATTAGACTTCAGTTCCCTTTCCCATTGTAAAAGGTATTAAGACTCTCTAAGAATAACAAAGAGAACTAATATTTGTCGAGAGCCTACTGTATGTCAGGCAATATAATAAGAATTTATTTATATTATCATTTAGTGTCACTACAATCTTGCCAGGTGTGTATTATTATTCCCAATTTAAGAACGTAGAGATCTAAGTCGCAGAAAGGATGAGCAACTTTCCAGAGGACACATTTAAGTGATTAGTCAGTGGTGAAGCTAAGAGGCAAATTTCGGTCTCTCTGGCTAAAATTCTTGCTTTTCCCATTCCATCATCCTGCCTTCCCAGAACTAGCTTAGCAATGTCCAGGCTCTAGGACAACTCTCCCTTCTTCTTTTAAAACTATAAAAGAGTTAAAATATTGAGTGAAGAGGAAGTTAAATAAAGTAACTAATACTTTGCATCAACAAAATTAAATGTGTTATTTGCACACCATCAAGAAATGAAATTTTCATGAAATTGAAAGCAGTATCTAAAATATCAATATAACTAAGCTCTATTACAGTCAATTTCTCAGTTTTTTTTAATATATGAATACATTTATTTTCTTGGAACTCAATTCAGTCCTATATTTAAAAAGGGAAAGCAAAGTAAAGCATAAGTGTGACTACAAAAATATATTCAATGTTTAACTATGTATTTGGGGAAATTTTTAAACATACCTCTTGAATAGTTTTAACATTTATAGCAACATCATTACGGCAACGAACAAAAAATATGCACAGTCCTTTTAGTTTATCCGGGGCTGCATTGTCTATATACAATTTCATCATTTTTGCCCCTTTAGTTGCTCCAGCAATAGTTCGACCACATTCTGAAAACAAAAGTCAAGAACTTAGCGTATAATCACACAACTAATCAAATGAGATAAGTTACTGTGGCTCTTACACTATTGTTTCCTGTTTTACTTTATTGTAAGAAGTTTTCAATACGGTCATAGAATAATTTTTTTGGGGGGGGGTCTACTAGAAGATGCCAATAATTACATCTTTTTTTTTTTTTTTGAGACAGAGTCTTGCTCTGTTGCCCAGGCTGGAGTGCAGTAGTGCAATCTCAGCTCACTGCAACCTCCACCTCCCTTCAAGCCATTCTCCTGCCTCAGCCTCCCAAGTAGCTGGGACTACATGCGTGTGCCACCACATCCAGCTAATTTTTGTATTTATTTTTTCTTAGAGACGGGGTTTCACTGTTGGCCAGGCTGGTCTCAAACTCCTGACCTCAGGTGATCTGCCCACCTCAGCCTCCCAAAGTGCTGGGATTACAGGTGTGAGCCACCATGCCTGGCCAATAATTGCATCATTTTTTTTTTTTTTAGATGGAGCCACTATGCCTGGCCAATAATCGCATCTTTTTTTTTTCTTTTTCTTTTTAGATGGAGTCTTTTTTTTTAGCTCTGTCTCCCAGGCTGCAGTGCTGTGGCACAATCTCAGTTCACTGCAACCTCCACCTCCCGGGTTCAAGCGATTCTCGTGCCTCAGCCTCCCAAGTAGCTGGGATTACAAGCACGCGCCATCATGCCTGGCTAATTCTTGTAGTTTTAGTAGAGACAGGGTTTTACCATGTTGGCCAGGCTAGTCTCAAATTCCTGACCTCAAGTGATCTGCCCGGCTCAGCCTCTCAAAGTGCTGGGATTACAGGCGTGAGCCACCGTGCCCAGCTAATAATTGTATCTTAAATTGCAGCCTCCTCTGGGTACCTTTCCCTGAACTCTGTACTTCTGTTCCTTTTGGCCTGGCCTCAGGGCCTTATACAACCTGTTCTCCTATCCCATCCCCAACCTTTTACCTACAAATTCCTACTCATCTTTCAGATCTCAGCTGAAATGCCACCATCTCAGGAAGCCTTCACTGACTCCCCCAAGAAGGTCCAGTTCCTGTACCAAATACACTCATTGTATCCACCTTCTATTAAATCCCTCCTTGAACTAATTTCCATGAAAATTAAACATTTAATTATCAATCTTTTTTAATTAGAAAAACTATTAAAAATATGAGAATTATGTTAGATAGTTGGTCACAATATTAATTTGCAAAAATCAACAGCCTTCTATTTGCAGCAATAGCCAATTTAAAATGTAATAAAAGAAATAGAAAATTGGCCAGGTGCAGCATCTCACACCTATAATCCCAGCACTTTGGGAGGCTAAGGCAGGAGGATTGCTTGAACCCAGAAGTTTGAGACCAACCTGGGCAACACAGTAAGACCTTGTCAATACAAAATAATTTTTAAAAATTAGCCAGATGTGGTGGCATGTGCCTGTAGTCCTAACTACTCAGGAGGTTGAGGCAGGAGAATCACTTGAGCCTGGGAGATCAAGAGTGCAATAAGCCATGATCATGCCACTGCACTCCAGCCTGGGCAACCTAGTGAGACCCATCTCAAAAAAAAATAAAAAAGGAAAGAAATAGAAAATCCACATCACAAAGCCACAGAAATGTTTTGTCTGCCCAGCCTTTCTTTTTCACGGGGGTTGGGAGATTCCTCCTGCCCTGTGATTCTGGAGGATACGAGTGCCAGGGCTCTGTAAAGGTGGGCATGTAAGAACTAGACTAATTAGACTCTACAAGAATATAAACCTTGAATGAATACACATAAAGAAAAAAAGGGATTTGAGAGATGGAAGTCTACTGATGAATCCTAAAGAAACTGCCCTGAAATCTGTGGAAATGCTCTATTCTTGTCCTTCCCGAGACCTGATTGTTCAACTAGTTCTAAATTTTGTTATCCACCTTCCGCCTCCCGAAACACTGCTTTCCACTCATATAAGCCAGACCTATTTCTGTTGCTTGCAGCCAAAGAACCCTGATACATGGTACGTAGCAATATAAGAGCCCAAATGCCCATTCATAGAGGCTCCACAGGGATTTACTACCCTCCCCTTTTTCTTTGCTAAGAAAACCTGACTTTGTCCCATTGTGTTCATCCCTAGAAAGAAAACTGCTCTCTCAGCCTCCCTGGCCCCCAGGATAGCCATGTGACACAGTTCTGTCTGATAAGACATAAGACAAGCTTAAGTTTTCCTGATGAAGAGGAGAGATGTGACCATCAATAGGGAATGATTTCTAAAAATCACAATGCAGCTGTATAATGGAATGTTATACTATAACGAATTTTTTGAATGAGGTAAATCTTTACGTAATGACACAGAAAAATGTCTAGGCTACCCTGTCAAATGCAAACACCAAGTCAAGAATAAAATGTATTATATAACCACATTTTTAACTGATAATAAGCATTTACATGTTAACACATGCACATAAGAAAGAAATGTAGGCTGGGTGTGGTGGCTCACACCTATAATCTCAGCACTTTGGAAGGCCGAGGCAGGTGGATCACCTGAGGCCAGGAGTTCAAGACCAGCCTGGCCAACATGGTGAAACCCTGTCTCTACTAAAAATACAAAACATTAGCTGGGCGCAGTGGTGTGCACCTGTAATCCCAGCTACTCAGGAGGCTGAAGCAGGAAAATCACTTGAACCCGGGAGGCGGAGGCTGCAGTGAGCCAAGATGGCACCATTGCACTCCAGCCTGGGTGACAGAGTGAGACTCTGCTTCAACAAAAACAACAGCAACAACAAAGAAATGTAGATGAATATTTACCAAACTGATAAATGTACTTTTGTAAGTAGCAAAAATAATGATTAAAAATATGTGTACCCTTTGCTCTGGCAATTTCCCTTCTGAGAATTTCTCCTAAAATTTATTCCTAATCCACATAGATTTGTATTCAGTAATATTCACTCAGGCATTGTTTCAGGGAGCAAAAAGTTGTAAACAACCTAAATTCTACTGAGAGATCAGTTTGGAAAATTACAGTTATATCAGCCTAATGAAATAAAATGCAGATGTTAACATTTTGATTGGATAAATGTATTTATTGGCATAAAGAAGACAATATTATCAAAATTAAACAGCCACTATAGAATAATATGTAGAATTGGATCCCATTTTTGTAAAATATGTATATAAACCAGTTATAGAGAAATATTCATTAAGGAGTTAACAGTGCTTTCTCCAACTGAGTGGAACTGTATTTTGCTTCTAATTATAGATATTTTATCTTTCTATAATTTTCAGCTATTGTTTTAATTTTTAACAAGTTATAAAAATATAGACCACACAATAATCCTCCTACAATAGGAACTGTGAGAGACAGAAAATCCACAAAGCCAACCTAGTCACTATTTGCGAGTTTACATATTTTATCGAAGAAACAAGACATATATTAAACAATTAGAGGAAGGTAGAAGAACACAATCAAGTACTATATTTACATGGATACTGTAAATGAGATAGGGATCTGGAGAACAGTGATGGCTATGGGTTGGAACACCCTGGGAAGGGCTCTGCTGGAGGTGTTCTGAAGGAGCCGGGTAGGGGATGCTGAGTGGAGAGAAGAAAGGCAATCTGAAAAAGCCAGGTGAGGAGAGAAAGGGAAAAGAAATAACTCTAGTATGCAGAAAACAATGAAGAGGGGCTTAAAAGGAGCAGCAAATTCACATCTGGAAGAGTAGGAGATCAGACTAGACAAGTACTGCGTGTCCAGATGACAGCAGGCCTTGAATAAATGAGATGTGGACCCAATCCAATAAACAGCAGAACAATAAAAGATATACTTGGCAGGAATACACAGTACGAATTTCAGAGGGAGAATCTGATTACAGAGATACTGGTTTTCAATCTGGAACACCAGGGAAGGCCTAGCCTAAGGCAGCAGAGGAACCAAGTGAGAAAGAAGCAACGGGAGGGATGTGTTGAAGGTAAATCCACAGGACTCTGATGATGAGTAGTCTCAGACCAAAAGGGAAACCCACATATCTAGTTATTAAAACAAAGTTTTAACAAGCTGGTAGCATGTTAATTAGTTCAGGCATAATATGCACAGTAGGGAAAACCAGCTATTCCAAGTGACAGCTGCAGCAGGCACAAGATGCTGAGATAGGACCACAGGGGGTAGCTGCAGGGCTCTGGAGTGGTTTCACCACCACTTCTAATCATCTGGACAAAATGGCTCCACCTGTTTCGGGGAAAATGCAATTAAATTCTAATGAAAATGTGTATTCCCAGCAGAGGCCAGTGATTTCTACAAGGATGTTTTCTCCTGAAGACATTATAGCAAGGCCTGAAATATGTATTTGGGCTGAGAATGTATTGTTCTTGAGACACTATATTTCTTATACATAAACTTCTGGTAACATTTTCTTTATAAATAAAGGATTATCTATGTATAAGAGAAAAAATATGCTGCACTTTAACGTGCATGAACTAATTACTGGCACACTGCCCTCAGAAAATTCTTACCAATACCAGGTACATCTCCTTCTTGGTACAAAAATTTCAGTGTCTTACAACCATCTTTCGCAAAAAAATTAGTAAATGCTTCCAGCTGTTAAATAAAAGAGAAAATGATAATCAAACGACTAAGGAAAAATTCTTAGTATTTTGCAGATGAAGAAGATGAAGCTCAAAGAGTTTATTCAAAGGTACATAAAGGCAAGATTAGAACCCAAACTAATTTAACTCCAAAATTACTGTGCAATATAGTAATGGTTGAATTATATTTCTGAACCTACATTAATGACCTACATATATAGTTTTGGGCAGCCACTTACCTGACCCTGCCCCACAGAATCATATAGGGGTTAAATAGGTGAGTCCAACTTGAGGTAAATATTTTTAAAAAAGAAGTATTATTAAGATAAACTATTCTTAAAAGCTCACTTGGGGAACAGAAAACTTGCCTATTGATTAACTGTGTTGTTGACCAATTATTTGAGCAATTATGTTTTTAGCTATTGTAATTTGACCTGTATTGTACCAAACTGAAGTAAAAACACATTATCATACTGAGATTCTTCCATATTTATGAGCATGAAGTTTTTATTCAATTACTTAGGAGTCAGTGTAATATCTTAGTAAATAGAAAACTAAATAGATAACATAAACGAAAGCCCTGAAATATCCTATGGGAAATACAAAGTCATATACCCATTCACCTAATCCCACTTATTCCCATACAGAAGGCTTTCTCTTGGGTAGTGAGAGTTTGTTTGTTTGTTTGTTTGTTTGTTTGTTTGTTTGTTTTGAGACGGAGTTTCGCTCTGTCACCCAGGCTGGAGTGCAGTAGCGCGATCTCGGCTCACTGCAACCTCTACCTCCCAGGTTCAAGAGATTCTCCGGCATCAGTCTCCCGAGTAGCTGAGATTACAGGCTTCTGCCACCACGCCCAGCTAATTTTTGTATTTTTAGTAAAGATGGGGTTTCGCCATGTTGGCCAGGCTGGTCTTGAACTGACCTCAAGTGATGCTCCTGCCTTGGCCTCCCAAAATGCCGGGATTATAGGTATTAGCCACCACACCTGGCCATGAGTATCTCTTAATTTACTGACTGCCTAGCGGAAGTATCCCAAGTGTAGCAAAGCCACTCCTCCTAGGACAGTGTTCTCAAATGTTAGTGTGCATCAGAGAATCACATAGAGGGCTTTTTAAAAACACAAAATGATTTGCATTCCTATCAAGTTCCAGGTGATGCTGATGCAACTGGTCCTGGGACCACATTTGAGAACCACCACCCTGGGAGATAAAACAGAGCCACCAAGATGTGCGTAACTCTAGCCCTTTGTTCTCTACTCTTCCACCTCCCGTATATACTTGGGTCTCACATAATTGCCACCTAAAAGGGACAAAAGCTGTCCACATAGTTCTTGCACAGCTCCATCAGTACTTTCTTGCTGACCCTTTAGCTTTGAAATCATACAAATTCTCAAAAGCAGTGCACATGACTAGGATAAAAAGACATCAAAATATCAAATGCAATGAATCCTTGCATTTTAGATACATTGTACTCATGAGACTAGCAAAGTAAATGTGAGATCATGGGCCAAAATCATGACTGTGCATTAAAAATTCACTTATATTACATAACATTTTACCAACAGTTAATCTGAGTATCAACTAGGTAAAGTGGCATTATTATACCCTTCTTGCAGAAGAGAAAATTAAGGTAAAAAGACTTTAAGTAGGCCAGGCTCGGTGGCTCACCTCTGTAATCCCAGCACTTTGAGAGGCCCAGGTGGGCAGACTGCTTGAGCCCAAGAGTTCAAGACCAGCCTGAGAAACATGGCGAAATCTCCTCTCTATAAAAATACCAAAAAAATTAGCTGGGCATAGAGGTATGTGCCAATGGTCCCAGCTACTTGGGAGGCTAAAGTCGGAGGATGGCCCGAGTCTGGGAGGTTGAGGCTGCAGTGAGCTGTAATCATACCACTGCACTCTAGACTGGGCAACAGAGCGACAGTCTGTCTCAAAAGAAAAAAAAATTAACTTAAGGACCCAAAACACACACGCACAGCACAGAACCTGGGATTGGACCTCAGCTTTGGGTGTCCAAATTTGTGCTCCTTCCATGTACCACAACCCTGCCACCCAGTCACTGGAAAACATTGCCAGTAAGCCAGAAAAGAGACTATCTTGAGCAGTGCTGAATGAAGGGGGCAGGAAAGTGGGAAGGGGTAAAAGTGCCAATGTTGCAGAAACATCTGCATTGGTCAAGGTCCTAGCAAGAAAAGGAGTCACACCCAAAGGGGTGTTTGAAAAAACTTTATAAATAAAAAGGCTATTTTATTTATACAATAAAAGACTATTTCTAGAGGCCAGAGGAGGATTAAGAGAAGCTGCAGCACTAGCAGCAACAATGGGACTAGCAACAACGGAGAACCGTGATCCCCCAAGGACTGAAGAGTTGAGAGCTAGAGGAAATAGAATGACTAGGGCCAGGTTGAGAACTGGAGATGCAGGCTGCTCAGGGAGCTATAACTATGGGAGCAGAGAACCACAGTCAGGAACAGGGCCAAGTGGGGAGCTTCTCTCCCCTTCTGCCCTCCCATTTCCTGCTGTGCCTCCCAGTGGCTGAACCAAGTGTAAACCAGAGAACAAGGGAGCCCAGGTGATAGATTCCATAGAGTTCAGCTTTCTATGCCACAGAGCAGGGCAGAGACAAAGGGAGAATGGATCCAGAGGCAAACAAAGTAACCATCATACCCTCTGTTGTCCACTTTTTTGTGGTGCCTTTACTGAGCTGCTTTCATCCTGGATTGCATGCCAGGCTTCACATTAAAAGAATACTTTTCCAGGCCCAGCACGGTGGCCCACACCTGTAATCCCAGCCCTTTGGGAGGTCAAGGCTGGTGGATCACTTGAGGTCAGGAGTTCGAGACCAGCCTGGCCAAGATGGTGAAACCCCGTCTCTACTAAAAATACAAAAATTAGCCGGGTGTGGTGGCACGCACCCGTAGTCCCAGCAGCTCAGGAGGCTGAAGCAGGAGAATCGCTTGAGCCTGGGAGGTGGAGATTACAGTGAGCTGAGATCGTGCCACTGCACTCCAGGCTGGGTAACAGAGGAAGACTCTGTCTCAAAAAAAAAAAAAAAAAAAAAAAACTAAAGAATACTTTTCCATATACCCCCAATTTCCTAAACCGCACCACACCAAATCATGCCACCCCTTGTTCCTTGTTCCATCTCTTTACTCACCTGGTCACCAACCTTGATCCAACCTATCATATATCCTTGCCTTTTCCCCTCAACCAAATAAACATTCTAATCTTTCAGGTTTTGACACTGGTTTCCCTACTGGGTACACGATTTTCCCTCCACCATGGCTTTGCTCACTCACAAGCAACTCTTAAGGAAATACCTTTTGCAGCTTGATTCTTCCTTAATGCCTACATTTCCCATTCCTTGCAGCCTAAGCAGTGTCAGTCCTGGACCATAATGGCCTTAAAGGTAGAATCTAACCACATGGACCCAAAGTCTGAGACATACCCCAGGAATAGCAAATAGAAGGGTTTGTAGGCACATAGCACTTCTACTTCCTGACTAGCATGCTAGCCAGTAAGAATTCCTCCAAACAGAGAATACCAACCCAGAAATACAGATGGCAAATACTTAAAGTTGGACTACCAGTTCTGCAGATGCCCATCTCCCCCCCACATCTTAGTTCTAGCAGTTACCCTTTCATGAAGGCAGTGATCAGGCCGCAATGCCTATGCCTATACTCTTTGCAGAAGGTCTAGGGATTCCAGTTGTGGTGTTATCCAAATCTGTGGCCCAGCAATTTTCAGGTGAAACAAAATTGATCACTCATCTGGCTTCCTCCCTAGCCAAATGCAGGACTGATCCTCGGGACAGGCCTAAAGCCTGGGCCTACTAAGAAATGACTTTTTAGAAATTGGCCTTCCCTTCCTCTCATTGTCACCATCTCAGGGATGTGTATAAGGTTGTTTTGCACCAATTGCTTAGAGAGGCTAGAAAGACATGTAGCCAAAGTCACCACAGAAACTAGAATAGTCACTGGGGAAAGGAAACCATTAAACAAACAAACCCAACTTGTGAATGGCAAAGAAAATCCTCTTACTATTTGGTTGGCATTGTCCACAGTCAGGACCAGCTACAGAATTTGATGAACATAGTGCAAAATGAAAATGGGAGACATTTACCAAAAAATTATCAAGAACTTCAAAATGGTGACAAAAGATCATCAAACCAAGCATAGTGACATTCTAAGCACAGGGGCCTCTGTAACTACACAGCCAATATATCCATGAAGCCAGCCTTGACCACAGCAGTAAATTCCAGCGGGGAACTTTGGTGACCTGGGAAACCACAACCTACTTCCGGTTGCTTGCTGTGACACCTCTTGTTTTACGTACACATCTCCATGCATTCTCTATACTTTGTCATTATAATAGCTTAGAGCTATTGAAGTCTTTGCATCAATCACATCCCCATCTCACTGTTACAGCTACACAACAGGACCAAGAAAATGAGCAATCCCATTCATACTGTCAGAGAACTGCCAGGACCACATTCTTATAAGGATACTGGACGACATGAAGCGCAGACAATTTTGCAGAATTTAGCAATGCACTGTATCAAGCAAGGGAGTAGCTCTTTATTATTATTATTATTATTATTATTATTATTATATGAGTTGGAGTCTCACTCTATCGCCCAGGATGGAGTGCAGTGGTACAGTCTCGGCTCACTGCAACCTCTGCCTCCCAGGTTCAAGCGATCCTCCTGCCTTAGCCTCCTGAGTAGCTGGGACTACAGGCACATGCCACCACACCCAGCTAATTTTTGTATTTTTAGTAGAGACAGGGTTTCACCATTTTGGTTAGGCTGGTCTTGAACTTCTGATCTCAGGCGATCTGCCCGCCTCAGCTTCCCAAAGTGCTTGGATTACAGGTGTGAGCTACTGCGCCCGGCCGGGAGTAGCTCTTTTAGGCACGGTTCCATAGAACCCTGGCTCCTAGAGCAAGCTAAAGAGTTTTGCCCATGTTTGATGACCCCTATAAAAGCAGGGGATATGGCCCCCATGGTGACAACCTCACCACAACCCCACCTCACCCCAACTCTCTCACCAGTGCATTCAGTGAGACAATCAGCTCACCAGCAGTCTGCACCTGCTCACTGGTCTTTCTGGCATACCAGCCCAGTCCACTCCTAGGGTTCAGAAAAAGCCCAAGAACCTAGTGGTAGTTTTATTGAAAATTATCTTAGAACCAGAGCTATCGCGAGGGAAGCTATGACACAAGTGTATCATACATTACTATAATTAGGGTGACCGCATCAATTTATCATCCAAAACTGTTAGTAGTGTCAGGAGGTACTGTTAATCATGCCAGGAAAATAGGTATAATCCAGAACTGTCCCTGGCACACTGAGACATATAGTAACCTGACCTGCAATCACATCACTATTTCTACTACCGTATACTCATACAATAGTCACTGTTTCCTGACTTATTTATGCAGCTTTTCTCTACAAGTGATTTGCATATGTAGTTCATATAACCTGTACTTGTAAAATATTACCTACCGTCACCACTCAACTATGCCTCTAACTTCTGACATCATTCTGAATTAGAAGTTTAGCCAAAATTCTAGTTGCTAACTTTTCTCTTCTTCCTCCACAACAGTAAACCTGATTAGAAATACCATTCAACTGGGCCAGGTGCGGTGGCTCACGCCTGTAATCCCAGCACTTTGGGAGGCCAAGGTGGGCAGATCACGAGGTCAAGAGATCAAGACCATCCTGGCCAACATGGTGAAACCCCATCTCTACTAAAAATACAAAAAAAAATTTAGCTGGGCGTGGTGGTGCGTGCCTGAAATCCCAGCTACTCGGGAGCCTGAGGCAGGAGAATCCGGAAGGCAAGGTTAGTGAGCCGAGATGGTGCCACTCCACTCCAGCCTGGTGACAGAGCAAGACTCTGTCTCAAAAAATTAATTAATTAATTAATTAATTAATTAATTAAATTTAAAAAGAAATACCATTCAACTGGCTATAATTATATAAACTAAACCTTCTCCTCTAGTCAGTAAAATTCCAACTTTTGTCTTTTTCTTTTTTCTTTCTTTTTTGTTTTTTAGACAGCATCTCACTCTGTCAGCCAGGCTGGAGTACTCACTGCATCCTCCACCTCCCAGGCTCAAGAGATCCTCCCACCTCAGCCTCCTGAGTAGCTGGGACCACAGGTACGGACCACCATGCCCAGCTAATTTTTGTATTTTTTGCAGAGACAGGAGTTTTGCTATGTTGCCCAAGCTAGTCTCAAACTCCTGGCCTCAAGCAATCCCCAAACCTCAGCCTCCCAAAGTGCTGGGATTACAGGCATGAGCCACTGTGCCCTGCCCCAACTTTGTCTTTCTGAATGATTTTTGTTGTTGTTGTTGCTGTTTATGACAACTCTATTTTCTTAAGTTAATCACTTACTCAAAGGGCAATTAAAATATAATGATAAGACTTAAACTTACAGATGGGCAATCCAAAATTAATTCTTCAACAGTTACTATGTCCAGGCCAAGATTTTCTGCTAGAATTTCAAATATATATTTGTATGAAGGGTCAATTTTCAGTCTTCGGCTTTCCCTTGCCTCTCTAAATCTTGCCTAAGGAATGAAAACCAAGTTCAAAAATTGCAATTCTGAAGAAAAAATATCAAACTGTTTCATACTTTGTAAAGTAAAAGTATTTCGTATTTGATAAGGAAAAGTGGCACACATGAAAAATCGTATTAGAAGCAAACCTGTCTCTCTTTTAATGTTTCCTGTAGATTGGGAAGGCCACTCATACTCCGGCGGTATCTGGAGGACCTCCGGGAAGACGGCAAGGACAGCACTTCCGAAATCACTGACTGAACCGGTCGCGGTGCAAGCCTCTGTCGAACTCTATTCAGATCCGCTTCATGATCATCTGGAAGAACTATCCCTTCTTCAGAAGGAATGAGATCCCGATAATCCACCACAGAAGAAACAGCATCTTCTGCGGAAGGAGAGAAACCATCTTCTGCCGGGGCCTCCACTGTCGGAGGGCGCGGGGCCTCTTCCTCTTCTGAACGGGGAGGGGCAGCCTCTTCCGTAGAGGGAGGAGCCTCTGCTCCCTCAGAAGGGGCGCCATCTTCAGCATCCTTCTCCATCCCCCGTCGTGCGGAATGCTTTATACTTCGAAACCTAGAATTATAACATAGGTTCGTTTAAAACTACAGTAAATTGAGTGTTGTACGTTTTTATTACTCCCCTTTTAGCTAGACAAGTAGCAAAATCATTAAGTTCTCCCTTGCCATATTATCTAAGGAAGCTTAGTTTATGGGGCTGGAGAGGTGATATTTTTAGTGAGGACAGCACACACACACACACACACACCCCCACCCACCTGGGAGCTTTTTCAGACTTTAAGTGCTCCTCCTGATTATGTTATGGCTCTAGGGGACTGTCCCTCCACACACATCCCATCCCTGCCATAGTAACCCCAGCAATTCATTGGAGGGCACCTGAGGAGGTGCCTTAGGGCTAAAAAAAAAAGATGAGAGCCACTGAATTAGAGGACAGACTGTAGATCACTGCCGAGGTACTCACTGTGCAAGAGACCAAGCAAAGAACTTCGTGAACTCTAAAGGTTCCTTGCTTCAAGGAACTATGTAATGCAATACAGTTCATTAATCAGACATTCTACTGTCTGCCATCTCATCTACCATAAAAGCATAAAACATCCTCTTAGCAGCCAAAATAAATAACCCCAAGTCCAAACAGAAAGTTCACACTGAAAAGTGATTGTGACTATTTATTGAGGCAATGGTACTATAGAGAGCATAAATCTAGCCTGCCTAAACAGAAAAGCTCTAATAATGAAGAAGTGTAGAAGTTATGAGCACATAACCATGGAAATTAGGGGACGCCAGTGGAAAAGGAGATGTCAGTTACAGACAAAAACCATATTGTAGGACAATAATGATGCCTCCAACCAAATAAATATGTTTTCAGGATGTGGTTAAAATCCAGAAACCAGAATAATAGTAAATACTTGGAGAACAAAAGGATACATTCCCAAACACGTAAGAAGACAGAAAAAGAGGTTTCTAGTGAGAAATTCTGAGGACACAGATGCAGACCTGGCCTAAGCAAGATGGAGCTTCTTATGATGGGTCAACAGTAGATACTACACAGAGCCAGCCTGTCACCTATGCCCCACAACTGCTCTCTCCAAGTTTTCCAGAGAACTCATAAACAGCTATAATTGTTTGTTTGATACACTTAGTTGGCCTACTCAAGGACAAACTGACCTATCTTTTAGCTGCTAGTTAACCAGTTTACCCACCCACTGTCCCCTAGAATGTGTCAACATGAACCATTGTTCCCAAATTATCAGCAGGGTTTTTTTAGCCTTCCCTCTCCCCACCCCCTTCTCTCTTTCTCTCTCCTCTCTCTCTCTCTCTTTCTCTTTTGTGACAGGGCCTCACGCTGCCACCTGGGCTAGGGTGCAGTGGCGTGATCATAGCTCACTGCAGCTTTGACCTCCCAGGCTTGTGACCCTCCCACCTCAGCCTCCCAAGTAGCTAAGACTACAGGTGCATGCCACCAGCCTGGCTAATTTATTTATTTGTTTGTTTGTTTGTTTATTATTTTTATTTTTCATAGAGACAAGGTCTCATTATGTTGCTGAGACTGGTCTCATGGTACTGCCAAACAGTACCAGTACTCAAGCTCCTGGGCTCAAGTGATCTTCCCACCTCAGCCTTCTGAGTTGCTGGGACAACAGGAATGCACCACGATACATGCCTAATTTTTTTATTTTTTATTTTTAGAGACAGGGTTTCACTCTGTTGCTCAGACTGGTCACAAACTCAATAATTCTTAAATCTGGTCGTTTGAGGTAATTTTCTATAAGTTTGTTCATCTTCATTCTTTTTCCTTTTGTCTCCTCTGCACATTTTCAAACAACCTGTCTGAGTTCAGTGATTCTTTCTTTGCTTGATCTGCTGTTGAGAACCTCTAATAAGTTTTTTAGCTCAGCAAATCTCTTTCTTAATTCCAAAATTTCTGGGTTTTTTAATCTCAATCTCTTTGTTAACCTTCTCTGATAAATTTCTGAATTTTTTTTGTGTGTTATCTTGGAGATCACTGAGCTTCCTCAGTGCTATTTTGAATTCTTGGTGAGAGGGTTCACATATTGCCTTCTTATTAGGGTTAGTCACTGGTTTCTTGCTTTGTCCTTTTGAAGAGGTCATGATCCTCTGTTTGCTATTTTTTCCTGTGAATGTATGTGTATGTCTTTGTGTTGAAGGATTAATTATTTACTCCAGTCTTCTCTGTCTGGCTGGTTTTGGTTTTTATTGGATATGTCTGCTTAGAGAGTCTTTACAATTTACCTGTAGATTTTCTTTTGTTTTTCACTAGGTCACTGACTCATTTCCAGCACTAGATGTCGGCTTAAGCCTGGGTTTGCCTCGGTTCTAGTAAACAATCAGATTGCTGCCCATCCAAAATGGGGGAAGTCCTAAAAGGATTATCCCAGCAGTGTGGGAATGCTGGCTAGGGGTTCATGCTTAAGGGAACTGTGGGATGAGCTTCCCACAGCATGGTACTGCCAAACAGCAACTCTGATTTGGTGTCTTCTTTGGCCAAGTTACAGAGCAGAGTTTCCAGGAATGGGGATGGTAGTCCTATCTCCCTCCTTCATCTCTGGCTGTCCTCAGGGATATTTCTCCCTTTAGCACTGCTGATACTTCCTGTGGTTTGAGGCAAGAACAGGTCTCCTGCCATGAAACCCAGGATGGTAGGAAAGTTGGTTGTCCACTTCAATCTCACTTTTCCCATTAGAGAAACCGTAAGACTGGGAGAAATTTTCCATTTGCCTGGTGCCAGGCAGACTGAGGTAAGGAGTGTCATGCTATGAAAGTCCAATTCTCTTACCATCTGCTTAGAGGTTTTTTCACTTCTCTGTGGTACTGGAAATGATCTCATCCTTATATCTGAGTTTTGGGATATTGTTGGTGATAATCTTAACATTGTGTATTTGTTTCCATTTTCTGGTGGTAAGGGAGAAGAAACAGCCAGCTTGCTTCTGTGCCACCATTTTGAAACACAATGTCAGGGTGCATTTTTGAGCTTGGTAGGGTTTTAGGGCTGCAGCTTAATGGTTAGCCCATTCGCAGTAAAAATCTTTGGTGGCAACTCTAATGCTGGGCAGAATAGGCGTCTATCTGTGAAACAGCAGCCCAGGCATTCCTCTGATGCTAGAGGGAATGAGCTGTAATGATCAGCTGCATTAGCTACACCCCCTCCAGGTCTCTGGAGAAGCCCTGCCTCTTGTCTTAAGAATACAACTTCACAGTGGATTGGATGAAGAAATATATACCATGGAATACTATGCAGCCATAAAAAAAACACATGTCCTCTGAAGCAACATGTATGCAGCTAGAGGCCATTATCCTAAGTGAACTAACACAGAAACAGAAAACCAAATACCTCATGTTCACACTTATAAGTAGGGACTAAACACTGGGGATACATGGACATAAAGATGGAAACAAGAGACACTGGGGGTACAAGAAGGGGAAGGGAAGGATGGGGGTTAGGGTTGGAAAACTACCTATTGGGTACTATGCTCACTATCTGGGTGACAGGTTTAATCATACTCCAAACCTCAGCATCATGCAATAAACCTTTGTAAGAAATCTTCACATGTATCCTCTGAATCCAAAATAAAAGTCAGAAAAAAAGACTACTTCAAGCCACAAGTGCTCAGCAACCACAGCTAATGTAGCACCCCCTAGATGTCTTGCCTGAAATCCAGCCCAGACAAGAATTCCTGAAGAATTCAGTCTCATTTAGGAGATAAAGTAACCTATATGAATCAATCAAGAATGTTAAATTGTGATGTTCTGCTGAAAAAGGAATTTAAAGAAGGAAGAGAGAAACGTGGACAAAATAGACAAAGAGGATTTCATGGAGGATTTGAACATTAGTTGGCCTTAAAGGATAAGTAGGAGTCAACAAGAAGCAGAGGGAAGAAATTTAAACAGAGAAGTAAAGAGGTAAACTATAAAAAGCTATGAACAGGTCAAAGCAGGGAAAATTTGGTTGGGAAAAAAAGTTTAGAACGACATCATATCATATTCATTCTTCCAAAAGACCACAAACAGCAAGGATTCAGAATCTGTTAAGATAAATAATAAATGTGGTTTTTATACAAGCAGACTTTTGTGACTGTGAACACTGACATACAGACTCTGTTTCTGCGAATACAAGTGTCTGTGAACACTGAAAATTGATAATCAGGGATTAATCCCTATTGTGACTCAGAAAAAAATAAATTATAAATAATTTGTTATAGTTTAAATTTTGTTAAAATAGATCATATAGCTAAGATTCCCAAAATAAATATATAAATACATGACCACTGCCATTTTGGAGAGATTTTCCTTAAGGAAATCATATAACTTTCCCTCTAATGAAATACTGTAATTTGAGATGCATTTTCTACATGGTTTTTGAGTGTCAAATATTGCTTGGCAGGTAACAAACTCTAAATACTAAAAGATCAACTTATCAACTTATAAGAGTGATGCAATTATTTAATTTTAGGTTAGAAGATGTATGCAACTACTTTATATAGAGGAATTCCTAAAAACTGTAGCAAAAATGAAAAAATCTTACCAACTATATATAGATAGATATACAATATATATACAGACACACATACACACAAGGTTGGTGGTTCACTACAACATGTTTGTAATAGCAAAAACAAGCAAGAAAACACACAGACACATACCCACACCTTGGAAACAACCAAGATGTCCCTTAATGAAGGGCCCACTAATTGTTCTGTACTACCCTTGTTCAATAAAATTTTAATGCATCATTAGCGATACAAAGAATGAGGTAGAGCTATATATGCAGATATGTAAAACTCTCCAAGACACATCGTTACATAAAAAGCAAGACACATTGCATAATAACACCACTCGCATAAAATTTTTAAAGTGTGTATATGTGTATATACGGTATTTCATCAATTCTAAGATGCATACTTTAAGAAGGTTTAATATGCAGCATTTTTTTGTTTCTCAGCATTTTTTTCTTTATGCAGTTACATAAAATACCTAATTTGCATGTACAGAATTGCAAAAAAATTGTAATCAGTAATAGTTTAGATTTGATAAAGTACATTATAAGCTTTCTAGGGAGAATACACAATAAATTATTAATAAGAATCACTCTGAGTGAAAGAAATTGAAGAAGGGAAGTAGAAGAAGAATTTTTACTTTCCAATTTCCTAACTTTCTGTATGGTTCTTTTCTAAAAAAAAAAAAAAAATCATGTGTACATTTTAGTTGTATTACATCTGTGCATATCATATACTGTAACATACAAACTCCTGAGCTCAAGCTCAGGAGTTTGAGACTAGCCTGGGCAACATGGAGAAACCCAGTCTTGACAACAAATGCAAAAAATTAGCCGGGCGTGGTGGCGTGCACCTGTAGTCCCAGCTACTTCGAGGGCTGAGGAGGGAAGATAGCTTGAGCCCAGGAGGTCAAGGCTGCAGTGAGCCAAGATGGCGCCACTGCACTCCAGTCTGGGTGACAGAGTGAGAACCTATCTTAAAAAATAAATAAATAAGACCTGAAATTCCCTACGAATCTACCCCCAAGCATTCACATTCTGCTGATGCAAAGCACACAGAGTGAATGTGGCATCAACACTTGTTCACTTTCTCTGGGTCCTTCTCTCCTTCACAGACAACTTGCTCTGTTGTGCAGGCTGGAGTACAGTCATGTGAGCACAGCTCATTGCAGTCCTCACCTCCTGGGCTCAAGCGATCCTCCTACCTCAGCCTCCCAAGTAGCTAGGACTAAAGGCGTACACAATCACACTTGGCTGTTCTTTTTTGGTTTGGGTTTTGGTTTTTCTGTAGAGATGGGATCTCACTATGCTGCCCAGGCTGGATGCAATCATTTTCAATTCCCACCATCCCTTCTTAAGTTAAATTTTAAGGATTCAGTGAACTTCTGCAAAGTCAACAAGAAATGCATCCTGGTTATTTTCAGGAGCATTTCCAGGTGTTGAACTCCTCCCCTCCTAGGAATACTACAGTAAGTGAGCAAGTTGCATACCTGTGTGCTGGGTACAGCCAATTCAACCACACCCTTTTCTCTTGCACCCATTTCTGTAACCCTATCCCAAATGCATTAGTTCATTCAGCAATATTGAACGTCTTCTGCATGTCTGGCCACTGTGGCTACATAAAAGACTAAGGACTTCTCCAAAGCAAAATGCACAATCAAATTGGTGTGACAGACTATTGAATACAACACAAGATGGTCAATGTCAATGACAGGTGAATTAACGAAGGGCTAAGAGAGCTTAGCAGGCAGCAAAACTTCTGAAAAACAAAAAAAGAAAGAAAGAAAACTTGACGGAGAAGGTACCACCCGAGTCGGGTCTAAAGAAGAGTTGTCAGGAGAGGATGGGAGAGAGAAACATTATAGGCAGAAGGTGGGAACAGTGGCGTACAAAAGCAGAGAAGCAAAAAGAGGCACAACTATCTTGGGAAAAGTGGTAAATTCAGTGATGAGACTTTTGGGCTAGAGGGGAATGAGAAGGGTAGAGGAACGGGAAATAAGCCGGAGGGAGAGGCATTTTTTTTGTTTTATTTTTGAATTTTTAAAAATATATAGGTATATGGCCGGGCGTGGTGGCTCATGCCTGTAATCCCAGCACTTTGGGAGGCCGAGGTGGGCGGATCACAAGGTCAGGAGATCGAGACCATCTTGGCTAACACTGTGAAACCCCGTCTCCACTGAAAATACCAAAAAAAATTAGCCGGGCGTGATGGCGGGTGCCTGTAGCCCCAGCTACTCGGGAGGCTGAGGCAGGAGAATGGCTTGAACCAGGGAGGCAGAAATTGCAGTGAGCCGAGATCGCACCACTGCACTCCAGCCTGGGCGGCAGAGTGAGACTCCGTCTCAAAAAAAAAAAAAAAATATATATATATATATATATATATATATATATATATTTATTTATTTATTTATTTATTTTAATAGCTTTTCGGGTACAGGTGGTTTTTTTACATGGATGCATTGGATAGTGGTGAAGTCTGAGACTTCAGGGTCATCCAGGTAGCATACATTGCAAGCGATATGTAGTTGTTTCATCCCTCACCCCCCTCCCACCCTTCCCCTTCTGAGTCTCCGAAGTCCACTATACCCCTCTGGATGCCTTTGCGTAGCAATAGCTTAGCTCCTACTCATAGGTGAGAACGTGCGGTATTTGGTTTTCTAGTCTCAAAACGGGGAGTGGGTGTGAAGTCACTTAGATGTCCAGTGTAGAGACTGACAAAGGGTAGTGACTCAGCTGGGGTTTTGAAGCAGGGGTTCCCTGGGTTCAACTAACAGAGGTGGAGGACTGAACTGTAGCGTGGATTCCAGTCCCCTAAAAAGAAGGAAAGTGGGCGGGGAACCCGGCTGCATCAGGGCCTCCCGGACAGGGGCCGGGCGCTCACAGCGCGCTCCGACCAAGTACTCACCAGCCGCTCTCTGGGCCCCGATGCCCCGACCACTCAGCCCACTGAGGCCGGCCCCAGCGGTTGCGCTGCCCCGGGGGAGCTGCTCCGGCCTCCGCGGCCCGGAACGAGGCTGACGGTTGGGAGTCCGAGACAGGCTCGCTCGGGGGCGAGGGCTCCGCAGTGCGCAGCTCCCTACGGGGAGCGACTGGAGGGGCACGGGCAGCCCCCGCGCTCCCCAATAAAGGATGCACCCACCGAGCCCGAGGACTGAAACATTGTTTAGGGGACCCCAGGCACTGAAGGGCGGGTTCCTGGAGATGGACATTTGGAGTGCGGTGCCAGGGGCTTGGGAGGATTCCCGCGTATACGTGGTAATACGGAAATATATAAAATAATGTTTTCTATGACCTTTACAGTTTCTGAAGTTACTTAGTGTTTTCCTTGAGAACCTAAAAAGTGTTTCCTGGTGAGTCAGTGTGTTCAGAAACCTGTGACTGATGAGAGAGAAAGATTCTGGGGGAAAACTGACTTCTCTCCCAAGTCCACCCCCTCCCCTCTCTAGTACGGTTCTGCTTTTGCTGTGACTGCCTGACATGATGTGAGCGGTCCGTTTTTAGTTGGGTGTGTTAACCAAAGAAAAAAAAATCAGTCATTTAAATAATTAATATTAGTTTTATTCAGATGTCTTACTAAGGATTGCAATCCGGAGAGTCTTTCAGAGACTTTCTGTGAGACTGCTCCAAAGCTTAGGTACAGGTGGTGGCATGTGATGGGAAGTGGCATCAGATGTGCTCAGCAGTTACATCAAATGAGCTCAGCAGTTACATTAGAGCAAAATCTCATCAAGGGTGGGGTTCAAGGGTACATCTGGTTATAGATTGTAGAGGCATAATCATTAATCCTATCAGCTATTATCTTATTATGTACAGGAAGAGGCATGAGTTAGGATCCTGGAACTTTTGCAAGAAAAGATTCATGCAAGAGATGTTATCATCTTCAGGGGCATTCTTCCAGGGGCTGCACTTAGTCACTGAGTTAGGGGATTTGTGAAATGTAGCTGCCAAAGAATTCTCTGACATTCTGCTGGCAAGCAGAATGAGCAAATATAGCTTCTTACATAAACTATTTTGTCTTACAGGTGTGAAAGTCAGTCTTTGAATGTAGAGCAGATCAATGTGGAATGAGGACTGAAAGGTCTGTCAACTGAAAAAAAAAACAAGAATGAATATAAAAAATCACAAATTAAATAAACCATGGTCCATCCATATTAATAGACATTACTCAGTGATTATACAATATAAGCTTATGGGAGCAAGGGAGTTCCTGAATATCCTTGCTGACTGTGCCGAAATGCAAGACCTACCTACCCTCTAACTCTGAGCCACTTCCTTAACCAATCTTTAGGCAACTCAGCAGGCCACAGCAACCACGGCACGAAAAGGCACAATTGCTCACTTCCTGGGGAGAGGGACTAGCTTGTTTACTGCTCGATACAAAAGATACTGAGCACTTAGCCCTAGATTCTTTACCTGCCTCCCAGTCCACTGCCTGCATCTGGGTCCACGGGGTTGCCCATTGGGACTTGGGGTTGGGGGAACCGGCCTCCCATATGATACTCCTGCCATTTGTTGAGGTAGTGTTGAGGACAAGTGCTCTACCTCTTGTCCATCGAATCTCATTGTTTACTTTTGGCACTGATGGAGCTGGGGCAGGTTTTATACTTGCCTTCTTTTCCTGTCCCTATGCTGTCTCTCTATTCTCATGTAGTAAGAAACAAACCAGAATACCATATTCCTTAATAAAGAGCCTTAAATATATTCATTCATATGCCTTAACCTACAAATGCCTCTTTTGAAAATATATTCCTAAGAAATAATACTAAATATGGACAGAGCTTTGGTTCTAAAGACATGTGTTGCTGTATTAGGTTTGTAGCACCGTGATCCATGCAATAGTTTCATTAACTCTGGCAGAAAACTAGCTTCATGGAATACTGCCAAATGATAGCAACCCTGAGAATGCCTGAGATACAGGAAAACTGTACCTTCCACAGAGTTCTCTTGAGGCTTAACAGAAGGTAAACCCCATGCAGCACTTATATAAGACATTAAGTGCCCACGATCCTGAGTATTAAGTGTCCCCGAAAATACAATGAGGGAACACATATAAAAACACTTAGCACAGTAGTACATGGTAATGGCTAAATCAATGCTAGCTGTTATTTGTAGTAGTTTAGTATTAGTGTGTGTAGTGAAGAAAAATACTGAACCGGTAATCAGGGAAACTGAGTCCTGTTACTGTGCTACTCAACAAATAACCGTTTAGTCGACTAAGCCTCAGATTGTGAAACTGCTCTATTACTGGATGTCCTTATTTGTAAAAAGAAATGGGGGAGTTGAGATAATCTCTAAGTTCCCTTCCAGTTCGAAAAATGTCTAACTCTATGACGAGTTTGGTTTCAAGCCTCATCAATTGAGAGGAAGATGATACTATTGACCGAAATAAAAATGTCAAAACAACCAATTGGAAATGTCTAGGTGTTGTAGGGAATATGCAATTAAGGTGCACAGATTAGCAATATTTGCTATGTTATAATTATCCTAAAGTACCACATGGTCATATTATCAAATAACAATTTAAGTAACCAGTTATTCAAGTAAAACATATATAATATTAAATAACTATCCACAGCTCATTCCTTTGAGCTTTTCTTGAAGGATTATCAGTTTGTGGCTGTAATGGCACATTTATATCTTGTTTAGTGTGGTCCATTCTACTTGCAAACAAAAATCTCTGCCAGTGCAGAAACCTGAAAAACCTGACAATAAGAACCTAAGCAACTGTGAACCCAAAAGTATCTGAGACAGGTTGCAATCAATTCAGAAAGTTTATTTTGCAAATATTTTGCTAACGTTAAGGATGGACCCATGACATAGCCTCAGGAGGTTCTGATGACATGTGCCCAAGGTGGCCAGGTTACACCTTGCTTTTATACATTTTAGGGAGACATAATACATGGGGGTGGGCCTTCCAGGCCACAGGTAGATTTAAAAATCTTCTGATTAGCAATTGGTTGAAAGAGTTATTATCAATAGAAAGAAATGTGTGGATTACAATAAGGGGTTGTGGAGATCAAGGTTTTATCATGCAGTTGAAGGGTCCAGGTAGCAGGCTTCAGAGAAAATAGATTGTAAATGTTTCTTATCAGACTTAAAGAGTGTCTTACCAGTAATTCCAAGAGGGATGAGGGTATAATGAGGCATGTCCAACCCCTCCTTCCATCATGGCCTGCACTAGTTTTCAACCTATCTATTTTCCTATGGTTGGACATTTAGCCTTTATCAATTTTTTCTTCCTTTTTTTTTTTTTGCTATTCAAACCATGTCTCTTATACATGTCTCATGGAGTGCAGACACAATAACCCTTTTCATACCCTTGGCTGAGGGGAAGGGTCCATTCAGATGGTTGGGGCGGCAGGGTGCAGGGGGTTACAATTTTATTTTTGGTTTACACAACTAATAAGATGATGTTCATTAAGGAAAATAAATGTAATCATAAAAGTATTTTAAACATATTCTCAGATTTCCTAATCTTAAATTATTACCAATGAAAAAGAAAAGCCATGTATACGTCCCTTGTAATGGGTTGAATTGTGTACCCCCCACAAAATATGTCCAAGTCTTTTTTTTTTTTTTTTTGAGACGGAGGTCTCACTCTGTTGCTCAGGCTGGAGTGCAATAGCACCACCTCAGCTCACTGCAACCTCTGTTTCCCTGGTTCAAGTGATTCTTCTGCCTCAGCCTCCTGAGTAGCTGGGACTACAGGTGCACAACATCACGCCTGGCTAATTTTTGTATTTTTGTAGAGACAGGGTTTCACCATGTTGGTCAGGCTGGTCTTGAACTACTGACCTCAGGTGATCTGCCGACCTTGGCCTCCCAAAGTGCTGGGATTACAGGCATGAGCCACCGCACTCGGCAATATGTCTAAGTCCTAATTACCATGACCTGTGAATGTGACCTTATTTGGAAAAAAAAAATCTTTGAAGATGTAATGAAGTAAAAAATCTCAAGGTGAAATTGTTGGGGTGATCAGACCCAACACCAGGCCGTGGGGGCTACAAAGTCCAGCGGAGTCAAAGGTCTAGTGGGAACCAGCCCCGCCAGCAACATGGATTCTCTTTCTTATCCCAGGTGGGTCAAACAGAGATGAGTTTGTGAAAGCTGGGTCCAGGGGGATCACCGCAATGTGGAGCTGCAATGTCATCCAAGCACTGGAATAGCCAGCATTTATTATCAGTTTACATGTGGGAGGGGGAGCAAGGGCAGTGAGCAGAGGGTGGTCTGATCATGGGGTGAGAGGATCACATGATTATAGGGTGAGGTCCACAGTAAAGATGTACGGATATACGGAACTGTGAGTTCCAACTGCTAGTTGCATGCATCAGCAATTTAATAGGATCAGGCTTTAACTATAAACTATGTTTAAGATGGTTGCGCAGTAGGCAAGTAAGAACGGGACATGAAACCAGACGACCAGTCTGACCACAATTCTCCCTGGGGGAGGGGCCCCTGGGCAGGCCTAGGAGAGTGGTGGGAGAAGAAGAGCTTTACGCCCTTATCTCAACCACTGAAGCTTTCACTTCCAAACAGACATCCCTCATGCATCCATTTATAGGCTCTCCATAAGGGATGCATTCCTCTCCCAGGGCCTTAATACTTATGCCTTCCTGAGAAAGGAATATGGGTGATGTGTCACCTCCCATCCTGCATGTCCGTCTATAGGCTCTCTGCAGGGGAAAGCACATCAAACGCTGTTAACTCTCACTGGCAGCCAAACCTCATGGTGACTGGCTCAGTCCTTCATTATTGCTTTAATAACCTGATTACTGTTTAACAATCAAGCAATCATCATTATACAAAGGCAAGCATTCTACTAGAAAAACAACACAGCAATTTAGAAAGTTATATGTAGTTCTTTTTTTTTCTTCTGACTTCATTCTAAAATTGCTTACACAAACACTTCCTAAAACTGTCCCTCCATTTCTCCCCAGTCCGGGGTCCTGGGCTTTGCCCATACAAAGGAATGAGAAAAGACAAGTTAAGAGTGCATAAGGTGGGTCCGGGGGCCAATGCTGGTATGGAGGCTGAAAAAGCCCTGAGCTCTGGGATCCTACACTATTTATTGGTGATCAAACAAAGAAGCAGGTGGTGAGGACATGTGGATGTGGGGGTAAACAGGTGAGGGCGTGAGGACATGGGGGTAAACAGGTGAGGGCGTGAGGACGTGGGGGTAGAAAGGTAGCGGTGCATGAAGCATAGCTGTGATGGTTTAGCATTTTCTTTGACACATATAGAATATACTCTGCTGCTTGAGATAATGGAGAACATGTTTACGAGCCTGGGAGAGCAACCAACAAGTCTGTGCACATTCCAGAGGCTACGAGGGGTTTTATGCCCTAAGCCCCAGATTCCATCCAAGCCACAAGGGGTTTTATGCCCTGGGCTTAGATTTGTGGTGTGGCAGGGCAGCTTTCCACCCTTTGGCACAGAGCTTGGTGTCCCAAAGGCCACGAAGGGTTTTAGAGCCTCGAACCCGGACATCTTCCAAGACTCTTTTATATTATGACAGACAAGCCAGTCCTGCCTCAGCTCTTCTACCAACAGAAATCATCCTGATTTAGGGTGGGTCCTAAATCTATGACTAGAGTCCTTATCAAAGAAAGTGGAGAGAGATTATAGACATGAAGACAGGGAGGAAGGCCACGTGAAGTTGAAGGCAGAGATTAGAGACACATTTCCACAAACCAAGGAACTCCAGGAGCCACCAAAAGCTAGAAGAGGCAAGGAAGGATTTTCCGTAGAGCCTGTAAGGGGGAATGACCCAGCTAACACCTTGATTTCACACTTCTTGCCTCCAGAATTGTGAAAGAATAAGTTTCTGTTGTTTTAAGTCACTGAGTTTGTGGTAATGTGTTACATCGTCCCTGGGAAAATTAATACACCCCTTCTACCAAAAAGGAGAATGTGAAAGTTTTCATGTCAGTGTGAAGTGTTTTATAAAAATCCTGAAACACAGAGTTGAGGAGGGCTCTGAAAAGAAGGGTCTCAGGCTTGTATGACTGACGACAAAACTATCACAGAAGATTCTGTGAAACTACAACCTTGTACAAAGGCCATCAAAACTTTATGCAAAGAAATACTTCTGCAAGGACATCCGCCCAGGAACTCTGTCCATCCTTAGACGGACATCATCACCCTTACTGTTGATCATTGTAGTCAAGGATAATAGTCTCAAAACAATTATGTAATCTTCCTCATTTTTCATTTAAAAACTTTTGTTTTCCTTTATCTCCCTGAATATGCACATAGTTTACTATGGCACGCAAATTCCCATTGCGATGCCCTACGTTCAAATAAATACCTTTTTCTTTTAGAGAACCTCTTTCTGTTTTTTAGTTTGACAAAGCACTTCTAAACTCTTTGGAATTTGTGTCTTCTCAAACAGGGACTATTTCTAAACTATTCCTTCCCCACTATCACTGTCTTCCCTTTTGTTTCTCTATGTGGTGCTTGTTACTTTTTAGTTTTAAAAAAAATGTGCGGTGAAATATTTAAAATATACAGAGAGTCATAAAGAATAATACAACTCTCCATTTGCCCAACATCCAGCTTAAGTTATAAAACATTGTCAACACAGTGAAATCCACAGTATATCCCTCCCCTATGTCTTCCTCTGCTGCCCCTTAGAGGAAATCATGTTCCTGAATTTGTTTATTCCCAGGCACTTCCTGTACCATTACTAGATGTGTATTTAGTCCTAGGCAATACGTTATGTCATTCTGCATATTTTTAAGCTTTGCAAAAATGGTATTGTGCTATGTGTATTCTTCTGCAACTTGTAATTTTTTTCATTTCTATTATGAGATTTATCCCTGTTGGAATAGTAGCTCTGGTTCATTCATTTTTACTTATGTATAGTAGTCCACTCAATGAAAATAACACAATCTATCTATTTTCCTACGGTTGGACATTAAGGCTTTATCCTTTTTTCTTCTTTTATTTTTTTTGCCATTCAAACCATGTCTGTTATATATGTCTCATGGAGTGCAGACACAATAACCCTCTAGGATATATACTTAGCAGTGGATCCCAGGATGTACTCTCTTCAACTTCATTAGATACTGCCAAATTACTTTCCAAAGTGTGTCCACCAGCAAGTGTTTATGCATTTCAGCTGTTCTACATCCACACCAACACTTGATATTGACAGGTTTTTAATTTTTTAATTTCTGTCAATCTCAAGAGCATAAAAGAAAACTCATTTCTATATTAAATTGCATTTACCTATTTACCAGAAAATTGGAGCAATTTTTTTTTCTTTTACTTTTTTTGAGACAGAGTCTCACTCTGTCACCCAGGCTGGAGTGCAGTGGCGTGATCTCAGCTCACTGCAACCTCTGCCTCCCGGGTTCAAGTGATTCTCCTGCCTCAGCCTCCTAAGTAGTTGGGATTACAGGCACATGCCACCACACCTGGTTAATTTTTGTATTTTTAGTACAGACGGGGTTTCACCATGTTGGTCAGGCTGGTCTCAAACTCCCGACCTCGTGATCCTCCTGCCTCAGCCTCCCAAACTGCTGGGATTACAGGCGTGAGCCCCCACTCCCGGACTCTCTCTCTTTCTTTCTTTCTTTCTTTCTTTCTTTCTTTCTTTCTTTCTTTCTTTCTTTCCTTCTTTCTTTCTTTCTTCCTTTCTTTCTTTCTCTCTCTCTTTCTTCCTTCCTTCCTTCCCTCCCTCCCTCCTTCCTTCCTTCCTCTTTCTTTCTTTCCTCCCTTCCTTTCCTTTCTTTCCTCCCTTCCTTTCCTTTCTTTCCTCCCTTCCTTTCCTTTCTTTCCTTTTTTTGAGACAGGGTCTCATTCTGTCGCCCAAGTAACGTGATCTCACCTCACTGCAACCTCCACCTCCCAGGTTCAAGTGATTCTCCTACCTTAGCCTCCTAAGTAGCTGGGATTACAGGCATGTGCCACCACACCTGGCTAATTTTTGTACTTTTAGTAGAGGTGGGGTTTCACTACGTAGGGCAGACTTGGAGCAATTTTTCATATGAATATATGCTATTTCTATTCTCTCTTTTGTAAATTGCCTATTCTTCTTTTTGGCCATTTTTTTCTATCGAGTTATGTGTCTCTTTCTCATTGATTTCTAACAGTTTTTACATATTCTGGATACTGAACCTTTGTTGGCTATGTGTGTTGCCCATACTTTCTCCTGGTCTATGGTTTAACTTTTTACCTTTTAGGGTGTGTTTTAGCTTTCTTTTATACTTCGTGCTTTTATATCTCATTAAGAAACTTCTTTCTTTCTTTCTTTCTTTTTTTTTGGAGATGGAGTCTTGCTCTGTCACCCAGGCTGGAGTGCAGTGGCACGATCTCGGCTCACTGCAACCCCTGCCTCCCAGGTTCAAACAATTCTCCTGCCTCAGCCTCCCGAGTAGCTGGGACTACAAGCACACGCCACCACGCCTGGCTAATTTTTTGAATTTTAGCAGAGACGAGGTTTCACTGTGTTGCCCAGGCTGGTCTCAAACTCCTGAACTCAGGCAATCCACCTGTCTCAGCCTTCCAAAGTGCTAGTGAGCCACCGCGCCCAGCCTTCATTAAGAAATTTCTACCATGAATTCACAAAGGCATTTTCTAATATTTTATTCTTCAAGGTTTTAAGTTTTGCCTTTTCACATTTATGTCTATAATCCTCTTGGACTTACGTTTTCCTTTATGGTATGAAATAGAGATCTTTTTTTATCACATACATAATCAATTGTCCTTACCCCATTCATTGAAAAAATAATCTTTTCCCCACTAGCAGTAAGATAACACATACCAAATTTATATATATATACACACACACAGAGACACAAACATGGTATGTGTGTATATTGGTTGCCTATTAATGCACAACAACTTATTCCAAAACTTAGCAGCTGAAAACAATAAACATTTATTATCTCACAGTTTCTGTGGTTTAAGAATCTGGGAATGGTCCAGCTAGGTAGTTCTGGATCAGGGTCTCTCACAAGACAGTGACTAAGAGGTTGGCCAAAGCAGCAGTCATTTTGAAGCTCTACTGAAAAAGGACCCACTTGCAATTTTACTGTGTAGCTGATGGCAGGTGTCTGGCCTTCACTGGCTGTTGACCAGAGACATTGGTTCCTTGCCACATGCATCTCTCCTTAGAGTTGCTCACAACGTGACAACTTGCTTACCCTCCAAGTGAGAGATCAAAGAAAGTGACAGAGCTCCCAAGATAAGAATCACAACATTTCATTCTCTAATCTCAGAAATGACATGAAGTGACACTTTATCATGTCTATCATGCTCTTTGTATCAGAAGTGAGCCACCAAATCCAGCCCATACTCAAGGTTAGGGAAGCAGACAAGACTGTGAAGACCCGGAGGTGGGGATCATTGGGGTTATCTTAGAGTGGTCTACTACAGTTTCCATTTGTTGATCTATGCCAGCCTCCCTACCATACTGTCTTTTTTTTTTTTTTCATCCTGTCTTAATTACTGTAGCTTGTACAAAGTCTTGTTATCCGGTAGAGAATGTTCCCCTACTTAATTATTATTCAGTATATCTTTCCTATTTGGGGCCCTAAAAATAGAATGTAGAATCTGCTTGTTCATTTTAATTGAAAACCCCTGGGCCAGGCACAGTGGTTCATACCTGTAATCACACTTTGGGGAGGCCAAAGTGCGAGGATCACTTGAGCTCAGGAGTTCAAGACCAGCCTGGGCAACATAGTGAGATGCTGTCTCTACAAAAACTAAAATAAAATAAATTATCTGGTTTTGGTGGTGCATGCCTATAGTCTTAGCTATTTGTGAGGCTGAGGTGGGTGGGTGGGTGGATTGCTGGAGCCTGAGAGGTTGAGGCTGCAGTGAGCTGAGACAGCACCACTGCACTCCACACTGGGCAACAGAGTGAGACCCTATCTTGAAAGAAAGAAAGAAGAAAGAAAAGAAAGAAAGAAGAAAGAAAGAAAGAAATAAAGAAAGAAACAAATAAAGAAAGAAGAAAGAAAGAAAGAAAGAAAGAAAGAAAGAAAGAAAGAAAGAAAGAAAGAAAGAAAGAAAGGACTCTGTTGGGATTTTTATTGGAATTTCATTACATGAACAGATTAATTAGTAAATGAATTGATATTTTATGATATTGAGTCTTCCTATTCATTTACATGCTTTATATCTCACATAGTCTGAGAAGCTCACCAGAAAGATTAGTGCAAAAGGGCTGGGAACAGTGGCTCATGCCTGTAATCCCAGCACTTTGGGAGGCCGAGGTGGGCGGATCACCTGAGGTCAGGAGTTTGAGACCAGCCTGGCCAACATGGTGAAACCGTGTCTCTACTAAAAATACAAAAATTAGCCAGCATGGTGGCAGGTGCCTGTAATCCCAGCTACTTGGGAGGCTCAGGCAGGAGAATCGCTTGAACCCAGGAGGTGGAGGTTGCAGTGAGCCAAGATCACACCACTGCATTCCAGCCTGGGCGACAGAGGAAGACTCCATCTAAAAAAGAAAATTAATGCAAAAGAAGACAATTTGGGGGTCTTTTCAATAATTCAGTGGTAACACACAGTATATGGAGAGTTTGTGTATTGCTCCAATTCCCGAGTTTAAAAGGTTTAAGGTCTAGTTCCATATAGAAGTCCTGCAGTTCTAATAGACTGTGTTTTGATGAAATATCCTCAGTAAGTTAGTATGAGGTATGCACAACATTTCTGCTGAAATCCTTATCCTGCCTATCATTTTGCAGTGGACATCCATGGTTCAGTTTGCCTGGCAATCCTCCCTTCTCATAAGAACATCATCGCTCTTCTTTTAGGGAACTAACAGATCCTCCCCAAACTCCAATCAGGTGGTCCTAATCCAGGTTGCCAATCGCAGTGCTTCAATCACAGGAGTAAGCACAGGTCCTAGGCCAGGCCAATCACAGCTCCTTCTTGGATTTTCCAATTTGATAAAATCCAGGCTGGCTGGATAAAATCCAGAGGGAGAGTTTACTCCCACTCCTAGTGAGAGAACAGCTGCCAAATTTCTAGTCTTATGGAGCTGGTGTCTGACAAACTGAAGCTGCGATGCAGAAAAAAGCTGAGATGAGAGACGGGGACATCTTGGTGGTGGCCAGGTGGCTAGTGCCATATACATCCCTGCCCAACCTCATTTTGGTTAGGTGAGCACCAGTCATTCCCATTTATTCTTTTAACAACAGGAAGTATTTAATGAGCATCTACTATTATGAGCCAATCATTGAAGACACAGTGATGACTAAGCCTTCCAGTGAACACAAAATATATATTAATGTAAAAAGTACTGCAAGTTATGGACATTTGGAACCTAAGTAGGCAAACCATGACTTAAATCTCATTTAGGCTGGGCACAGTGGCTACACCTGTAATCCCAGCACTTTGGGAGGCTGAGGCGGGAGGGTCACTTCAGCCCAGGAGTTGAGACCAGCCTGGGCAACATGGTGAAACCCCCATCTCAAAAAAATACAAAAATTAACTGGTCTTGGTTTTGCAGCCTGTAGTCTCAGCTAATCGGGAGGCTGAGGCCAGAGGACAGCTAGAGCCCCGGAAGTCGAGGCAGCAGTGACTGCAGTAAGCTGAGAGCACACCACTGCACTCCAGCCTGGGCGACAGAGCGAGACACTGTTAAAAAAATTAAAAAAAAAAAAAAAAGAAAGAAAGAAAGAAAAGAAAAAAGAAAAAGGAAAAGAAAACTTATTTAATTCTCAACAAATCCTGTTAGGAAGCTCAGAGAGGGTCAGTAATTATTGCAAGTTTCTAGCGCTAATATATAGCGGAACCAAGACTTGAACATAGGTTTTCGACTCAACAATTGTTTTAATTACTCTGCGCTGCGTAAACTGAGAAACCTCTGAATCCTTACAATTTTAAAAGAACAACTTACAGTTTTCAGTTTCCATCAGATTCCAATTTTCTACCAAATTGCAGCCCTGAGGTATGAATGGTTACCAAACTTTAGTTAAACAAACAAAATTAGCTCATTAAGTAACAGAGAAACCACTCTGCCCAGCCTGCATTTTTTTTTTTTTTTTTGTATGAGTTTGCCTCCTTTATGCGCAAGGCTCCTTGGGAGTTGTAGTCTGAGGCATAGTCCTGTGGGTGGAGGCGCTGACTCACTGGGACCCAATCAGCAGAGAGTCAACTTGCTCTCCGCGCAGCGATTGGCTGGAAGTCAGCGGTCTCCCGCCCGCGGCGCCATCGCGCCATTCCTAGTTAAGGCGGCACAGGGCCGAGGCGTAGTGTGGGTGACTCCTCCGTTCCTTGGGTCCCGTCGTCTGTGATACTGCAGCGCAGCCATGGCAGAACCGCAGCCCCCGTCCGGCGGCCTCACGGACGAGGCCGCCCTCAGTTGCTGCTCCGACGCGGACCCCAGTACCAAGGTGGGCACAGGACCGAAGGGAACGGCTCCCCCAGCTCCGCTGGGCCGGGACCGGGCCGCATTCTATCCAACCCCATCCCGCCGCCGCTGCAGGTCCGCCGGCCTCGGGCGGACGGGAGTGTGATGGGAAGAGGGATAATGGTGTTTGATGGGGCGATCGTGGGGCCCGCGAAGTGTGGAGGGGATCTGTTGCCTCAGCTAGTTTCAAAGACTGCGACCCTGTTTTGAATTGGCTTGTTTATGTTGCGACGGTGGCTGGAAGCCAGGCCAACCCAGGGTCAGCTTTCCCAAATCAGTCGCCAAGGCCCACGAGAACAGTAGTTTCAGAACTCCCAGAAATAGGTTCAAAGATGCCTGTCCTGTACCAGTCCTGCCCAGCCTCGTTTTTCCTTACCACCCTGACTGCAGTCTTAACTCCTGCAAACTAATTTGATCGCTCTAAGTTTAACCGCGCCCAGAATTTCACTTTTGCTTGCTTGGCCTTTGCTGTGGGTCACAACAGCCCTTCTTGCCTTCCTCATCTTCGTGGGGCCCAGGAGAGATTACAGAATCATAGAGTTTGGATCTGAAAGGAATCTTAGAAATTCCTTCTCTTACCCTCTCGTTTTACAGTAATGACCCAGTAAGAGAAATGACCTGTTGCATACAAAGGCTTTCACTTACCGAACATGTCTTTACTGGGTAAGAATCAGTGTAACTCACTCAGGTGTGGTGTTTCGGTTGCCTTGTTAAGATCAGACACAGTTGGCGGGCGCGGTGGCTCACGCCTGTAATCCCAGCACTTTGGGAGGCCAAGGCGGGCGGATCACGAGGTCAAGAGGTAGAGACCATCCTAACACGGTGAAACCCCGTCTCTACTAAAAATACAAAAAAATGAGCTGGGCGTGGTGGCGGGTGCCTGTAGTCCCAGCTACTCGGGAGGCTGAGGCAGGAGAATGGCATGAACCCGGGAGGCGGAGCTTGCAGTGAGCTGAGATCGTGCCACTGCACTCCAGCCTGGGCGACAGAGTGAGACTCTGTCTAAAAAAAAAAAAAAAAAAAAATTCAGGCACAGTAACCGCTGTTTATTCCAGTGAAGTCATCAGTGTCTGTAAACACCTTTGTATTTATTTATTTGACTACATCATTTGTAAATTCCTTGAAGATTGAATATGTGCTTCGTGCAGACCTTTAAAAGGGGTAGATAAGTGGTCCATGACTCTGGTCCCTGCTTGTTCTTTACCTTCAGGGCAAAGAGTCAGACACATCTCATTGCTAAAACTTTTGACTAGCACCTGGTACTTGGCTTAGGAAAAATGTTAGTCATTGCAAAATTAAGGGGGAAGGTAAAAAAATTCCGTCATGCCCATCTCACTTGTATATCCCTTAATATTAATACCTGGTTTTTTCATATAATGTAAATTGAGTCACTCAGTGTAAAGTATTTTCCCAGATAACTAGGGGTTTTATGTAATGGGGTTTTCAAATAAAAAGGATTCCAGGGATATCTTTATAAAATATACTAAGTAAATGTCCTTGCAGCTTAATTTACATTCCACAGTATCTAAATTTCTCTTGATGATTCGGAGTAATTAATTTTGAGATCAGTAATTTTTGGCCATGGGAGACATAAAATGGAATACATAATAATAGCTGGTATATATTGAGTGTGCCAGGCCCTGGCTTGGTATTTTAAGTACATTGTTTAATTTAATCCTAACAACAACCCTATGAAGAAGGCATAATTATGATCTTCATTTTACAAATAAGGACACTCAGGCACATAGAGGTGTTGAGTGATTTGCCCAGGGAGGACCCCACACTTCCAACCTCCACCCTGTTCTGCTTCTGGGGTGCTGACTCCAGCAGTAATTTTGGAATTTGCCATAAAGGAAAATAAAAAACCTCAATGAAGGCTGGGTGCAGTGGCTCATGCCTGTAATCCCAGCACTTTGGGAGAGCGAGGTGGGCAGATCACCTGAGGTTAGCAGTTCGAGACCAGCCTGGCCAACATGGCAAAACTCTGCTCTACTAAAAATACAAAAATTAGCTGGGCATGGTGGCGGGCACCTGTAATCCCAGCTACTTGGGAGGCTGAGGCAGGAAAATCACTTGAACCCATGAGGTGGAGGTTGCAGGGAGCCGAGATCATGCCACTGCATTCCAGCTTGGGTGACAGAGTGAGACTTTGTCCAAAAAAAAAAAAAAACCCTCAATGAATTAAATTCAGTTTGATCACTTGATACATTTATGCTATATGTAAAGAAGATGGTAAGTACTTTGGGGATACTGGGATAAACAAGATGAGGTTCCCTCCCTTCACCAACTTATATCAACTCTAATATACAATGGACCTGGGGTTAGTGTGCTATTGAAATATAAATCACCCTGAGAGCACCCTGGGAGGTAGAGGTTTTTAAAGGTAGCATTAGTGGAATGGGGTATGCACAGGGTATTTGGAGCCTGAAGACCTGCATTTGAATCCCCACTTCTGTTGTTGGCTGCAGTGACCTTGCCAGGGCACTTGGGCTCAGTTTGTAGAAGGAGCATAAAGATATCTCAGAGAGCTGCTATGAGGATAAAATGACATGTATTATGTTCTCTAAACTATGAAGAGTGATACAATTCAAGGTTGTATTTCAGCTGTGGGGATCAGGGCACACATCAAAAAGATGGTGGTGATGGGCCTATGCCTTGATAGATTGGGTAGGATTCCAGCAGAGTACATGGGAAGGCATTCTGATGAAGGAAACATCTTAGCAAAAATGTGTTTTGATACGGGGGGAACCCACCCCAATATTTCAACGTAGGTTCTTTCTATTTTCCATAAGTATTGGCCAGCTGAGAAATAAAGAGTACAAAGAGAGGAATTTTACAGCTGGGCTGCCGGGGGGTGACATCACATATCAGTAGGACTGTGATGCCCACCTGAGTCTTAGACCAGCAAGTTTTTATTAAGGGTTTCAAAAGGGGAGGGGGTGTAAGAACAGGGAGTAGGTACAAAGATCACATGCTTCAAAGGGCAAAAAGCAGAACTACTAATAAGGGTCTAACAAAGATCACAAGGCAAAGGGCAAAAGCAGAACTACTGATAAGGGTCCAACAAAGATCACAAGGCAAAGGGCAAAAGCAGAACTACTGATAAGGGTCTATGTTCAGCAGTGCACGTATTGTCTTGATAAACATCTTAAACAACAGAAAACAGGGTTCGAGAGCAGAGAAGCGGTCTGACCACAAATTTACTAGGGTGAAGTTTTTTCCCCACCCTAGTAAGCCTGAGGGTACTGCAGGAGACGAGGGCGTATCTCAGTCCTTATCTCAACCTCATAAGACAGACATTCCCAGAGCGGGCGTTTATAGACCTCCCCCCAGGAATGCGTTCCTTTCCCAGGGTATTAATATTAATATTCCTTGCTAGGAAAATAATTTAGCAATATCTCTCCTACTTGCACGTCCGTTTATAGGCTCTCTGCAAGAAGAAAAATATGGCTCTTTTTGTCCGACCCCTCAGGCAGTCAGACCTTATGGTTGTCTTCCCTTGTTCCCTAAAATCGCTGTTTTTCTGTTGTTTTTCAAGGTGCGCCGATTTCATATTGTTCAAACACAGTTTTACAATCAATTTGTACAGTTAACACAATTATCTCAGTGGTCCTGAGGTGATGTACATCCTCAGCTTACGAAGATAACAGGATTAAGAGATTAAAGACAGGCATAAGAAATTATAAAAGTATTATTTGGGAACTGATAAATGTCCATATTAAAATGAAATCTTCACAATTTATGTTCCTCTGCCACAGCTCCAGCTGGTCCCTCCATTCGGGGTCCCTGACTTCCCACAACAGTTTTAGGATGGTAGAATTGCAATGCAGGGCAGGTACTGGAGAGTTAGTTAAATGTTATTGGTTGCAGTTCAGGTTATCTAAGCAGTGGTGGAAGAGGCTAACATGGTAGGTTGGGGCCAGATTGTGGAGACAGCTTTGAGTGTCACATCTAAGGAAGTTAGATTTTATATACATAGTGGGGAATGAGTCAGGGTTTTGAAGTATTCTATAAAGTAGATTGGAGGGATCCAAGTCTGGAGGTGATTAGGCCACTTAAAAAGCTCTTCCAGAAGGTGAGATAAGTGATATGAGGGTCTCGTTTGTAAAGAAGACAGCAGCAATGGCACAAAGTCGACTTGTTTTTTGATCATTTGCATCTTCATTATAAAGGAAGTCCAGAGAATGTATGGCTATGTCACATTTTGGGCAATCTCTCTGGGCTAACTTTCTTTAAAAGGTCAGATTCTCCTGGCAACAGAGAGAGACTCCGTCTCAAAAAAAAAAAAAAAAAAAAGGTCAGGTTCTCCTTCCAAGTAGTGATCTGGAGATCTTTTCTTTTTTACTATCTGTATCTGTCTCCACTAATACAGTAGACAATGTCCTCAGTGTTGCCATTATTTCTACCACCACTGCCAATGTCCATTTTCACATCGTTCCATATATAAATATATGAATATATAAAAATATAAAAAATTAATATATATTAATATATAAATATATCTATAAATATATGAATATATATATATATGATGGGGTCCCTCTCCAATCAGGTAGATTGGTGGAATTGAATGCAGTAGAAAGGAGAATAGGGAATGGAAAGGAGGAAGGAAGAAGGACAATGGCCAGATAAATGGCTGACTATTCAAGGCATAGAGAATCATAATATATATAAAGGCATAATGACATCAGAGAACTGAGGCAGGGACCTACGGGTAACACAGTGAATGAAGTTATAAGCAGTGGGACTTGAGGGAAGGGTGACCAAAACAATCATTAGGGTACTCAAAGAAAAGATGAGAATTCCCATTATATTCATTTGTTTTTCTCACCCTGTAATGGTTGCTATTTAAGTGATAAGGGTATGAAATAGAAAATGTTTGAGATGACCGGTTTAGGGGAGTGGTGATAACCGTTGGTGTTAGAGAAGTATGCAGCTACATATGTGGTTGCTTTTGGGACTGTCTCTCAAATGTGTTGAGGAACCACTGAAGTATTGATTTTTAAGCCAAAAATGACATGACAGGGTTTTCTTTATGGAAAGATCACTCCAAATTGCATGTAGATAAGCCTATGAAAAGCAAAGAGATAATTGTCTAGGCAGGAAGTAGTGAGGACTTCTTGCTTTCCTCAAGATACACTGAAGGCAGTTGAAAAGCTCATTTTTAAAAGTCTGGTGAAAACCACTTTGTTCACTTTTGTTTTGTGGGAGATGTGACACCTAGTAATAAAGAGTTAACAAACCCTTTCCCCTTTTATGAAAATTTGACTTTTCGTTAACTCCCTAGTTTCCCAGAAAACAATGAAAAATTGTGTTTGTTGCTTATGGTAAAAATAACCCAATTGGTAAATTGCATCTGGAGAGGGAGAATTGTAAATACTTGAAAGGAAGCCATAGCTTTGGACTTCCCTGATTGTAGTGACTCTTATAACTGTCCCTTGTGGAAATTCTAGAAGTTCTGCCTATGGAGTTGCTACTAGAGATACTGGCTCCTGTGGTACATGGGGCCTTCTGCCCTAGGGTGATTCTCATTCATATCCAGTGTGAATCTTCTCCCTGTACCTGATCTGTGTCGACTCCTGTAAGGACTCCCACTGAAGAGGAACACCTGATACTTCTTTGTTGGCAATCTGTGTTTTCCTAACAGATACCGTTTTGAGTAAACTGGCACCATGTATGGCCTATGGCTATGGTTGTCTTATAAGTCTGGATGTTTAGTTGAGCCTTAAGAAGACTTTCTGGGCCAGGCCCGGTGGCTCACGTCTGTAATCCCAGCACTTTGGGAGACCAAGGTGGGTGGATCATGAGGTCAGGAGTTCGAGACCAGCCTAACCAACATGGTGAAACCCTGTGTCTACTAAAAATACAAAAAAATTAGCCAGACATGGTGGCGCGTGCCTGTAATCCCAGCTACTCAGGGGGCTGAGGCAGGAGAATAGCCTGGGAGGCAGAGGTTGCAGTGAGCCGAGATCGTGCCATTGCACTCCAGCCTGGGCAACAGAGTGAGACTCCATCTCAAAAAAAAAAAAAAAAGAAGAAGGCTTTCTGTTGGGGGCAATATAACACTTTTGAAAGTTATTTGAGAGACAAAGTAGATAGTCTCTAAAGGGAATTGGTCTCAGTCTTATTAAGGTCGAAAGACAACATTTTTTAAACCAGAGAAATTTTTTAATTTCTGAAAATATGGCTAATGCAAGTGTGGAACTTCTCCTTTCTGCAGACTGAGGGTAATAAAGGTGCTATGGTCTGAATGTTTGTGTCCCCTCAAAATTCATGTGTTGAAATCCTAATCCCTGAGGCAGGTATTAGGAGGTGGGGCCTTTCAGAAAGTGATTAGGTAGGTCATGAGGACAAAGTCTTCATGATTAGGATTAGCATCCTATAAAAGAGACTGTAAAGAATGATCAAGCCCTTCTGCCATGTGAGGTCACAGTGCAAAGGTACCATCTATGAGGACAGACACTAAATCTCCAAGTGCCTTGATCTTGGACTTCCTAGCCTCCAAACCTGTGAGAAATAAATGTCTGTTGTTTATAAGCCACCCAGTTTATGGAATTTTTGTTACAGCAGCCTAAATGGACTAAGATAAGAGGCAATGGAGATTTTAACTTTAAGATGTAACCTCTTACAAAGCTCTCTAGTAATACTTCTAGAGAAATAAGTATCTTCATCACTAGAAGCAAATTTGAGATTTTGTAGGGAGAAAACACAAAGTCAAACAACGTTTTTATCATTGTTGTAGCTTTTTGACCAGTTTTGATTCATCCTGAAAATAGACATATTGTAACCAAATACACTCATATCCCATTGTGGGAGGCAGTTGTATAAAATTCATTTAGAGACTCTGCTTCTGACAAGATGAAGTAGACATACTTTTCCTTATTCCTCCTGCTAAGTACAACTAAAAACTCTGGACATGATATATAAGACAAACATTGGAAGACTCTGAAAGGTGGTGAGAAGAAGGTAGACTGGCTAGGGACCTTGAGACCCTAGGAACAACAAGGCAATGAGTTTCCTAAGTTTTCTTTTTGCCTCATATTGCCCAGACTTGAAGCTGAAGAAGCTAGTAACCTGGAAATGCTGATGGACACAGACCAAAAAAAAGCCTAATGAAAGCCTGCTCTCTAGCCACAGGACCTGGAAATGGGCAGCATTTCCTGGCAAGAAAGAAAACTTTTAGACAATAACTGCTCTACTCCAACTAAACTCCATAGAGAAAACTGTGGCCTCAGTCCCACCCATGCCAGCAAAAGCTGAGTGGGGAGCCTAGATTTTCACCCAACCAGATGTAATGAGCTGCCCAGCCTTCCCCTGCCAAGGTGATGTGGGGGAAGGCTGGGTAGGGAGCCAGGACTTTCATCCTGCCAGGCTTTCCCCTCTTGCCATATCAATGGAGACACATGAGGAACCTAAAATTCCACCCCAACCCAGCAGTGGAAATATTTAAGATAATTATAAGCGGGAGAAGGTACAGGAATGTAAAGAGAGGTGAGGTTTCTGTACCTTGTTCAAACTAATAAAATGATGTCACCAAATGACTGATAAGTTATGTGTGTGTGTGTATACATATACATGGGTATATGTATATACATATATACATGTATGTCTGTATATATGTGTATGCGTATATGTATATATATGCCATATGTATATACATATATAGTAACACCTAGAGCCACCATTTAAAAAGCTATACAAAGAGATACATGCAAAAACACTACAGATAAATGAAAATTGAATTTTAAAAAGTTCCAGTGACCCAGAGAAAGGCAAAAAGAAGACAGAAAACATTAAAAAAGGAAGAACAAACAGAAAACAAACATGAATAAAATGGCCAACTTAAGCCCTAACATTTCAGTACTTACATTAGATACAAATACATTAAGAGACAATGATTGATAGAATGGATTAAAAAACATGCCCCAGCTGTATGCTGTCTACATGAAACTCACTTCCAATATGATAGAGACAAGGTAAAAGTAAAAGGGTAGAAAAGATAATTCATGCAGATATTCATCAAAAGAAAGCAGGAGTGGCTATCTTGATATCAGATAAAGTAGACTTTGGGGCAAAGAAAATTACCAGACATAAGAAGTACATTATACAGTGATAAAAGAGTTGTGATTGACCAAGATGACACAGTAATCATAAATATATGTTACTAAACAGCAGAGCTAGGGAACACATGAAGCAAAACTGATATAACTGAAAGGAGAAATAGAAAAATCTAAAATTATAGTTGGAGACCTCAACACTGCTCTTTTTTTTTTTGAGATAGGGTGTCACTCCTGTCACCCAGGCTGGAGTGCAGTGGTGCCGTCTCAGCTCACTACAATCTCTGCTTCCCGGGTTCAAGGGCTCCTCCTACCTCAGCCTCCCAAGGAGCTGGGGCTACATGTGTACACTACCACACCCAGCTAATTTTTCTATTTTTTGTAGAAATGGGGTCTCACTATCTTGCCTAGGCTGGTCTTGAACTCTGGGGCTCAAGCAATCCAGCCACCTCGGCCTCCCAAAGTGCTGGGATTACAAGCATGAGCCACCAAGCCCAGCCAACGCTCCTCTTTCAACAATTGATAGAACTAGACAGAAAATTAACAAGGAAACAGAAGAACTCAGCAATACCATCAACAAATAAGATCTAATTAGTATTTATAGAATGTTCTACCGAACAACAACAGAATTCCCCTTTTTTTTTCCAAGTGTCTGTAGAAAATATACCAAAGTAGACCATGCCCTGGGTCCTAAAGCCAACTTCAGCAAATTTAAAAGAATGGAATGATGTATTCTTCAGCAACAGTGGAATTAAACTAGAAATCAGTAGCAGAAACATAATAAGAACATCTTCAAGCACTGGGAAAATAAACAGCACACTTCTAAATAAATAATCCATGGATTACAAAGGAAGTCTTGGGAACTTTTTAAAAATATTTTGAGCTGAGGCCGGGTGCAGTGGCTCACGCCTGTAATCCCAGCACTTTGGGAGGCTGAGGCAGGCGGATCACGAGGTCAGGAGATCGAGACCATCCTGGCTAACATGGTGAAACCCCGTCTCTACTAAAAACACAAAAAATTAGCCAGGCGTGGTGGCGGGCACCTGTAGTCCCAGCTACTCGGGAGGCTGAAGCAGGAGAATGGCGTGAACCCGGGAGGCGGAGCTTGCAGTGAGCCGAGATCGCTCCACTGCACTCCAGCCTGGGTGACAGAGCTAGACTCTGTCTCAAAACAAAACAAAACAAAACAAATATATATATATATATATATAGAGAGAGAGAGAGAGAGAGAGAGAGAGCTGAATGAAAATGAAAAAGGGATCATAGCTAAACAGTGCAAAGGGGGAAATGTATAGCACTGACTGCATACATTATAAAAGAGGAAAAGTCTCAAATTAATAACGTAAGCTTCCTCCTAAGAAACTAGAAAATGAAAAGCAAAGTAAACCCAAAGGAAGCAGAAGGAAGGAATTAGAGAAGCAGAAATTAATGAAATTAAGAACAGAAAATCAGTAAAACAGAGCTGGTTCTTTGAAAAGACCAGTAGAATAGACAAACCTGTAGCAAGACTGACAATGAAAACAAAGAAGCACAAACTACCAATATCAGGAATGAAATAGGGGATACACTACAGACCTTTCTGACATAAGAAAGATAAGGGAATACTAAAAACAACTTTGTATACATAAATTTGACAACTTGAATTGGACCAATTCCTCATCCAATATGAACTAATATGATGAGTCCTATAACTTAAGGCAATTGAATTTATGATTAACAAACTTCCAAAGAAGATTTGTCCAGACCCAGGTGATTTCACTGGAGAATTCTGCCAAATGTAAAAGAAGAATTAACATCAATTATACACAACCCCTTCCAGAAAACTGAAGACGGGAGAACACTTCCCAATTCATTTGATAAAGCTAATATTACCCTGATACCAAAAACAAATGAAGACAGTACAAGAAAACTACAGACCAATATCTCCAATGAATATAAATGTAAAAACCCTTGACAAAATGTTAGTAAACAGAATTCAACAGTATATATAGAAAGAATTATACACCTTAACCAAGTGAGGTTTATATCTAGGATGCAAGCCTGGTTCAGTATACAAAAATCAGTCAGTATAATCCACCATATTAAGAGGGTAAAGAAGAATCACATGATCATATCAGTTGGTACAGAAAAGGCATTTGACAAAATTCAACACTCATTCATTATTTTTTTTAAGTTCAGAAAAAAATAGGAATGGGGGCATTTCTTTAACTTGATAAAGAGCTTCTCTTGAAAAGTTAGAGCTAATATTACACTCAGTGGTGATGCTTTCTCCCTAATTTTGGTAATAAGACAAGGATGTCTGCTGTTACCACTCTTATTTGACAAAGTGCTGAAAGTTCTAGACAGTGCAGTAAAGCAAGAAAAGGAAATAAGAGACATATAGGTTGGAAAGGAAGAAATCAAACTGTCCTTATTTGAAGATGACATGATTGTCTACATAGGGAATAATAAGTAATTTACAGAAAACTCCCAGAATTCATAAATGAGTTCAGCAAGGTTGCAGGGTACAAAATAAACATACAGAAATCAATCGCGTTTCTATATACTAGCAAAGAACACACAGGCACCAAAAATTAAAAAATACATTACCATTTACAATTGCCCAATAAAATGAAATACTTAGATATAAATCTAATAAACATTTACAGGACACATATGCTGAAAACAGCAATGGCGATGCAAAAAGTCATAGATCTAAATAAATGGAGAGATTTATTGTGTTCATGATTGGAAGACTCAGCACAGTAAGGATATCAATTCTCCCCAAATCAATATACATGTTTAACACACTCCTTATCAAACTTTTTTAGACAGAGACAGGGTTATTCTAGATTGAAAGGCAAAAAAACTAGAATAACAAACCATTTTGGAAAAGAATAAAGTGGGAAGAATTTTTCTACCTGATTTTAAGACTTACATAGCTACAGTAATCACTACTCTGTGGTATTGGCAGAGAGATAGAACATTGAAACAAAATAGAGAACCCCAAAATATACCCACACTAGTATGCCCAACAGCTTTTTGACAAAGATGAAAAAGCAGTTCACCAGAGGGAGGATAGCCTCAACAAATGGTGCTGAAGCAATTGGACATCCTTAGGTTAAAAATGAAGCTCTACTCAATTCTCATCCCTTATACCAAAAAAAAAAAAATCCATTTACTGGTGCTTAAAGGGGCCTTAATCCTTTGGTTCACATCCTTGCCTCACTTTTACAGTTTTGTAAGGATTGTATTGTAGGCAGGTAGGACATGCACTAGAAACATCCTTGATTGTACCTTTAAAGTTTTCTTGGCGGTTGCGGTGGCTCACACCTGTAATCCCAGCACTTTGGGAGGTCAAGGCGGGTGGACCACAAGTTCAGGAGTTTGAGATCAGCCTGGCCAATGTGGTGAAACCCTTTCTCTACTAAAAATATAAAAATTAGCTGGGCGTGGTGGCTGGTGCCTGTAGTCCCAGCTACTCAGGAGGCTGAGGCAGGAGAATCGCTTGAAGCTCGGGAGGCGGAGCTTGCAGTGAGCCAAGATTGCGCCACTGCACTCCAGCCTGGGTGACAGAGCGAGACTCCATCTTAAAAAAAAAAAAAGTTTTCTTACAGTAGTTTTCTTAATTAAATTTGGAGAATGACACTTCCCCTCCCCCCGAAAAAAACCTTATTATTTCTATTGTCCACCTTTTGATAAGGCACAGGAGCAAATCTTTGTCACCCAGTAGCCATCCCTGTAAAACCAAAGATAGTTTAGGCATAAAAGACACCTTATTTTTATTGTTCTAAATTTAAAGCATGATAAGGGAAAGACAAAATTAAGGACTATCAGGTGAGACAAGACATGAGCATAGCATAAGTCTTACTTTTTAAAACAGGAGATACATGTATTTTAAACGATATTTTAGAACCATACCAATAAAGCAATAATTTTTAGGAACTTAACTTTTTAAAACAGGAACTTTTTCTCAAGATCATGCAAGTGTTCACAAGAGGCACATGGAGTTAACAGACTATTTTGGTGATAAAAATAAAACTGTTATCTGAGCATAGAATAACTTGATCATTTTCTTAAAAATAAGCCCTTCTTGTTTTTATATCCATTTAACAATTTGTAGCAAAGGATTTATAAGCCTCTATTTTATCAATAAATTCACTAACGTTGAATATATCTTACTTTTTTTGCCACGTATAGACTTTTTAAAGTGAATTTTAATATTCTTTATGTGTATGTGTTTAGGCAGATACAGTACATAGTTCTCTTAATAATAAAGTTAAAGTCTGTAACATTAATTTTAAGATATAATTAATCTCAATAGCATATTAAGTGGTATTTGTTTTCATATGCATGTGTGTGTGTATATATATATAATGTTTTTAAAAGCTAATATACCATTTTATATATTCCCATGCCATTAGACTTAGTATACCATCTGTATATATCTCCATGCCATTTAATATACCTCGACGCAGCATTTTAAATGTTTTTCATAATATTCTTTTATGCCTGTGTCATACTATCTAACTATTCCTTTGTTAGAGGCAGTTAGTGGTTTAAAAGCAAGGACTTTGGAATCAGATTGCTTGGGCCAGAATTTTTTCTCTGCCACTTACTTTCTCAGCAGTAAAATGGGGATGATAATAATATGTATCTCATGGGCTTGTTGTGAAGATTACATGTATTAGTTTCTTTGAATCTCTTAGAACAGCATCTGGCACATAGTTATTGTGTAAGTGTTGTGATGGATGCCTTTGTACATAAATCTTTGTCAGAGTAATTATTTCCTTAGAATTTTAGAAAGAGAACATCTTGGTCAAAGAATATGAATTCTTAGGCCAAGGCAGGCGGATCACGAGGTCAAGAGATCGAGACCATCCTGGCCAACATGGTGAAACTCTGTCTCTACTAAAAATACAAAAATTAGCCGGGCTGGGTGGCGGGCGCCTGTAGTCCCAGCTACTCGGGAGGCTGAGGCAGGAGAATCGCTTGAACCCGGGAGGCGGGTTGCAGTGAGCCAAGATCTCACTGCTGCACTCTAGCCTGGAAACAGAGGGAGACTCTATCTCAAAAAAAAAGAAAAGAATATTAATTCGTGCACCACCACTACTGGCTGATTTTTTGTATTTTTAGTAGAGACGGGGTTTCACCATGTTGATCAGTCTGTTTCTCGAGCTCCTGACCTCGTGATCCGCCCGTCTCAGCCCCCCAAAGTGCTGGGATTACAGGCGTGAGCCACTGCACCTGGCCAAGAATATGAATTCTTGAGGACTCTTGATATTCCAGTTGTTTTCCAGAAAGATTGTAAGATAAGGATATGATAGACTATGGGATAGAATAGTTAAGGTTGTCTAACTTTGGCAAGTACTTGGCATGGCATCTACAACAAAAAATACATGCTGTGCCTAAGATATATGGATTTGAGTATAGCCTGTATAGTGTGAACAGAAGTAATGATAAAGTCGTTGGTAAAGTACCAATACTAATGTTGGTACTAGAAAGATGTTGAAGAAACAAAACATAAACAGGGTCACTACAAAGCAGATTTTAAAAGATAGTTTTTAGATTTTATCCTTTTTTAAAAAAACTGAGCAACAAATAATGTTGGGTGCAGCTTGGTTGGAAATATATTATCTCATAATTCCATAGGCTAGAGGTCCGACTTGGGTCTGTCCCACTGTATTGACAGGACTGTGTTCCTTACTCAGAGGCTCTGGGGAAGAATCTGCATCTAAATCCATTTAGATTGTTCCCTGAATTCAGTTTCTTTCCACTGTCGGACAGGGGTCCCAGCTTCCTTGCTGGCTGTCAGGCGTGGATGGGTATGGTGGGGTGGGAGCAGAGGGCAGCTGCCTTTAACTCCTGGCACATGTGCCCCATGTCTCAGAGCCAGCACCTGCAGGTTGGCCCCTTCTCACACTTGGAATCTGTCCCACTTCCCTTTATGCCACACTCCTCTTCTACTTTCTTTGCGCGCGCACGCTCGCTCTCTCTCTCTCCTGCTTTTAAGGTCTTGTGTGATTACATTGAATCCACCTCAGTAATCCAGGCTAATCCCATTTTAAAGTCCACTGATGAGTGACCTTAATTTCCTCTCAGAGTCTCTCACAGCAGCACCTAGGTTAGTGTTTGAGAGAATAAGGAAGGACATCTTTAGAATTTAGTCCTTGCTTGCACCTCCCTCCAGGGACTGCAGTGCTCCCTCCTGAGACTGAGAACCAGTGCTGGGAGGACAGATCTCCCCCATGAGGCCTGCCAGCTAAAGTCTGTGTGATTGTGTGTGGTCGGGCCTGACAGATCATACATAAGACTTTGTCCTGCAGGTGGCTTCCTCAAGCAAACATTGTAATCAATAGAGAAGCAGCTACCACTCATATTAGCTGGGAAAGAAGGATGTTTGTTATTTTGGTAGTGTTCATAGTGCCTTGTTTTAATGTATACTTAGACCGGAATATGAAGTGGACATGGTCTTGCTGCTTTAAATTTTTTTTTTTTATTTTGGTATCACATCATGGCAGCCACAGAGTGACTTTATATATGTTCAACAGGAGAAAACCAAGGCCCAGCTGTGAGTACCAGGCCAGCACTTGGATGTGCAGAGCTACTTTTCTCTTTCTCAGCTGCTTGATAAAATCGAGACCTTTAGGACTGTAGCATCTGACTGAGAAAAGCAACCCAAATGTTCTAGAAACATGTAACCTGCCTGGCATGTGATTATAAGCTGCGAATAAAGAATTTAATTATTATATTTATTAAGATCAGTTTTAATAAGATAAAGTAGTTTTTAGGCTAGTTTTGTTTTAAATGAGAATTTTAATGCCTAAAAGAGTATGTTTCATTTACTTAAAATTTAGCAAAAGAGAAAAATATAATTTCCTAATGAGGCTGAATGAACTATATTTGTATTTTATATGATGTGAGTTATATAGGAGAAAGATGGCATGTGGCTCCAAAGTAAGTGGTCAGAATTTTCAGGCCTGTTTTGTCAAGCCATGGGTTTAACAGAAAAAAAAAAAAAATCTGTTAGGAAGCACCAGTGAGGTTCACAGACTTATGGTCTGGAAGGTACATACCAATGGTAAAGGGAGACCAAAACTTAGAGGCCTTAAACAGTTAATTACTCAGTGTCAGCTTCTCATCTACAACATGGGGTATGAATATCGACAGTAATACCATATAGAGTTATTACACCTAGTTAAGTCCTAAGTAGAATTATTAATGCTATTAATAATCTTAACTCCATGAATTTACATACCTTCTACCCTTTTCTCAGTCAAGCCTTCTGTTTCCTGATAAGTAAGTTGAATTTCCCAAAGGTGTTAGCAACAGTAACTTTTTACCCTTTTAGTTATTTAGGAGTCTAGGATCTTGTGAGTAACTCTTTGCTAATTTGCGTGGTCACCAGTAAATGGTTCTAGAAGGGCATTTATGCCTTCATTCAACAAATATTGTAGTGATCAACCTCTTTATGTGTAAAATCAGTGTCTTAGTTTGGGTAGCCCCAAAGCAGACTAGAGAGAATGGTGTGGTTTTAAGTTTTTGAGAAGTGGTCACAGAGAGCTCTGCAGAGTTAGGGAGAGAGGGTGATCATAGGTGTATACGAGTGGATTACCACTGTGGGCAACTGAGGTTCAATCCTGCTGGGGATTCTTTGAGGGACTTTGTGGTACCTGCCTCTGAATTGTCCCACCAAGGGACAGGGATGCCAGGTTTTTTATCGACCATTGGTTGAAGGTCATTCCTGCAGTGGAAACTTTCTGACACTTTGGACTTGCATCACACAGGGGCCTGCAACCAGAAGATACCACTGAGCAGAGAGCCCTTGCAAGTTGTAGGTGGTAGGTTAACAATTGTGTTTGTATCTTGTTACAGAAAGCACAATTAATGTTGGTAATAAATGGTAAAAGTGAAAGATGTTTAATATAAATATTTTTCCATAGGATTTTCTATTGCAGCAGACCATGCTACGAGTGAAGGATCCTAAGAAGTCACTGGATTTTTATACTAGAGTTCTTGGAATGACGTAAGTCAAGTACTTATTGGCACCTTAATGTTTAAATATATAGCTTTGCAAATCTAGAGAGTGTTTTCAGACCCATCTTAAAGTTTGTTTCAGAAGTAACAGAAGTTCTTTTGGCCAGGAGTCTGTGATTAGGCCTGGCTGGACAGGGCTTCTCTCGTAAGTTCTTTTTCTTCTCTATCCCAGCCAGCCTGAAAGGGCAAAACAAGACACAAATAGTTGCATTTTCTCCAGTCTGCCTTCTCTGAGCGCTCCCAGCTAAATCCTTAATGTGTTCAGACCCCTTTTGATGTTCTGGCCACTTTTAGCCTCTTGTTTACTTCAGAAAAGTTATAGATAATAAGAACTTACTACTCAGAAAACCAATGGGTTTACTTAAAACTGACCATCTGTTCTATTTTTCTAGGCTGTGTTTTCTTTTGCTCAACAGGTCATATCCACTGATCTTGCAATCCTAAAGCATACTTATTTTTCTAAAGCATGTTTATTTTTCTTTTTTTCTCCAGCTTTACTGAGGTATATTGAGAAATAATTTTGTCATATTGTTGATTTGTTTCCCTAAGTTATGTGAGCATTTTGCTTTTGAGCATATAGATACATGAATAATAAAATAATCTTTAAATTTAGTGCCTAGATAACTTCCATTCACATTGAGAGAAAAATTTAAGTAATATATGTCTATATTTAGAAAATTTGACCAGTTCAGAAAAATACAAAATGAAAAGTAATAGCTTCCCTCCCCAAGTTCTTCTCCCCAGAGATAACTGCTGTCCAGTTTCTTGTGATTTTTTTCTAGAAAAAGGTATTATGAATATATTTATGACATATTTAAAGGACAAAATGAAAACAGATTTATTGAACACTTTTGCCAGGCACTTCAAATGTTATTTTGTTCAGTCTTCACACCAGTCTTAGGAGGTAGCTTTTATCCCCATTTCACAGACGGAGAAACCAAAGCTTAATGAGATGAAGTTACTAGCTCCAAATCCCACAGTTGGCATATGGCAGGGCTGGAACCTGTATCCATTGTCTGATGGGCTCTAATGTAGACTTCCTGTGCAGAGCCCCCAAATAGGGTACAAGTTGACAGTAAGCTGGAAGATTTGAACAGCTGAGAAAAGCAAGTTGCAACAGTTTCATTTCCTTCAGTCCCAACTGATTGGTCCATGAGGGTTGTGTAGTCTGCTTTAGTAGGTGCAGAGATTGTTTTTCATGATTGGAGTATTTGAGGTGTTTGATACTTTATTATAAACATGTTAGAGTAAATCTTATTTGTGATAAGTCAATGCAAGGATCTAAGTGGGCCAAGGTCTATTATATAGCAGTGATAATGAAATAAAAGATTGGAAGCAGAACTCTAGAAACTTTCCATTTGCTATATGGCAATAACAGCCATTTGCTCTTATTGATTATGAACAAAGTCATCTTTGAATAATCTAAAGAAAATCATATATGCATTCTCATGCCACCTTACTCCTTGCCAAATAATCCTATACCATTTAAAGTCATTTAAGGTTCAGGACTTCAGTTATCTTTCTTAAAACCTCAGGATTCATAATTCATTCACTCTCTCTCCCATCAGTCTCTTCTACTGTCTCTTTCCCCTCAGAGAAGCGTAAGTCTTCTTTGTTCCAGAATATTTCTTGCCCTCTGCTCCTTCGCCTACCTCCCCATTGTCACTGCCATGCTTGCTACTGTTTTACCTGCTCACCTGCCATTCTCTCTCCCCAGTACAGTGTAATCCAGCTGATGCTTCCCCACTCTGCTGACATTGCTCTCATGGGACCTTTCCATATCTCATGACCTTTTCTTAGTCTTAATACTGTTTGACCTTTCTACAGTATCTGATACTGTTAGCCACCTTACTGTTGACATTCACGTCTTCTGTGATACTAGTCTGTCCTTCCTCCTTCTTTCTTACCACCTATCCTTAATTTCCTTTCCTAGATGTTTTGGCATAGTAAGAACTCAATAAATGTGTTTATTTAACTGAATGACATATTTATATATGTGTTTGTATGTGTGTATATATATGAAATAGCAACAAGGTTCTTTATATTTTTCAGTACAAATAAACACAGTTCTCTTTTGGAGATAGCCGTTTCTATTTATTAACAAGTACCATAATTTCAGCTAAATGTTACTATATTTACAGAATTGATGAATTACAGAAGTTTTCATTTTTGTATTTCAAATATTTACAGATGCATTTTTCATGATATTTTTTCACTGATTTTTCCTCCTGCTTATTCCATTAAAATAGGCTTACTACATATAGCTCTTCTTTTTAGTAAAACTTGAATATTAAGTTATGTTGATTATAGTATGAATTAGCCTTTCCTGTTGTTAATGATTCAGGCTTGTTGTTTTTTCATTGCAGGCTAATCCAAAAATGTGATTTTCCCATTATGAAGTTTTCACTCTACTTCTTGGCTTATGAGGATAAAAATGACATCCCTAAAGAAAAAGATGAAAAAATAGCCTGGGCGCTCTCCAGAAAAGCTACACTTGAGCTGACACAGTGAGTATGAGTTTCTATATTTATATATATTATAGATTTTTTAAGGTAGTTTTTAAAAATCTTTTTTGTTTTGTTTACTGACCAGTATAATTCAAACCAGATCTGCCTATGACTTCACATTTTTAATAATATATTGAAGTGTTTTTCATGCATCTTTTGATCTTTGTATTGTTCTTGGGCAAATGAGATGTGTTTTTTTTAGAGACAGGCTCTCTGAAGCCTCTAACTTCTAGGTAGTCTTCCTGCCTCAGCCTCCTGAGCACCTTGGACTACACATGTGTGCCACCACACCCAGCTAGTTTTTGTTTGTTTGTTTTTGGTAGAGGCATAGAGGCAAGGTCTCACTATGTTGCCCAGGCTGGTCTCAAACTCCTGGCCTCAAGTGATCCGCCCGCCTCGGCCTCCCAGACTGCTGGGATTATAAGCATGAGCCACCACGCCTGGCCCATTTGTCTTTTATTTTTATTTATTTATTTATTTATTTTTTGAGACAGAGTCTTGCTCTGTTGCCCAGGCTGGAGTGCAGTGGCGCGATCTCGGCTCACTGCAAGCTCTGCCTCCCGGATTCACTCCATTCTCCTGCCTCAGCCTCCCAAGTAGCTGGGACTACAGGCGCCCGCCACTACGCCCAGCTAATTTTTTGTATTTTTTGTAGAGACGGGGTTTCACCATGTTAGCCAGGATGGTCTCGATCTCCTGACCTCGTGATCTGTCTGCCTCGGCCGCCCAAAGTGCTGGGATTACAGGCGTGACCCACCACGCCCGGCCTCCATTTGTCTTTTAGATAAGAGAATATAAGACCCTGAAATTGTAAGATATTTGCCTGTTTGTCTCTAACTAATTTTTAGGTACTATAATTAGTCTTTCAGCATCCAAAATTTTGTTCTTTTATTATTTTGCTACATTTTGGATCCAGAAATGTGATATCATGTGTTCCTTTAAAAATTCTTCAAACCATTTTGTAATAATTAACATTCAAATTTGGTATTTTTATAACTTGAGCACTTAAAAATGTAGGCAATTTCTTTACATTGTTTATCTGCATACTTTAAAAGAGATTGATTTCAGAGTGTGTGATTTCGTGTGTCCCTTGATTCAAAATAAAGCTTTGGAATCAGGCAGGCTTAGATATGAGTCTGTGACTCTAAACAAGTAAGTGGCAGTTTCATCAATAGAATGGAGATGTTCACACCTAGCCCATGGAGCTGTTTTAAGGGTTTAAATGAAATATAAAGTACTTAGCACAATAAATGAGCATTATTATTATTCTTATTATTGTTCTTGTCCAGTACCTGTATTTACTGTCTCTTTAGTCTCGTTAAAATCATACTTTGGCCATTTGTCCTTTCTATAGTTGAAAACTTAATATTTTTGTAGCAGGGGTTAGGCCAATTATGTAAAGTAGCATATAAACGTGGTAAGATTTCAAAGATGTTACTTGCTTTTCAGAATATCTATTCCCTAGGACATTGTAGCTATGTTTTCCTTCCTTTTGTAGCAATTGGGGCACTGAAGATGATGAGACCCAGAGTTACCACAATGGCAATTCAGACCCTCGAGGATTCGGTAAGTTTGCCTGTTTTTATGTGATATATGTAGATTTGTGTGATTTTGTATTATGTATATAATTATGATTTTAATAAACCTAAAACATTAATGTCCTAATTAAGTATGATCAATTTATTAGAGATATGATTATTTTTATTTTCCACAAATAATCTTATTTAGGAGTTGTTTAATTTCAGAGTCTCGATCTAAAATTACACTTACCATCTCACCATGATTTACTTTTAAGTCTCAGAATTAATTTCCAGTAGACTTTTTTTTTTAAAAAAGCTGTAGTTAATACTAATCCCAGTTTCTGCTAGCACATACACTTCTGCCTTGATCTCCAGTCTCTCAATCAAGATGACAGTATTGCAGGCTTCAGCTGGCTGCTATAGTCAATGCCAACCACAAACCTATTAAGTATTAGTAAATGATTACTGTTTTTTGGTGTCGATTATTCTTAACTGATTAGACTGTATATGAGCTGATATTGATTAATTTTAAATAATTTATAATTCAAGGCAACTAATTAACTACTTATACCCAGCCCATTAGATCTATATTTGTTCTTTAATGTATTATAGATTTTGAACCTACCTAAGTCTGTTCCCAAGTGCCTTATGTTTTGAAATAAACAAGTTTTGGAATCTACTTGTGGTACTTGGACACCCTGTTATAATTATTTCTTCCTTCTCTCTGCTTTTTTCGGGGGGTATCACGTAAGGTCATATTGGAATTGCTGTTCCTGATGTATACAGTGCTTGTAAAAGGTTTGAAGAACTGGGAGTCAAATTTGTGAAGAAACCTGATGATGGTGAGTCTACTACTTACTGTGTTCAGGCCTGTCTTTAGTTGATATTTACTAACCACCTACAGAGGCCACTGTTGTAGTAAAACCCTTTTGGCTACAAGTAACAGAAGTCTCCACTTCAACCAGAGTTTTAAAAAAGAGAAATGATTGGAAGAATATCTGGGTATTTTAGGGAACTGAAAGACAGCAACTAGGGTGGCTTTCCAAGGCACTAGACACAGGACCTGGACAGCCATCAAAACCCTACGCTTCCTCTCCCACTGCCCGACCCCACCACTTTCTTTCATTGGCCACCAGCTTTCACTATTTCAGTGTATATCTTTCCGCCCAAAAATAAGTTCCTTAAAGTCCATTTTATCTGATGCTCATATAATGACACCAGCTCTCTTTAGTTTATAATCACATGGTATTTCTTTTTCATCTTTTATAACCTTTGTATGTCCTTAAGTTTTAGGTAGGTTTTTTGAAATAGCCTACGTATGGATTTTGCTGGGTTTACATGTATTGTTATTATTTTACTTAGATCTCTTTCTGAACTATTTCAAATTAAAATTGAAATATTAAATATTTCAGAGTCTCAATCTAAACATTTGAAATATTTCACTGTTTAATTTCAATCCTTTTTTAAAAAAATTAAAATACTTAATATCCAGTGCTGGGCGTGGTGGCTCACACCTGTCATCCCAACACTTTGGGAGGCCAAGGCGGGCGGATCACGAGGTCAGGAGATCCAGACCATCTGGGCTAACATGGTGAAACCCTGTCTCTACCAAAAATAGAAAAAATTAGCCAGGCATGGTGGTGGGCGCCTATAGTCCGCCTACTCAGGAGGCTGAGGCAGGAGAATTGCTTGAACCTGGGAGGTGGAGGTTGCAGTGAGCCAAGATCGCACCACTGCACTCCAGCCTGGGCGACAGAGTGAGACTCCGTCACAAAAATATATATATATTTAATATCCAAATCTTCTCCCCAATAAGAAAGGAATTTGCTTCACTCTGTCCTCATTGTGTCACTATTACCTAGAGTGGGATAGTATTGATTTTATTTTTTAAAGATAATAATAAATATATCACGGTGTTTGATCACTTTTTCTTCATATATCTCTTGTAGTGTCTCCTTTGAGACAGGATCTCACTCTCATCCAGGCTGGGGTGCTGCAATGGCACTGTCATAGCTCACTATAGCCTTGAAACTCCTGGGCTCAAACAATCCTCTGCCTCAGCCTCCTCCTAAGTAGCTAGGACCACAGGCACATGCCACCACACCCAGCTAATTGTTTTATTTTTTTGTAGAGATGAGTTCCTGCTATGTTGCCCAGGTTTGTCTCAAACTCCTGAGCTCAAGCGATTCTTTCACCTTGGCCTCCCAAAGCACTGGGATTACAGGCGTGAGCCACTATGCCCAGCCTTTTTAGCATCTTTTGGATTTTTCTGTTCTTTTATTTAAATACCTCAACCAAAATGGTCTTTAAAGGGGTTTTGTTTTTGTTTTTTGAGACGGAGTTTCGCTCTTGTTGCCCAGGTTGGAGTGCAATGGCACGGTCTTGGCTCACCGCAACCTCTGCCTCCTGGGTTCAAGTGATTCTCTTGCCTCAGCCTCCCGAGTAGCTGGGATTACAGGCATGCACCACCGTGCCTGGCTAATTTTGTATTTTTAGTAGAGACGGGGTTTCTCCATGTTGGTCAGGCTGGTCTCAAAATCCCAACCTCAGGTGATCCGCCTGCCTCAGCCTCCCAAAGTGCTGGGATTACAGCTATGAGCCACCGCACCCAGCCCTTTAAAGGGTTTTTAAGGCAAAACTTTTGAGATTCTGTGTAACTGAGGATGATGCCTTTATGTCTGAAGGACAGTTTTATGGAAAAGCCTAGGTTTAATTTCCTTCAGTCTTGAAAATACTCTTCTATTTTCTTTTTGCATATGATGTTGCTGTTGAAAAATCTGTCAATTCATGTTCCTTTGTATATTCTTCTGTTTTATTCTAGAAGCTTTTTATATTATTTCTTTGTCACTGCCTGCATTCTGGGAGATTTCCTCAAACTGGAATACCAATTAGCTAATTTTCTCCCAAATGTATCTGTTCTGATATTTAATTCATCTATTTTGTTCTTAAACACCTGTTATAATTTTGATCTCTAATTTTCGCTTAGTTTGCTTAATATGTTCTTGTTCTTTTTTTCATATTGGTAATATTTCATATTGTTTATTACTTTTTTTTTTTTTTGAGACAGAGTCTTGCTCTGTTGCCCAGGCTAGAGTGCAGTGGTGTGATCATAGCTCACTGCAACCTCAAACTCCTGGGATCAAACAATAATCCACCTCAGCCTCCTGAGTAGCTGGGACTACAGGCAAATGCCACCATGTATGGCTAATTTTTTATTTTTTGTAGAGACAGGGTCTTACTATGTATCTCAGGCTGGTCTCAAACTCCTGGCCTCAAGTGATCCTTCTGCCTCAGCCTCCCAAAGTATTGGGATTACAGATGTGAACCACCACACCCGGCCGGTCATTACTTTTACATGTCTAAATAGTCCTTGGGTCTGGGCATGGTGGCTCATGCCTGTAATTGCAGCACTTTGGGAGGCCGAGGCAGAGGATTGGGAGGTTCGGGAGGATCACTTGAGGCCAGCAGTTCAAGGCTGCAGTGAGCTATGATTGTGCCATTGCATTCCAGCCTGGGTGACATAGGAAGACCTTGTTTCTACAAAAAGGTTTTTTTTTAAATTATCTGGGCATGGTGGCACATGCCTGTAGTCTGTATGCCTAGCTACTCGGGAGGCTGAGGTGGGAGGATTGCTTGGGCCCAGGAGTTGGAGGCTGCAGTGAGCTATGATCCACTGTACTTCATTTCAGTATAAACGACAGAGCAAGACCCTGTCTCCAGAAAAAAAACAAAAATAGCTCTTGGTCCATTATTCTAATATTTCTTCTGTTTGAATCTACAGTCCATTGCTTTGGGGGTGTTTTATGGTTATGTTTCTCAAATTATTATTTTTTGCCTCTGAGCTTTTTTCCCCTGCAACTGTTCGCTATTCTAACACATCAAGCAGTGTGAATAGGAGAATGGCCAGATCCCTGTCCTTAACAACCCACATGATCTCAGGACAATGGGCTGGATAAGCCTAGGCCAGAGATTCCTAGGCACCTAGAAATGAGACTTAAATTTATTTCACCTTCCACAAAACACCTCTTCAGGTTGGATCTTCCCACTTCATCCCTCAGGGAAGAGTATTAGTAGGAGACACTTCCGATAGTGTTATTCCCTAGCCCTGGGCGTGGAGAGAGGGCTGGGGAGATCATTCGGCCCTACCAGTTTTTCTCAGTTTCTCACAAGCACAAGGCTCCTGCACTGCCCTTGTTTACTGGTAAGGACATCTGAACAAGCGAGAGGGCAGGTGCCGATGCACACAGCAGTGAGGGAGGAGCAAGAGCAAAACTCTGTTCTCTCGCAGCCATTATGCACTGCCTTCTGGTCCAGGCCAGAACTACCACCTCCCACACAGCCCAAGTTAAAACAGTCACCCGGCCCCATCCTCACCCATTCTCCCCAGCTGTCACCAGCCGGGTTTCTTTCTTTCTTTCCTTTTCTTTTCTTTTCTTTTCTTTTCCTTTTCTTTTCCTTCCTTCCTTCCTTCCTCTCTCTCCCTCCCTCCTTCCTTCCTTCTCTCTTTCTCTCTTTCTCTTTCTCTTTCTCTTTCTCTCTTTCTTTCTTTTTCCTGCATTTTCCATCTATGTTCCTCTAGGATTGATCTTGGAGAAAGGAGGCAGAGATAAGAGTCAAACCAATTCAACATAATGGTCCCCAAATAAATTTCTGAGGTCATATTTTTCCATTTAAGCAAACAGCTCTGACATACTAGACTCTCAATCTCAGTTTTGAATTCCTGGGAGAAAGACTCTCGCAGAGCTTGGGTTGCCTAGGATAGTATTTAAAAGGGTTTGTATGACCCAAGCATCTGGGTCTTTTGGTTGTGGGGGTAAGCCATGCTACCAGCTCCCTTCAGCACCTCCCTATTTTCTTTTTCTTCTTTAAAATAAGACAATTTCTGTAACTACTGAACTGGTAGTGTGGTATCATGAAGGTGAGGCAAATGCCTGATACCTAAAAGATGCAGCCAGTCCCACAGTTTATTTCAGGAGGGCTGGTATTTGCAATGTGTGCAAGATAACATTTTAGTCATTATGAAAAGTATGACTTTTCATACTTTTCTGACAATAAGAATTTTTAAAATTTAAAACTGTAAACAAAATAATGTACTTCATTAAAATGCAAAGTAAATCTTTAATTAATAAAAGTTTTTAAGGCCAGGTGCAGTGGTTTGTGCTTGTAATCCCACCACTTTGGGAGGCAAGGCAGGAGGATTGCTTGAGGCCAGGAGTTTGATAGCAGCCTGGGCAGTACATTGAGATCCCGCCTCTACAAAATCAAAAAATTAGCCAGGCAAGGTGGTGCGTGCCTGTCGCCCCAGCTACTTGGCAGGCTGAGCTCAGGAGGTCAAGCCTGCCTTGGGCCATGATCATCCCATGCACTCCAGCCTGACATTCAGAGCAAGACCTTGTCTCAAAGAAAGAAAAACATTTTTATGGTGTTTTCTTTTTTAGTCTTTTCAATAATGAAAATTTTCATTTTACAGGTAAAATGAAAGGCCTGGCATTTATTCAAGATCCTGATGGCTACTGGATTGAAATTTTGAATCCTAACAAAATGGCAACCTTAATGTAGTGCTGTGAGAATTCTCCTTTGAGATTTCAGAAGAAAGGAAACAATGTGATTCAAGATATTTACATACCAGAAGCATCTAGGACTGATGGATCACTGTCCCGATTCAAATTATTCTTCAGTCCATTTCCCCTTCCTATTTCAGCTGTTCCTTTTCACCTAACTGTTCAGTCATTCTGGTTTTCAAGCAGTGCTTTATCTCATGTCCTTGAATATAGTTGTGTAACTTTATTTTTTAGGTAATAATTAGAACAGTTCCCTTCAGAGGCTGCATTTGCCTTCTTCTGCCACCTAAATATTACTTCCCTTCAAATCTGCCTTTGAATCATCATTTTTAAAAAAAAATTAACATGTTTTTGTTGTAGTTATCTTCTGGGGTTTCAATTCCTCAGAAACAACTTTTTTCACAACGGAAAGGAAAGAACACTAGTGTTCTTTCAGTAAAGTACAAAGTGTTTATTTTACAAAAGAGTAGGTACTCTTGAGAGCAATTCAAATCATGCTGACAAGGATACTGATAGAAAAAGTGATTTCTTCTTATTATAAAGTACATTTAAAGTTCAAGGACTAACCTTATTTATTTGGGAAAGGGGAGGAGGAAGGAAATGATATGGTACCCAGACACTGGGCTAGGCTGCAACTTTATCTCATTTAATACTCCCAGCTGTCATGTGAGAAAGAAAGCAGGCTAGGCATGTGAAATCACTTTCATGGATTATTAATGGATTTAAGAGGGCATCAATCAGCTCAACTCAAGATTTCATAATCATTTTTAGTATTTAGATTGTGCCTCAAAGTTGTAGTACCTCACAATACCTCCACTGGTTTCCTGTTGTAAAAACCTTCAGTGAGTTTGACCATTGTGCTCTTGGCTCTTGGGCTGGAGTACCGTGGTGAGGGAGTAAACACTAGAAGTCTTTAGTACAAAACTGCTCTAGGGACACCTGGTGATTCCTACACAAGTGATGTTTATATTTCTCATAAAGAGTCTTCCCTATCCCAAGGTCTTCATGATGCCAGTAGCCATATATGATAAATTATGTTCAGTGATAACTTAGTTATCAGAAATCAGCTCAGTGGTCTTCCCCGCCATGATTCACATTTGATGAGTTTTTAAAAATCAAAGTGATTTTGAAAATCTCTAATGGCTCAGAAAATAAAAACATCCAGTTTGTGGATGACTATATTTAGATTTCTCTAGACTCTAGTGGAAGACCTTTGGAAAGGCCATGCCAACCGTGCTTGTACTGCTAGAAGCACTTTATGTTTCCTTTTTGGGTGAAATGGATTTATGTGAGTGCTTTAAACAAATAGCAATACTTATAGACTGAAATAAAATGAAACTTCAAATAAGACTATGTTTAATTTGTAAACCTTTGTCCATCATGTTCTTTCTTTAAAAAAAAAAAAAAACAACTCCCCTTAGTGAGTACTGAAAGGATTTGAAAAGGCTTGTAGGCTCATTCTGAAGAGAGAACAATTGTGATTCTGTACAGCCCGTAAAGCAGGTAGTGTCTATGGATAAGGGAGTGTGGGAAAGGTGGGAAGAAGAAAGTGAATACGGAATAAAGGATTGTGGTAGATAAAGTGCAAACAGAAGAATATCAAAAGGTAAGGAACTTATGAAGACCAATTTCACATGTTGAGTGCTAGAACTGACAAACGGGAGGGCTAATACATTCACAAATTCAGTAATTTAAGCTTTATTTCCAAGGAAAGAAGCCTTCTCCACTTGCTGAGTAAAACTTGCCAAAAGATAGCCCTTGCTCATTCTTTAAATTCATTCCTATATGCATTTTTTTTAAATGTACAGTTGGCCCTTGAACAACATAGGTTTGAACTCCACTGGTTTATTTATACAGGGATTTTTTTCAAGCAAATGTGGGTTGAAAATACAGTACAAAGGGGGCTGACTTTTCATATGCCAACTGTGGGACTTAAGTATGCACAGATTTTGGTATCCATGGGCAGTCCTGGAACCAATCCTCCACATACACCGAGGGACAACTGTATATGGTAACACTACGCCTTGTTAGGGAAAAGAACAATTCACTTCCAAATTCACTTACCTGAGAAGTTGTACGAAAGTACAAAGTAGGTCACAAGAAGTAAGTTTTCTTATTTTCCATGATCATGGTCAATGTAAAACAAGTCAGTCTCCTATGAGCCCTACATAGCTAAGGCTAGAATGATTATAATACAGGTGGTTTGAATGAAGAGCAGATGGCTGAAAGGGAATCACTTGAGGCTTTCCCACACAGTATTTTGACCATGATTGCATAGAGTGTGTCTTAGTTGAGGCAATTTTAATAAAAATACCATAGACCGGGTGGCTTAAACAACAAACATTTATGTCTCACAGTTCTGGAGGCTGGGAAGTCCCAAGATCAAGGCACCAGCAGATCCAGTGTCTGGTGAGGACCCACTTCCTGACTTGTAGACAGGCACCTTCTCACTGTGTTCTCACACATCCAAGATAAATCATCTCTTAAAAGGGCACTAATTCCATTCATGAGGGTTCTACCCTCATGACATTACCTCCCAAAGGCCCCACCTCCGAATACCATCACACTGAAAATTAGGCTTAAACATATGTATGGAAGGGAGCCGCAGGACACAAACATTCAGTCCATAGTACAGTATATATAAATAATCCTCAGCCATCCAACTGATTATGAAGAGTGTTAGTAAGGATGCTTGCTATTGGCAATAAGAAAAAAAGCCAGCACTTAAGAGATTGTAAAATGGATTGGTTGACCAGGCGCAGTGGCTCACGCCTGTTATCCCAGCACTTTGGGAGGCTGAGGCAGGTGGATCACTTGATGTCAGGAGTTTGAGACCAGCCTGACCAGCAAGATGAAACCCTGTCTCTACTGAAAATACAAAATTTGCCAGGCATGGTGGTGGGCACTTGTAATCCCAGCTGCTTGGGAGGCTGAGGCAGGATAATCACTTGAACCTGGGGGGTGAGCTGAGATCACGCCATTGTACTCCAGCCTGGGCAACAAGAGCGAAACTTCGTCTCAAAAATAATAATAAAATGGGTTGGTAGAGGGTTCAGAGATAACAAGAACCCCAGATTATTTCCATCTTTCCCATCCTGTCATTTTTAGCATTTTTTCTCACTGGACCAATAATATGATCAAAGATGCCTACCATGATTCTAGGTATCATGTGTAGACCAACAATGTTGATAGGATTTGGCTGTGTTCCCACCCAAATCTCACCTTGAATTGAAGTTCCCATAATCCCCACATGTCATTGGAAGGACCCAGTGGGAGGTAATTGAATCATGGGTGTGGTTTCCCCCATGCTATTCTCGTGATAGTGAGTTCTCACGGGATCTGATGGTTTGATAAGGGGCTTCCCCTTTCTCCTTCCTGCCACCCTGTGAAGAATGATGTGTTTGCTTCCCCTTCCGCCGTTATTGTAAGTTTCCTGAAACCTTCCCACCCTTGCAGAACTGTGAGTCAATTAAACCTCATTCCTTTATAAATTACCCAGTCTCGGGCATGTCCTTATAGCAGCATGAGAACGGACTAATAGAAATGTCCAGTGAAAGAAAATATCATTTTATTCCTCATGTGTCTTTGATAAGGAGTGAAAAACCTTTCCCTAAGCTCCTCAGCAAAATTCCCGTCATATCTCAACCAGTACTGGGTCACTTACCTGTCTAATCACTGGCCAAGGGGGTGGGAACACTCTGACTTAGATGGATCGTATTTACCCAAGCTGGCTGCATGAGGGTGGACAGTGAATCAGAATTGAGACTGCCAGAATGGAGGAGCAAATAGGGGCTTCTGGGTAGGTGTAAACAGAAACCGCACCCAGAGTCAAATTAGATATTGAGAATTAGATATTAGGTGCAGAGTACTGTAAGAAATGAAACATTTCTTGCCCTCAGAGCTTAGGTCTGAGATTGTGGTTCTCAATCATATTAGACTTAGCTGACCCTGTTTATAATAACATTGTAACATAATATCTATCACATCCACTATCCTGAAATGACATTCACATGATATAACCTACTTATTGGCACGACATGAAGAAACATCAGTCAATACCTTTATGGTAATATGAAGGAGAAATATAATCAGGTTGCAATAAAATTGTGCATTTTAGTATGTCAGTGCCCACATAGACTAGAAGACAATGGAGTAGTCAGGTGCTTGCCCTTACATATGGAAGAAGAAAACATCAGAGTATTGTTGACACTCTTTGATATTTTAAATAAAGACTGAATTTATGATTCATGAAGAGCTATAATTTTACAAATTTAAATACATATTCATAACAGGTGCATTTTACTGATGACTCAAAAACATGATGTTATGTTGGAAATATTTCCCAAAATGGTGATCAATTCTTGCTAAAGTTTCGAATAAAAGAGTAACTTTTTTGTTTATAGAATAGTTTTTTCCCTAGCAAATATTAAAATTATAAATGCAAATAAGTAAGATACAAGTTGTAAGTTCAGATAATAAAAAGCAGGCTTTAATTCTTTTTTAAAATTTAGAATAGTTTTAGATTTGCAGAAATGTTGCAAAGATAGTGCAGAATTCACATACACCACATACCTAGTTTCCCCTATTTTAAAAATCTTACATTAGTGTGGGACATTTATCACAATTAATGAAACTATATTGATATTATTAACTGAAGTCCATACTTATTCCAATTTCCTTCATTTTTACCTGCTGTTTCCTTACAGGTGACATTCAGGAAACCACATTCCATTTAGTCACCATGTATCCTTAGGCTACTCCAGACTGTGACAGTTTTTCAGACTTTCCTTGTTTTTGATGACTTTGACAGCTTTGAGGAGTACTCACTAGGTATTTTGCAAAACGTTTTTCAATTGGGATCTTCTGATTTTTTTTGTCATGATAAAACTGGGATTATTGTTTTTTGGAGGAATACCACAGAGACAAAGTGCTCTTGTCACATCAAGGGGACATACTATCAACATGACATGTCCCTGATCTTACTATGTTAACCTTAATCACCTGGCAGTGGTAGTGATGAGGAAGAAACTCATTATGTAAAGCCCACACTGGCTGGGGGGAGTTATGCTCCATCTCCTTGAGGGGAAAAGTAGGCTTTTTACCTATATGAATACTCAGTGGGACTTTCCAAAGTTATACAGGTCATTACAGGATGTCTAACATCCCTGCTCACCATCCACTAAATACCAATAGTGAAACCCAACCAAAAATGTCCCACAAGTCTCCGAAGTAACCCCTAGGGGTCAGTACTGCTCTGTTGAGAACCACTGGTCTAAGATTTCCAATTCAAGTTTCCTTAGAGTGTGAATTTAAAGCATTTATAAAGAAATCTGAGTACAGAATTCCTAATTTTATGCTTTCCTCCTTATTTACAGATGCTTTTTTCCTGCCTCTAATTCAGGAATTTATTTTAGGTATTTGCCTTTGAGTGTTCTTCTTTTATATAACTTTGTTTTACAAAAACTCATATTTTACATAAACTCATTTTCTTTTTACATGAACTCATATTTTATTGCCTTATATAATATTTAATTAAATTATATATTTAAAATTACAAGGATGATTGGATTGAGCACATTGGCAGTAGACACAATCGACTTGACAAGTAACTCATCTGAGGAAGTAGAAATGCACAGAGTGGCCAACTGGTTATAGTTACTCAGCCTGACAGGGCATCAGTTCTTTATTGAGGAAATGGTGAGTGCGGTTAATCCAATAACAGGTTAAGTGGAAATTGGTTAAGAGAATTTCTACTGTAAATGCATCGATTTGAGTCCTATCAATATTAGCAAAGGCTGAGTGCGGTGGCTCATGCCTGTAATCACAACAGTTTGGGAGGCCAAGGCGGGTGGGTTGCTTGAGCTCAAAAGTTCAAGACCAGCCTGGGAAACATAGGGAGGTCCCCATCTCTAGAAAACATAATACAATTAGCCGAGTGTGGTGGTGTGCATCTGTGGTCTGAGCTACTTGGGAGCTGAGGTGGGAGGATTGCTTGAGCCCAGGAGGTCAAGGCTGCAGTGAGCTATGATTGCCACTGCACTACCGTCTGGGTGACAGAGGGAGACTCTGTCTCTAAAAATATATATATAAGAAAATATTACAGAAGATTGTTTAATGCCAGTACCTAGGATTGCTCTAGTTGTAATGAAATAGGCACTTTTATAGACTTCATCCAAACCACTTCAATTTTACAGTAAGTTTCACGAGTTATTTTATAAAGACTTAAAATGTTCACATCTTATCTGGAAATAATGTGATATTCTGGGAATTCTGTATCCTAGAAAATATTGTATCCTTGAAAATTTATTGCTTGTATCACTTTTCATAATAGCAAAAAATAAACAAATGTCCAAAACTTGGGAAATCATTAACTTTTATAGTACCCACAATGATAGAATATTATCTATTCTACTTTAACACCACTAAATTGTGTCTTTAAAGAATGCTTAAAGATGTAGAGAAATGGTTATGAGATATCCAGTGGAAAAAGCAAGTTTATGTACATTATGCTTTTGTTAGAAAAGATACATGTACACATAGAAATCACTAGAAGGAAATATACCAAATTTTGATTATTGCTGGCTGCTGGGATTACCAATGATTTTATTTCCTTCATTATATTTTTCTGTATTTTCCAAATTCTCTAAAATGAACAAGTGTCACTTTTATAACACGGAATAATTAAGTGATATTGCTTAATTTGCTAACATTTACATTTTTACCTTTTGAGTAAAATGAGGTATTTTAACAACATCTCTGCTACCCAAACTTCTATTCAGGATGGTAACATATTAAAGATTAGAAGGTACTTTTTTTTTTTATTTTTTGAGACAGAGTTTCGCTCTGTTGCCAGGCTGGAGTGCAGTGGTGTGATCTCTGCTCACTGCAACCTCCAACTCCTGGGTTCAAGTGACTCTCCTGCCTGGGCCTCCCAAGTAGCAGGGACTACAGGTGTGCACCACCACGCCCAGTTAATTTTTGTATTTTTAGTAGAGACGGGGTTTCCCCATGTTGGCCAGGCTGGTCTCGAACTCCTGACCTCAGGTGATCTGCCCACCTCAGCCTCCCAAAGTGCTGGGATTACAGGTGTGAGCCAGCGCACCTGGCCTTAGAAGATACTTTTATATATTAAGTTATTCAAAGCTCTGTATGGTTAAAATGACTTATAATTCCAAACGATCAAGTTCCATTTAGTGACATGCAAAATTTCTTTAATCATTTAAGGATAATGTTTAGTTGTGTTCTTTTTTTTTTTTTTTTTTTTTTTTGAGATGGAGTCTCACTCTGTCGCCCAGGCTGGAGTGCAGTGGCGCAACCTCGGCTCACTGCAAGCTCCGCCTCCTGGGTTCACGCCATTCCCCTGTCTCAGCCTCCCAAGTAGCTGGAACTACAGGTGCCCGCCACCATGCCTGGCTGGCTAATTTTTCTATTTTTAATAGAAACGGGTTTCACTCTGTTAGCCAGGATGGTCTCGATCTCCTGACCTCGTGATCCACCCGCCTTGGCCTCCCAAAGTGCTGGGATTATAGGCGTGAGCCACCAGGTGCCTGGCCCCAGTTTTTTGTTTCTTTTGTTGTTGTTGTTAAGTTGACACAGGTAAGTAAAAGCCCATGAAGGAAGTTAGCATTATATTTTTATCTACACTGCCTTCTCTTAGCTGATTCTGAAGGAACTTTCTTTGTTGCTAATATTCATTTTGCATTTTAAAACTGTAGTCTAAAATTGTACCATAAACCTATGACATAATTTGGCACAAGTACTGCCCTGTGTTTATTTAAGAAAATATAGCCAGTGCACGTTGAAAACCAGCACAGTAGAGTCATCAGTATTTTGAACAGCCTCACTACTCCAAGGGTGGCCCCTGTACCGGCAGCATCAGCATCACCTGGTTGCTGGTGAAAAATTAAGAATTTCAAGCTTCATCTCAGACCTCTGAATCAGAATCTGTATTTTCAAAGAATCCCCAGGTGATCTGTGTGCACAATAAGTTTTGAGAGGCACTGTGGTACAGACTCCTTTTTAAAGTCACTAGTGTCAGCAGAGAAGTACATTTATCTCCAAAATATGATTTTTTTCTCCCACTCTTTAAATATAGTAAAACTCTTGTTATTAAAAAAAGTGTTTTATGTATATAATCCATAAACACAGGAATGTAACAAGTGGAATTTTTCTCTATTTTATTCTAATTTTAAAGCCCCCACCCCCCATTATCTGAGAGGTTAGAAATTGAACCTCAAGAAATTCAGGATTTTTCCTGCTGCTTTTCTTTTCTTTTCTTTTTTTTTTTTTTTTTTTTTGAGACAGGGTCTTGCTCTATTGCCCAGGCTGCTGGAGTGCAGTGGTGCGATCTCGGCTCACTGCAGCTTCCACCTCCTGGGTTCAAGCAATTCTCCCACCTCAGCCTCCCAGTAGCTGGGATTACAGGGGCGCGTCACCATGCCCAGCTAATTTTTGTATTTTTAGTAGAGAAGGGGTTTCACCATGTTGGCCAGGCTGGTCTCGAACTCCTGACCTCAGGTGATCCACCCGCCTCGGCCTCCCAAAGTGCTGGGATTACAGGCGTGAGCCACCACACCTGTCCTGGGTAGTCTTAAATTCCTGTAATGTCTAGAAGGTTGGAGGGGACTGAGCATCTAGTCTTCCATAGGTGACCCCTTCTATGGGCATTTGACAAAATGGCAAATATCCCATTTGGTCCTTTGTTGTAAGTCTTTGTAGACTGCTATTAAACCATCATTCATTCTTATTGTTGAGGCTACTTCAAGTCTCCCTTGCTATTTGATTCTGCTATTTCCATGCTATGTTGGCATACAGAGAAATCTTTGGAGCTTAGATTTCTTCTCTACATTTACCCACAGAGCACTGAATCGGTTGCTCTAACATCAAACAAGATCATGGGAAACTAACTCTATGAAATTTATAAAAGGTCTTGCTTAATAGGCACATTTCACAGCCATTTCTTCTCAGGGATCTTGCTGAGTTCCAAGGGTTCTACTTGGGAAGTCAAATACGAGGCCCCTCTTCTTTATTTTTATTTATTTATTTACCTATTTATTTTTAGAGATAGAGTCTCACTCTGTCACCCAGGGTTGGAGTGCAGTGGCATCATCTTAGCTGACTGCAGCCTCAAACTCCTGGGCTCAAGTGACCCTTCCACCCCAGCCTCCCATGTAGCTGGGACTAAGGTGTGTGCCACCATACTTGGTTAATTTTTAAAATTTTTTTGTAGAGATGGGGTTTCACTATGTTGCCCAGGCTGGTCCTGAACTCCTGGACTCAAGTGATCCTCCCACCTCAGCCTCCGAAAGTGCTGGGATTACAGTTGTGAGCCCCGCTCCCGATCACCCCCTCCTTTTAGATTCCCAGACACCTAAGTCTCAGGACTCCATGATTTCTCTTTATCTTAAACCACAGGTGCAGAGGAAAGTTGCCGAGACCAGCTCGGTCGGGGAGACCCTAACCCAGCAGCGCTAGAGGAATTAAAGACACACACAGAAATATAGAGGTGTGAAGTGGGAAATCAGGGGTCTCACAGCCTTCAGAGCTGAGACCCCTGAACAGAGATTTACCCATGTATTTATTAACAGCAAACCAGTCATTAGCATTGTTTCTATAGATATTAAATTAACTAAAAGTATCCCTTATGGGAAACGAAGGGATGGGCCGAATTAAAGAAATAAGTTGAGCTAGTTAACTGCAGCAGGAGCATGTTCTTAAGGCACAGATCGCTCATGCTATTGTTTGTGACTTAAGAATGCCTTTAAGCGGTTTTCCACCCGAGGCGGGCCAGGTGTTCCTTGCCCTCATTCTCATAAACCCACAACCTTCCAGCTTGGGCGTCAGGGCCATTATGAACATGTTACAGTGCTGCAGAGATTTTGTTTATGGCCAGTTTGGGGGCCAGTTTATGGCCAGATTTTGGGGGGGGCCTGCTCCCAACAGAAAGTAACATCTCTTCATAGGGACTCATTGGACCTAAGGGCTCTCCCTCCTGACTCCCCTCCCTACAACTCAGAGCATGAAGGTTTAGATTTAGATTTTTGGAAGTCAAAGCCTTTTTTTGTTTTTCCTTTGGTAACATCCTTGGACCCATGATCTAGCTGCCTGAATGGGGATGGGCATTGTGTTACATAGAAATGCACGGAGAAAACATTTTAAAATATCCTGTCATGTGAATAATAGGATAAAGGACTTAGTGGGGTATGCACAGCATGATCGAGAGATCCTTACACAATCACATGAAGTGTTCTTATAGAGCCAGAGGACTGCAAGTATGAGACATGGATTCTATACTGAGAATATTATAATCTATGGAAGCAAAGTGCATAAAACTAAGACACAACGGCAAAGCAAAATATAAACAAGAATAAAGTAGGTTTAAAAGCAATACTAACTACCCTATTTGGGACTCTTCATGGGGCTATTAGTGGCAAGTTATAGCACCTGAAGGACTAGTTTGAGGCATTCACTCCTAAATGGACAGTTCTCAAAATTTGGCATGCATCAGAATCCCCTGAAGGGTGTGCCTAAATACAGGTGTCTGGGCCCCACTCTGATTCTGTGGATCTGGGATGGGCCCTAGAATCTGCATTTCTAACAAGTTCCCAGGTGCTGCTGATGCTTGTTATGGACCACACTGAGAAAAACTGCACTATCAACATGTTCCATGGATTTGTGGGTTCCACTCTACAAACTCGCTGTAAAATCATCTATTCTGCAGCCCTTCCTGATATCCCTCATCCTTTCACCTGCAGACCCACTCAACATAATTAAGATGTGTCCTTTGGTTAGTCTCAATTCTCTTTCCAAAAATGGCATAAATGAAATCCCTATTCTTTTTTTTTTTTTTTTTTTTAATGAGACAGAGTCTTGCTAGGTTGCCCCAGCTGGAGTGCCGTGGCTGTTCACAGGTGCAATCACAGTGCACTAGAGCCTGGCTTAAACAATCCTCTGCCTCAGCCTCCTTGAGTAGCTGGAACTACAGGTGTGTACCACTGTGCCCAGCTGAAGTCTATTCTTGATAGTCCCTCATCTATGCATTGACTTAAAGTTAAGAAACATACTCCTCGCTCTGTTTTCCCTCCATTTCCTGTTCCTCCCAGTATACCCACGGAAAGTTTGTTCCATTGTAAACATATTCTCCCATATTCTCAGCATTTCATTTCTACCTGCTCTCCTTGTTCAGCAAGATTTCCAGAATCTGCTTCCAGAGATCTACCTCAATATGATGATGCTTGTTAATAGACTGGCGACCAGAGGGTGAGGAATGAATAAGTGAATTTAGCAAGATTGCTGGATATAGACTCAATGCATAAAGTCTATTGCATTTCGTCTTCTTCTTTTTTTTTTTTTTTTCTTGTGATGGAGTCTCACTCTGTTGCCCAGGCTGGAATGCAATGGCGTGATCTTGGCTTACTGCAATCACTGCCTCCCAAGTTCAAGCGATTCTCCCGCCTCAGCCTCCCAAGTAGCTGGGACTACAGGTGCGTGCTACCATGCTCAGCTAATTTTTGTATTTTTAGTAGAAATGGAGTTTTGCCATGTTCACCAGGCTGGTCTCGAACTCCTGACTTCAGGTGATCCACCCACCTCGGCCTCCCAAAGTGCTGAGATTACAGGCATGAGCCACCTCCCCAGCCAAAAATCTATTGCATTTCAATAAAACAGTGATAAACGATTAGACAATAACATTTTAAAAATAATTTCTGGCCGGGTGCGGTGGCTGATGCCTGTAATCCCAGCACTTTGGGAGGCCGAGGTGGGCAGATCACCCAAGGTCAGGGGTTCGAGACCAGCCTGGCCAACATGGTGAAACCCCATCTCTACTATAACTACAAAAATTAGCTGGGCATGGTGGCGCATGTCTATAATCCCAGCTACAAAGGAGGCTGAGACAGAATCACTTGAACTCAGGAGGCGAAGGTTGCAGTGAGCCAAGATCACCCCACTGCACTCCAGCCTGAGCAACAGAGCAAGACTCCTTCTCAAAATAAAAAAAATTAAAAATAATTCCATGGCCAGGCATGGTGGCTCACACCTGTAATCCCAGCACTTTGGGAGGCCGAGGCAAGACCGCCTCCTCACTTGAGGTCAGGAGTTCGAGACCAGCCTGGCCAATATGGTGAAACCCCCATCTCTACTAAAAATACAAAAATTAGCTGGGCATGGTGGAACGTACCTGTAATCCCAGCTACCTCAGAGGCTGAGGCAGAAAAATCGCTTGAACCCAGGAGGTGGAGGTTGCAGTGAGCCGAGATCACACCACTGCACTCCAGCCTGAGCAACACAGCAAGACTCCATCTCAAAAAAAAAAAAAATCAATTTAAAACAGCATCTAAATGTCAAATACCTAGGAATAAATCTAACAAGATGTGCAAGACCTCTATAAACTACAGAACTGTAAAACTGTAATGACAGAAATTAAAGACCTAAAGGAATGGAGGGACATATCATTTTTATAAATTGGAAGTTAACAGGAGGTAAATTCTCCAAAAATCTATCTTTAGACTGAATGAAATTCCAATCAAACTTACAGAAAGATTTTTATGGGAACTAACAAGCTGATTCTAAAATGTATATGGAAATGCAAAGGACCAAAATAGTCCTTTTGGTCTGATCAAAGCAAATTGGATCACATCTGATCTGCAAATTGGAACTGATCAAGCAAATTGGATAACTTTCTCTGCCAGATATCAAGACTTATCATGACATTACAATAATTAAGGCAGGGTGGTATTGACAAATAGATCAAAGGGACAGAATATAAAGTTCAGGAACAGATCTTCATATAATCTGTGTACAACAAAGATTTAAAACAAGGCAGTCCAGGCATGGCAGCTCACGCCTGTAAGCCCAGCACTTTGGGAGGCCGAGGCAGGTGGATCACTTGAGTCCAGGAGTTTGAGACCCGCCTGGCCAACACAGCGAAACCCTGTCTCTACTAAAAATACAAAATTAGCTGGAGTGGTGGCACAAGCCTGTAGCCTCAGCTACTCGGAAGGCTAAGGCACGAGAATCACTTGAACTTGGGAGGTGCAGGTTGCAGTGAGCTGATACCACACCACTGCATCCAGCCTGGGTGACAGAGTGAGACCCTATCTCAAAATAAATAAATAAATAAATAAATAAAAATAAAACAAAGGTAGCACTGCAGAGAAATAGGTAAAGGACAATGCTATAGGCAGGTTCCCAGGAAACAGGCTTCAAGATGGAGATTCACATGCAGGTGTTTTATGGGGGAGTGCTTTCAGGAACAACACCTGTAAGGAAATAAAGCAAGCACAATTGAGCAGAAGGAGAGATTTAACTGTAATGCAGTTGCAACAGAGGTCTCAGCCAATTCCAATGGCCTTTTAGAGAGACTGCAGTTTGAGGCAAGGGGACCATCCTTGGCGTGTGTACCCCTATGCTAAACAGTCATTAGATGCAAACAAGGGAATCTAACCTTGGATGATGCAGCTCTCTTCCACTAAGGAAAATTCCTGGGGAAAGACTCAGTTATAAGCTATCAGCAGGCAACACTTCCAGTAGTTGCAGGAGTGGGTATCTTGGTCCTGAAACAGAGATCTGGAAAGCTCACCACAGCCAACAATAGAGTGTACCCCTTGCACCACTCAGATCCTTACTTTATATAATAAGTTTAATCTATCTGGAAGCCATTCCTCTAGGATTCTGATTGATCTTTTTTTCTAGAGAAACTTACTGTAAGGGAAAGGTTAAATGGAATTAACTACTGACCTTACTTCTGCAGCTGATTTTGTGACCACAACCGATACACATCATCTATCTCTTCTACTGCCACTATAGATTCTCTTCGTCCTTGGCTAACATCTACACTAGTCTGCATAGCTCACCTGATGGAGTGATCCAGACTGTCATTTCTGGAGGGTCAAGCCCCTGGCACCATGTCTCTCCAAGGCAAGCCAGGGTTCCTACATTTGTCCATTTGCCATCAAAATTGAGCATAGGAATACCAAGACCTAAATGGATACTAAGACTGAAGAATGCTAAGCGTATTACTAACTGGCCACTGTGCATCCACCATAGAAGATGCATTAAACAACCAAGAAGACAGATAACCTGGCCAGTTCACACCAGCCAACCTCTGTCATAAGCCATCAGTTTTGGACAACACAAATGAACTGGTCACAGTGGCAGAGACGAAAGCCATTCATGGGTCCCATAGCATTGGCTCTCACTTTCCAAGCTACTGCCACTCAACTCTGCCGACCTGTCAGCAGCAGAGACCAGTGCTGAGCCCCTGCTATGACACCGTACCTTGAGGAAAACAATCAGCGACTTGGTGGCAGGTTGATTTCATTGAGCCATCTCCATCTGTTAGGGGCAGTAATGCATCTTGACTGGAATCAGCATGTATTCTGGGTATGTGCTTACCTTTCTGACCACGGGACCTCAGCTAGCATGAGTGTCCAAGGGCCTAGAGAGTTTTTGATCCTTAGCAACACAAGATTTTACACAATGTCTCATTAGACCGAGAGGCCCATTTTACAAAAAGAAGATGTATTAGCTTGGTGCAAAGGTAATTAAGGTTTTTGCCATTACTTTCAATGGAAAAAACCGCAATTACCTTTGCCCCAACCTAATGGTAATGCGTACATGACCATGGGATCCACTAGGCCTACCACATGCTGCACCACCCAGAAGCTGCTGGTCTTTTCAAGGTACAGCTGAGGTGCCATCTTGGAGACCATACTCTGTGATGATGAGGTGCTATCCTCCAGGACACATTAAATACCCTAAATAAATGATCATTATTAGTGCCATATTCCCAAAAGGTATTATACATGGGTTCAGAAACCAAGGGTTGGAAACACGAGTAACCCCCTTTTCAACATTGCTCCCAGTTATCCACTCAGGGCCTGTGTACTTCCCAGCCCCACAACTCTGGGCTCTGCTTGTCTAGAGGTCCTGGTTCCCAAAGGGAACCAATATAATGAGTACTATTAATTTTTAAGCTATGATTGCTGCCCTGCTACTTCAAGCAACAAGAAGAATCACCATTCTGAAAGAAGTAAGTGATCCTTATCATTAGGAGGCAGTGGGGCTGCCGCCCTTACCTGCAGCATTGCCTGTTCCTACTTTGGCCTGAACTCAGCTGGCAGCCTTGTGAGGTACTCAATAAATGAGTCAGAGCAGTATCCCCAAGTATGAGATATGCTTTGTTTTTTCCATTGTTGTTATTGTTGTCATTTTTTGTTAGTTTGTTTTTGAGACAGGGTCTTACTCTGTCACCCAGGCTGGAGTGCCATGGCACAATCATGGCTCACTGCAGCCTTGATCTTGCAGGCTCAAGCAATCCTCCCACCTCTGCCTCCCAAGTAGCTGGGGCTGCAGGTGCAAGCCACCACACCCGGCTAATTTTTGTATTTTTTGTAGAGACAGGGTCTCACCATGTTACCCAGGCTGTTTTCAAACTCCTGGGCTCAAGCAATCTGCCCACCTCAGCCTCCCAAAGTGTTGGGGTTACATGTGTGAGCCACTGTGCCCAGCCTCTCCTCTGCCTTGGAGGGGATGACCTGTCATACCATAGACCCTGGAATTCCTAAAACCATCAGTGATATGTTGGGTCCCTAAATCTTTGTGTGTTTTATTCATGCTTCTTAGTGTTCCTGTGTCTTACAAAGACCTTAAATATATTTGCCATTTCTTGCTCATCTAATTCAGTGATCATAGTGTCATTGATAGAGTGAATTAATGTGGTATTCTACAGAATGTCCAGGTGGTCCGGATCACTTCAAACTATGACACAGGGCGAAAGTCACCATAGCCTCAGAACAAGATAGTAAATGTATCATCTTGTCCATCCCATGAACATGCAAACTAGCTTCTAGTCCTCTGGAAAAATACATTTAGATCAAATGGCTTCACAATGTATAACTGAAGCTGTGTTAATCTGCTTAAACAAAGATTCCACATCTGGTAGGGCATCTGTAACTGGGCAACTACTTGTGGAACTTGCAGTAGAACACAGTTATCTTACAGGATCGACTTGGTGTTTATGTAGGCCAGACTGCTGAATTATATGGAGATAAGACGGGGTTCACCACCCATGCATCCCTTACATCTTTAAGGCTGGTATTAATTTTTGCCATTCCTCCCAGGATCTGATACTGATTTTTTATTTATTATTTTGGCCAGAGTGGGGTATGTTGCAGAAATTTCTACATAACCTACGCCACTAGGATAGCTCTTACCCCCCAGTTCAAGGAAACAACATGGGTGTTCTGTCAACTATAAAGTGGGTTCCAATTATATAGCAGAAGATGAGTGAAATGACCACTGGCTGGGTATGTGAACTGGCCCTGGGCCAGGACTCCATTTATTATCTGACTCCCTTAAGCCCCAGGGGCCATGATGATGCTTCGGGTTCCCAGGTATCAATGACAACTTGAGCCTTGTGTCCAACAGTCTTCAAAATACTGAGTATTCCTCTTTCACCAACGTATGGCTACCCTAGTAAATGACTGTAGTTCCTCTGGGGAATGATTGGGGGGAAGTCGTGACTGATATGACTTCTATGGTGTTGCAGGGTCATTCTTTCTGTTAACCTGGCCTCTCACTCAGTCAGTAGATTCTGGGTCTGAAAACAGGCTCATGCTTGGGAACTAGGCAAGAAGTTGTGATTTTTTAAAATATTGGGTCAATGGCACTAGCCTTTTCATTTTTTCATTATCTATCTTTGATTTCTTTTGATTGTACAGATTGAGTAATACATTTATTTTACTTGACATAATTCACAGGTTTATAGATTGAGCAATACTTTTTTTTGCTGTCCATCTACTTCCCCCTAGGGAATCCATATTCTATTAATCTTCTCCATAGCTCTCTCCAGATGATCCTCCTCTCCTCACCACTGCCACCCTGACCTTGCTGCTCATTATAATAATTGCACTCACCTTATTTCTGAAGGCTAAGTGCATGCCCTCTATTATTACAAGACCTTTCATCCCCATTACTGTCAGGCAGCTCAGTTCTGCAACAGCATGTTTTGCCATCAGCTCTGGAGTACAGAGCAACCACTGAGTTTCCAATGACACCAGTGCCATCACTGGCACTCTTTATTGTTTTGGTAAATGAAATGTCTTACAGGCATTTCTGAGGGACACAGTCAACTGATAGGTTTTCTGGCCACACATAGACCATCCACTCTGGCATGCCCTCTTCTCAAAATAATCCATTATATTTGGAAGTCAGGAAAACAGCTATATTTGGGGAAGAGAGAAAGATAGTAACTGGGAGAGAGAATAGGGGTTTTCTGGAGTGCTGGTCATGTTCTATTTCTTGACCTGGATTGCGAAAATCCAATAAGCTATATAATTATTTGTGTACCTCATTCTATGTCTGTTAGACTTCAATTAAAAACAAAAGTTGTTTTTTTTTTAAGAGACCTATGATAAATGGAAAACTAATGCCAAGAGGAGGACTTTGTAGGTTAGAACCAAGAGAAAGCATGTTCTCCCCGGGTTGTTCACGTCGATACCTCTTTACTGCACAGTATGATTGGTCACTCAACAAAGAACACACTCTGTTCATTAGAAGAATTTTTTTTTTTAATTCAAGGGAGCAAACAAGATGGCCTTCCTTGAAACACTCCTCCCTTTGCTTCCATGAAACTGTACCCACCTAGTTCTACTCCTACCTTCCTGACCGGCCCTTCTGTCTCCATTTCTTCCTCTTCCCTTTAAATACAGATGAGAAATACTGAGTGGAGAAGAAACCTCAACTCAACCACTCAACATGACACCCTGAGCAAATTATATCCGTGTGAGAAATCACGTCTTAAATAAGGAGTCCAGATAGTGATACTCACTTTACTTCCTAACAGGGTTACGGATAGATTCAAGGGAGAAAGTGGGCATGAACCATTTTGAAAACTGCAACATAGGAATGAAAGACATTCCTCCAATATTCTGTCCTCAGCAGTAGCCTTTTCTTTTCTGTAATATCTTCCTCCTGGGACAGTTTCACCTACTCTCATGGCTTTAACTATCATCTGTTTGATTATTATTTAAGGAGATAAAAAGATTAAAGCTATAATATAGGCAGAGCAAAACATGAATATAATATATAATTATATTTGGCCTCAGTGTCAGTCTTCCTGGACTTTGGGAGCAAGGCTGGTAGCTTATTTTCCCACATGGAAAAAACTGCTTTTTACCTTTTGCTGTTAATGTCCTTCTGGTGTCATTTCTTTTCTCTATCTCATGATCGGGGCATTCTTCTTTTTTCATACTCTTGGTTTTTCACACTCTCTCTGACTACTTCCTTTCCACTTCTACCCTAGGACAGCAGTTCTCAGACTTCAGCATATAAGAATTTACAGAGGAAAACATTACGCTTAGTGAAAGATGCCACAAAGGACTGCATGGTGTATGATTCCATTTTCTATGAAATGTCTAGAATAGGCAAATCTGTAGAGACAGAAAGCAGATTAGGTGTTGCCTGGGGATGGGGATGGTGGTATGGGGGAATGAGGAATACTGACAGCAGGAATGAGATTGCTTTTTGTGGTGATGTTTGCACAACTCTCTGAAATACTAAAAACCACTAAACTACACATTTTAAACAGGCAACTTACATCTCACAGTTGCTAGGGGGGAAAAAAGAATCACAGGAACGGCTTGTTACACAGATTCCTGGGCCTCACTCCAAGAGTTTCTGATTCAGAAAGTAGTAGATCTCTACTCAGAGTTTCTGATTTAGCAGAAACTTGCATTTCCAACAAGTTGCTAAGTGATGCTGATGCTGCTGGTCCAGGACCACACTGTGAGGACCACCACACTGGAGTAGCACTGTCTAATAGAAAGGTAACACAAGCCACATGTAGAATTAAACATCTTTTCTAGGAGCCACATAAAAATATAAAAAGAAACAAGTAGGCCGAGCGTGGTAGCTCCTGCCTGTGATCCCAGCACTCTGAGAGGCCAGGGTGAGAGGATCACTTGAGGTCAAGAGTTTGTGACCAGCATAGGCAACATAGCAAGACCTTATCTCTACATAAAATTAAAAAAAAAATTATCCAGAAGTGGTGGTGCACACCTGTAGCCCCAGCTACTTTGGAGACTGAGGTGGGAAGATCACTGGAGCCCAGGAGGTCAAGGCTGCAGTGAGCTATGATTGTGCCACTGTACTTCAGCTGGGAGGCCCGATGAGACCCTGTCTCTTAAAAGAAAAAAGTAAAATTAATTTAATATGCTTTAACAGAATCTATCAAAAATAGTTTTAATAGGTTAGGCACGGTGGCTTACACCTGTAATCCTAGCACTTTGGGAGGCCGAGGTGGGCGGATCACTGAGGTCAGGAGTTCAAGATCAGCCTGGCCAACATGGTGAAACTCCATCTCTACTAAAAATACAAACATTAGCTGGGTGTGCTGGTGCATTCCTGTAGTCCCAGTTACTCGGGAGGCTGAGGCAGGAGAATCATATGAGCCTGGGAGGCGGAGGTTGCAGTGAGCCAAGATCTCACCACTGCACTCAAGCCTGGGCAACAGAGCGAGACTCCATCTCAAAAACAACAACAACAAAAAATATATATATATATTTCAATGGATAGTCAATATGATATACTTATTAACGAGATATTTTATACTCTATTATTTATACAAAGTCTTTGAAATCTGGTGCATACAGCACTATACTTAGACCACATTTCAAGTGCTCAATAGCCGCAGTTGGTGGCTAGTGGCTACTGTACTGTAATGTACTAGAGTATTCTCATATTTTCCTTTCTTGAAATGGGCTGGGGTTGGTTAAACCTCATCTGTATAATGGTGTAATCACCATAATATTCTATATTTCACGGGATTGCTGAAGACGTGAAATTAGTTAATAGATGTAAAAATGCTTAGAATAGTTTCGGGCATGTAATAAACAGCATTATCTATTATTATTTCTCTAATAATAGTCATCAAATGAAAGAAAACAATATCTGGCTTGGTGAATTTTGAATAGAATTAAAAAGAAAGACATGTTAGCTATTTCAAGTTCTGACCTAAATCAATGAAATAAAATAATGATAGATTTTAACCTGTTTGTATCACATTGAATGCTTTTGGCTGCAAGAAACAGAAAAATCAATTCAATCAGATTTAATAATGAAACTAAAAGCTCATGTAACTGGGGTACAGAGGGAAAGTACATTTCAGTTTTGGTTGACACAGTTCAAACAATAATGTCATCAAAAGGTGTCAGGCTCTTTCTGTCTCCTTACTCTGACCTTCAGTATTGTTTTTTTCATCCTACAGCTGGTATTCCTCTTGGTTTAAGGATGGCTGTTAGTTACAATTAGGATAGATGCTTCTTGATTTTCATCTGGCAGGAGACACAGAGAGAGCGACTCTCCTCCAGTGACTGAACAAAATCCTTTTCTTCAGTATCATAGGGGCTAACTGGTAAGGCCAGGTGCAGTGGTTTATGGCTGTAATCTCAACACTTTGCAAGGCCGAGGCAGGAGAACCCCTTGAGCCCAGGAGTTGGAGACCAGCCTGGGCGACATAGTGAGACCTCATCTCTACAAAAAAATTTAAAAATTAGCTGGGCTTGGTGGTGTATGCCTGTGGTCCTAGCTACTTGGGAGGCTGCGATAGGAAGATTACTTGGGCCTGAGAGGTTAAGCCTGCAGTAAGCCATGATCACATCAATGCACTCCAGCCTGGGTGACATAGCAAGACCCTGTCTCAACAAGTAAAAATAAAAATAAAAATAAAATAATAATAATAGGGGCTATCTGGGGTGCTGGCGATGTTCTATTTTTTGACCTGGGCTTGCTTTGTGAAAATCCAAGAAGCTGCATAATGATTATTTGTACACTTTACTGTATATATGTTAGACTTCAATTAAAAACAAAAGGTTGATAGAGTGCGGTGGCTCACGCCTGTAATCCTAGCACTTTGGGAGGCCGAGGCAGGTGGATCATTTGAGATCAGGAGTTCAAGATCAGCCTGGCCAGCATGGTGAAACCCTGTCTCTACTAAAAATATAAAAATTAGCCAGGTGGTAGGGGTGCATGCCTGTAATCCCAGCTACTCGGGAGGCTGAGGCAAGAGAATCGCTTGAGCCTCGGAGGTGGAGGTTGATGTGAGCCGAGATCGTGCCACTGCACTCCAGTCTGGGCGACAGAGTGAGATCCTGTTTTAAGGAAACAATTATAAATGGGGGAAAAAAACGAGTAAGAGGAACACTTTTGTTTTGTTTTGTTTTTTGAGACAGGATCTCACTCTTGTCGTCCAGGCTGGAGTGCAGTGGCATAATCTCTGCTCACTGCAGCCTTGACTTCCCAAATTCAGGTGATCCTCCCACCTCAGCCTCCCCAGTATCTGGGAGTACAGGCACATGCCACCATACCTGGCTAATGTTTTGTCTTTTTAGTGAAGGTGAGGTTTCACCATATTGCCCAGGCTGGTCTCAAACTCCTGGACTCAAGCGATCAGCCCACCTCAGCCTCCTGAAGAGCTAGGATAACAGGCGTGAGCCACAGCGCCCAGCCAGGAGGAACACTTTTGGTTAGGAGCAAGATGAAGAGTGTTCTCTTCTTAGCAATATGTAATATTCTTTTGCTTTTTAAAAAACGTATGCAAAAATATAATATACAGCTAATCTGTGTTGATATGTATATGCTAGTTAATTCATATCCCCTGTTGTATACTGTTTTTTGTAAATATTTATTTGTAAATACCACTATTTATCCATTCTTCTGTTTCTAGATATTAAAGACTTTCTTTTTTTTTTTTTTTGAGACAGTCTCGTGCTGCCGGCCAGGCTGGAGTGCAGTGGCATGATCTTGCCTCACTGCAACCTCCTTCTCCCAGGCTCAAGCAATTCTCCTGCCTCAGCCTCCTGAGTAGCTGGGATTACAGGCATGTGCCACCACGCCCGGCTAATTTTTGTATTTTTAGTAGAGACGGAGTTTCACCTTGTTGGCCAGGCTGGTCTCGAACTCCTGACCTCAGGTAATCCGCCTGCCTCAGCCTCCCAAAGTGTTGGGATTACAGGCATGAGCCACCGCACCCGGCCTTTCATATTTTTCTTATTAGAAGCAACACTACTATGAATATGCTTGTACATGTCTCCATGAATAGATATGGGAGAACTATTTCTTTTTTTTTTTTCTTTTTTTTGAGAAAGAGTTTCACTCTTGTTGCCCAGGCTGGAGTGCAATGGTGTGATCTCGGCTCACCCTGCAACTTCTACCACCTGGGTTCAAGCGATTCTCTGGCCTCAGCCTCCCGAGTAGGTGGGATTACAGGCATGCACCACCACGCCCGGCTAATTTTGTATTTTTAGTAGAGATGGGGTTTCTCCATGTTAGTCAGGCTGGTCTCGAACTCCCGACCTCAGGTGATCCGCCTGCCTCAGCCTCCCAAAGTGCTGGGATTATAGGCGTGAGCCACTGTGCCCAGCTGGGAGAACTATATCTAGGGTTACATCTAGGAGTTACACCTAGGAGTGAAATTTCTGGGTCCTGGCACATGCCATCTTCAACTTCATTAGATATGTCAAATTATTCTCCAAAGTGATTTATCTATTAAGATTAGGTTTAGTTGCAAGTGATACTAAGCCCAAAATAATAGCGGGTTTAAAAATAGCAAAACATTTCTCACTTACATAAAATAAATCCAGAGCTAGGCAGTGCAAGGGTGGAGTGGTGGCTTCACAAAATCATCAGGGATACAGGAGACTTCCGTCTTGCTGCTCCACCATTTTTAGCATGCGGTCTTCATCTTGTAGTGCAATATGGATGTTCAAACTTCACTCATCACATACACATTCCAGCCAGCAAGAAGGGAGAAGAGGAGAAGAAAGACTTCCAAGTATATACTGTTGGCCAGCACTTAGTCACCTGATCACACCTAGCTGCAAGAGAGACTGGGATGTGTCATCTTTATTCTGGGTGGTTAAATGCTCTACAAAAAATAGTGGATTCTATTACTAAGGAAGAAAGGGAAAACTGATATTGGAAGTAAATGAGCAGTCTCTGAAACACTGATAATACTATTGTACTATACATGTCTACTAGCAGTGTTGAAGAGTTAAGTTGCTCCACAAACTTAACAACAGGAGGGATCAAACTTTACTTTTTGCAATCTGATTGGTATGAAATGGTTTCTCACTTCTTCATTTAATACATTTTTATTTAGGTTCTACTATTTGCCAGTTACTGCTAAAGGTGCTGGGGAAACAGCAGTGAGCAAATCAAAGTGCTAAATTCACAGAGCTTACATTCTAGTGGAGAAGCCAATAAATAAACAAGTATACATGTATGTGTGTAGATATAAGTTGCTGTTGATAGTTGCTGCTATGGAGAAAGGTGGAATACAGGTAAAGTTGCTATTTTATACAGGTTGGTCAGAAAAGACCTCATTGACAAAAGACATTGACGCTGAAACCTGAAGTGAGGTAGTGAGCCATGGGAATGAATGTGCTAGGGGAGGGCACTCTGTCTCTACTAAAAATACAAAAAAAAAAAAAAAAAATCAGCTGGCGTGGTGGCACAGGGAGAGCAGCAGGAAGAGCAAAGAGGCCAAAGCAATTACAGTGGAGTGAGTGAGAAAGAGAGTGGTAGGATCTGAGGATGTTAGCAGATGTGACCTGGGCAGAGACCCGACATGTTTCTGTGGTCAGGCTTGTGCTCTTGCACTGCTGCCGTCACCATGAGAAAACCATGCTCCAGTGAGCCACTGCCCTTCCCACCTGGACTCCAGAGTGTTCCACAGTTGAAGCACAGGGATCTTAGCTGATCAGCATGAGCAAGAAATAAATGCTTATCGCTGTATACCACTGAGATTGTGTGTGTTCGTTATGCAGCATTTTTGTAGCCATAACTAACTGGTACACTTCTATATCCACCTCCATCCCCAGTTTCTCAGTTTCCCTTCTTCTTTTTTTTTTTTTTTGAGACAAAGTCTCGCTCTGCCACCCAGGCTGGAGTGCAGTGGCGCGATCTTGGCTCACTGCAACCTCCGCCTCCTGGGTTCAAGCAATTCTCCTGCCTCAGCCTCCTGAGTAGCTGGGATTACAGGAATGAACCACCACGCTCGGCTAATTTTTTGTATTTTTAGTAGAGACGGGGTTTCAACATGTTGTCCAGGCTGGTCTTGAACTCCTGAGCTCAGGTGATCCGCCCGCCTCGGCCTCCCAAAGTGCTGGGATTACAGGCATGAGCCACTGTGTCCGACCTCCCTTCTTTTTTCTAAGTGGAATGATTAATTCACTTATTTACAATTTTTTTTTTAAATCTCAAAAGTACTTTTTTTTGAAATGGAGTCTCCCTCTGTTGCCCAGGCTGGAGTGCAGTGGCACGATCTTGGCTGACTGCAACCTCTGCCTCCTGGGTTCAAATGATTCTCGTGCCTCAGCCTCCCAAATAGTTGGGATACAGGCATGTGCCACCACGCCGGCTGATTTTTTTTTTTTTTTTGTATTTTTAGTAGAGACAGGGTTTCACCGTGTTGGCCAGGCTGGTCTCGAACTCCTGACCTCAGGTGATCCACCAGCCTCGGCCTCCCAAAGTGCTGGGATTACAGGTGTGAGCCACCATGCTTGGTCTCAAAAGTTAATTTATTATTTTTTTCCTCTGAGAATAGTTTTGGTTACACAAGACAGCTTTTGATATGTAAAGTGCCCATTGCTATTCTTCTGTAATTAAAAAAAATAGGACCAGAAAAGATAACTATTGGGTGTTGGGCTTAATACCTGGGTGATGAAATAATCTGTACAACAAACCCCTGTGAGACAAGTTTACCCATGGAACAAACCTGCACATGCACCCCAAACCTAAAAGTTAAAAGAAAATAATTGCAATTTATATTTCCTCTATCTCAAGATAATTTTTATTTTGCAATCTTTTAATATTAGTTCTAATTTCATTGTGGCTAGAGAACATACACTGTATCATTTCTTCTTTTTGAAGTTTACCATTTTAAAATTTTCTTTGTGAACAAGTGTATGATTGATTTTTGTGAATGTTCCTTGGACAAGAATAGTTGTATTTTCTATTATAAGATACTAAGTTCTATTCAAAACTATTATATCAAGCTCGTTGAGGGTTTAATTAAAATCCTCCATAGCCTTGTTATTATTATTAGTCATTTGGTACATCAAAGTTTAGAAACACGTATTAAGCCTTCTAATAAAATTATAGTTTTATGAAAATCTCCTTGTATTTTTTAAAAGGTTTTGCCTTATGTAGTTTGCTACTAAACTGCTTGATGTATAGAGATTTATAACAACTATATATATATTTTTTTGAGTCGGAGTTTCACTCTTGTTGCTCAGGCTGGAGTGCAATAGCGTGATCTTGGCTCACTGAAACCTCCACCTCCTGGGTTCAAGCGATTCTCCGGCCTGAGCCTCCCAAGTAGCTGGGATTACAGGCGCGTGCCACCACGCCTGGCTAATTTTTGTATTTTTAGTAGAGACAGGGTTTCTCCATGTTGGCCAGGCTGGTCTCCAACTCCTGACCTCAGGTGATCTGCCCACCTTGGCCTTCCAAAGTGCTGGGTTTACAGGCATGAACCACCATGCCTGGCCCAATTATATCTTCTTCATTTGGCTTTTTATCATTATAAAACAGTATTTTGGAACATACATTTCTCCTTTATTTTTCATTCTAATCCATCATTGCCTGATGTATCTCAATGGCCTACTCTGCACAGATGGTGACAGAATCCACATAATATCAGTTAGTATGGGCTGGGTTATGCTACAGTAACAATGATCCCCGAAATCAGTGGCTTACAACAACAAAGATTTATTTCTCCTCACACTACACAGGCCTCTGAGGGTCTCAGCTAAAATCAATGGCAGTTTTTTTTCTGGAACACTGTTGGTCATCTTGGCAGAGGAACAGAGAGCATAAAAACTTCAGCTAGAACTAATACACATTAGTTTCATTTACATTTCGCTGGTCAAGATTAGTGTTCACATGATCTTGCTTCACTAGAGCAAGAGACTGAAATCCTTTTACAAGGTGAGTCACTGAATATTTATGAGTTATACAGTTTAGATACACACACTGATGTGTGCAGACATTAGAAAAATCATAGTCATATATAGGGGCATTCAATAGCTTGAAGAAAGTAAACCAAGACCAAAACACAACAAAACAAAACAAAACAAAACCACCAAAATCCAGAATAGCTGACTCCTGCTATCAGTGGAATTAAATGGCTTCTCCTGGAGCTACTTTTCTCCTTCTACACCAGGGTCTACTGCCCGGGGCCCTTCAGGTAGCATTGGACTGAACAGTCTTCTCCCCAGATTAGACAGAAGCAGGACTCTTCTGAGACTGCTGGCTCTTTGATCCTTCTCTGACATAGCACTGTCAGCTTACAGATGTGTCCCTTTGCCTATATCATAATATTTTACATCATCCTCTCAAGAACCCAAAGCTTCAGGCTGGGCATGGTGGCTCATGCCTATCATCTCAGCACTTTGGGAGGCAGAGGCAGGAGGATTGCTTGAGCCCAGGAGTTCCAGACCAGCTTGGGCAACAGAACGAGACTTCATCTCTACAAATAATAATTTAAAAGAAATTAGCTGGGCACAGTGGTGCATGCCTGCAGCCCCAGCTACTCGGGAGGCTGAGGCAGGAGGATTGCTTGAGCCCAGAGGGTTGAGGTTGCAGTGAGCTGTGATTGCACTACTGCACTCTGACCTGGGTGACACAGCAAGACCCTGTCTCAAAACAAAACCCAAAACCTTAGATTAAGATCCCTTTCAGGATCAAGCCTTTGTCTTAAAGAGAGAGGTAGTCAACGGTGTTTGTCTACAAAACACTCTAACTCAACTTTCAGTTCTTCGTCATTTCATGCTGGCTTCTTTCTCTCAGTCAAGAATTTCTCTAAAACTCATCCTAGTCCTACACATCTCTGCCACTCACCACCACTATGTGTGTCTGGAAGTCTCATCTGTCTTGCAGCACGATCACCATTATTTCCTTTACCATCACGTGGTAATCATAGGTGCTGCTCACCCTTATCTGGTTCTGTTTCTCTTTTGAACACATGGTAGGACTGCACTTTCTGGCTTCCTTAGGGTTGGTTCTGTGTTGAGTTTTGACATGACTTGTGAGAAGTGATGTCTGTCTTTTCTGGACTCTTGGTAGTGTGAGATCCTCTAGAGTTCTCTCTTTCCCTTTTGGAAAAATACATTGATGTTTTTGGGGTTTTTACTGTTGCATAACCTAGCCTATCCTGACCTAAACACATCCTTTTAAAGTATTCAAAATGTACATGACAAATTCAAGACACCTATAACCTTTGATATGTCTTTAGACACCTAAAGAGTACAAAATGCTCTACAACACTTGAGGTACAAATGTATTCACTGCACTCTTATCTGGCTAAGTCAAAATTAGATTGGCTCAAGCACCAGATGCCATTTAAGTAGGAAGTTCAGAATCATTCTATTAGGCGATTGCCACTTACCCTACATGATTTTTCTGTGTAGTCCACACACCTTCCGCATCAGAATCACCTGGGGTATTTGTTAAAAACACAGGCTCTCCTGCTACCCCTTAAATGAGAATATCTGGCAGCAGGAATCAACATGCCCCCCAAGTCATTCTTATGCATACTTCACACACGATCTTTCTGTCTGAAATTGCCTTGCCCTACTTTGCATGTCTGAGTCTTATATGAGTTTTAGACCAACACAATCCAAAAGTACTTTCTGCAATAATAGAAATGTTGTATACATGCACTGTCCAATACAGTAGCTATTGACAATTTTTTTTCTTTTTTTTTTTTTTGAGATGGGGTCTCCCTCTGTTGGTTGGGCTGGAGTGCAATGGTGAGATCTTGGCTCACTGCAGCCTCAAATTCCTGGGCTCAAGCGATTCTCCTGCCTCAGCCTTCTAAGTAGCATGGACTAGAGGCATACACTACCGTGCCCCGCTATTATTTATTTATTTATTTATTTATGTTTGCAGACATGGGGTTTCACTATTTTGCCAGGCTTATCTCGAACTCCTGGGCTCAAGCAATTCTACGGCCTCGGCTTCTCAAAGTGCTGGGATTACAGGTGTGAGCCACAGTGCCCGCCCACTATTGGCTTCTTGAAATATGGCTAGTATGACCGAGAAACTGGATTTTTAATTTAAATTAAAATGGCCACATGTGATTAGAGGCTACCATACTGGACAGTGCAGTTCTAGACTGTTAGCTCCTTTAGATCAGAAACGATATCCTCCATCTCTGTATCCCCTCTGTGCCTGGCACAAAGTAGCCAAGTAAATGAAAATTGAAGTAGAAAATAGCCTAGGCTATTTTTTTTGTTTTTGGCTCAGGGTATATTAAGCAATGAAAAAATACAAAATATGACTACAAAGATTATAGTATATTTGAAATGTTTACCTTACATTTACAAAGCAACTTTACTGTCCAGTTCTCAAGGTAAGTACAGTATTAAAATATTAAATCATAGACACATTGGTGTTGATGACAATGCCTAAGAATAGTCATAGCACTCAGTTACCTTTCTGCCTTCAACTTAGCAAATATAAAAGATGTATTAAGACAACAATGAATCCTGCTTAGAATCTTCCATGTACCTTCAGTTAAAGAAAGTATGTGGAAATAGATACACTAGTGAATAGTACCAGATCATTAATATTTGAAATCAAAGAGTTTAAAACAAGGAGTAGGATTTAGATTAGATATACAGAGAGCTAATCCTTCAAATTCTGGCCTACTAGAAGAGAATACTGAGCAAGATTGTGAGAAAATGATTTGATGGGAGAACCTGGGACTTGAAGCTTCCCACTTATGCTTGTCAACCATTACTTCACCTATCCATCTCCCTCAGGAAAAAAAAAAAAAAAGCAAAGTTAAGAGAATGACATGCTGCAGAGCTGCAATAACATTAAAAGACAATTCATCGTTTTAGCTCTATTTATCTTATGTAAAATGCTAGAGAACTCATAAACAAGATATACTCTTAGCAGAGAAGGGTGTATACGTTTTTTTTTTTTTTTTTTTTTTTTTTTTGAGAAGAGTCTCGCTGTGTCACCCAGGCTGGAATGCAGTGGCACAATCTCAGCTCACTGCATCCTCTGCTTCCCAGGCTCAAGCAATTCTCGTGCCTCAGCCTCCCAAGTAGCTGGGATTACAGGTACACACCACCATGCCTGTCTCATTTTTGTATTTTTAGTAGAGACGGGGTTTCACCATGTTGGCCAGGCTGGTCTCAAACTCCTGGCCTCAAGTTGATCTGCCTGCCTTGGCCTCCCAAAGTCCTGGGATTACAGGTATGAGTCACTGTGCCTGGCCAGGTGTATAAGTTTTAACTTTTACCTGAAGTGAGGGAAAGGGACTAGGAATAAGATAGTCATCATAAGTGTATTTACCATTCATTTTCCTAGTTTTTTCACAAACAACTTGAAGTGGCTAGTGAAATTACAAACAGAATGTAGAAAATTATAGGTAAGCCGGCTGGGTGCAGTGGCTCACCCTTATAATCCCAGCACTTTGGGATGCCGAGGTGGGTGGATCATGAGGTCAGGAGTTCAAGACCAGTCTGGCCAACATAGTGAAACCCCATCTCTACTAAAAATACAAAAAATTAGCCAGGCGTGGTGGTATGCACCTGTAATCCCAGCTACTTGGGAGGCTGAGGCAGGAGAACTGCGTGAACCCGGCAGGCGGAGGTTGCAGTGAGCTGAGATTCGCCATTGCACTCCAGCCAGCCCAGGCAATAGAGTGAGATTCCGTCGCAAAAGGAAATTATAGATAAACCAGAGAAGGAGAAAACCCAAACTTAAGTACAAGGTTCAGTACCAGTAGAAAACAAATTAGAATGCAGATATACAGACCACAGGTTTCTACTCAGGCACTAAAATGGAGCCACACTTTGACTCAGAGCTTCATGGCAGCTAAGGTGAAAAGGAACACATATCCAGCTATGCAATTCACTTGCTGTAAGCAAGACACATCAGTTATTCAAGAGTAGCCAAGCTCTTCATGATACCTGGCTCTGAAAGAAAATTCTCATGTGATCAAGTGCACAGTAACAATCCTATAGTAAAAGCTATTGGAGCTTAGAAGATGATACCCCAATATATGGCACTTTGAAGTACTAAAGAAGCAGCTTCAAAATCTGACACCTCTTCACCCACATCCCATCTCCAATCTTATCTCTCCTAAAGCTCAGGATGAGGCTCTTCTCTTTAGTTCCCTTATATACCTATAAATTGGACCCATCAAAGAGGAACACAATTGCCTTTGATTCCCTCCCTGAAATTAACTAGAGATTAAACCTCACATCAGAGGAAGAGACTGAAAATTAAACACCACATGTAGAGCCCAAACTTTGTCCCAAACTATCATCCACTTTCCCTTCCCACTCAATTCCCAAAGAGAATCATTTACTAACCATTGCCTGAGCATTGGAGCCATTTATTCCTCCTAAAAATAACTTACTGTCCCTTAAAATTACCACATCTCCCCCATCTCTCCTTCTCTTATTAAGGGTATATAAGCATCTGGACCTCGTTGTGTTACTGGATAATCATTCTCCTGTGATTCCCCTGTGCTTATGCACGTTAATAAATTTGCATACCCTTTTCTCCTAATCTGCATATTGTCAGTTCATTTTCAGCACAGCTTCAGAGGGCAGAGGGGAAGCTTTGCCTATTTGCCCACACAATGCACTGGTGGGCTCTGTGGAGTTGTCTCTTCCAGAATTGCTTAACATATGCAGAAGACACAATACTCAAAATACAAGCCATGAAAACACTCTTGGTGGTGGATGAGGAAAGTTTCTGTGTGTGTGCTCAGGACAATATGGTCAGGTATGCAGTGTCCTGATGGACCAGCTAATATTGTGTGGCTGACTAAAGGCAGATACATACTGTTTAGAATTCAGTAATCTAAAAAGCAGATGGTAGAGGGCTGACAGCCTTTTGTGAAGAGTGAGTCACCCTATTAAGATTCTCACCTAAATAGGAACATTCCTCTCCATATGGTAGTGAATAGAGAGAGCCCCTGCAGGCAATCTAGGATTTTCCTTAAAAAAACAACACTTCAAAAATAAAAAAAATAAGTGTTCAAGACCATCAAGTTCCATCCAATAGAGCAAGAGGTCTGCGAACTCACAGACAAGTCATGTTTTTCTTTTCTTTAAAAAAAATTCCCATTAGTTACCAATATTTAGAGGTCAACAGATTTCAAATCTGGCAACTTTGGATGCTTATACCACATAGCAACAATCTGCTGGGCTGAGTATAGAGTACTTACCCACCTGCCTAGGCCATTTAGGCATTAGAATGCTCTGTTGGAGAATGATCAAAATTTGGATTGAAATTTTTCAAAGAAGAAATGATCAGTTGCTCACTCTGACGGTAGGAAAATCTAATTAATGCTCCCATGAAATGTATGGCTTTTAGCAAAGTGGCTGGCCAGTAAATCTACCTGGAAGAATTACTTGCAAAACATACCCTTAAGTAAATAAATTAACGTGGTATTTAGTTACTGGATCTAAGCCAATTAAATTTGAGGACATGTGCCCTAAAAAATTATTTTAGTTTTGGAACAGGTGATCTTGATCCATTCCTTCTGATAAACGGTGAGCAACAAAATCAGCCATAAAGTTTATTATAATAAAATATCATCAGCATATAGGAAGATAATGGGTTTTTTGATTTCTAAAGCGAGGGAGCATGTGTCCAAATAACCTAAAAGTGGTTTCAAATTACTTAAACATAAGTTAAAAACAAGAAGGGCTACAACTATTTTATGCTACCTAAAATACTTTTTGATCCGTCTGAACAATTCTATTGATCTGGACTTTCCAGGTCATACAGAAGTCTTGGTTTTATATGAACCTGGATTCTATATTTAACTCATGCAACTTAACCTGAAACCAGCTCTTATTCACAGAGTCAAAGCATGAGAAATCATTTGAAGCTTCAAACGTTCTTTTAAGAACAAAGTTTATTTTTCTAATTATAAAAATTATCATTGTACATTGTCAACAATTTGGAAAATAAAGAAAATTTACATTATTTTTCTCTCAACTATTTATTTTTAAAAATTTCAAAGCAACAGAATACAGATATGCAGGCCAATTCACCCACTTACAAACGCTGAGCCAACAAATTTACTCAGAGCTTCTTGGCAAAGTGAAAAGTGAAAAACAGGCAGTTATATAATTCACATTGCCTATAAAGAGAAAACACATCAGTTACTCAAGGGTAGCCAAATATTTCATGACTTGTGGCTCAGAGAGAAAATTCTCTTGTGTTCATATGAGGAACACAGAGTGATATCACACACAACAACCTGTCAACTATGCCTTCTAGAATTCCTCAGTATAAGGGAAAGGGTACATAGTATGAAGCCTGGGGGGTTAAAAGCATGGATTCGAATCCTAGCTTTATCACTTATTAATTGTACCTTGAGTAATTACTTAACTTTCTATGCCTTGGCTTCCTGTTTTATAAAATATTGTGAATAATATCACCTACTTCAAAGGGCAGTTATGAGGCTTAAATGAACTAATGCCTACAAAACACTTAAACATAGATAACATAGGTGCAAGTACTATGTATCTGGTACATGGTAAACATCCTTATTATTAAAGTCAACGCTAAAATGAATGTGTGTGCATATGCTAATAGTACAGAGAGAGGGCACTTAAACCAACTAAGGGCCTGAGGGAAGGTTTCCTGGAAAGAGGATGCTTGTGCTGGGTCCAAATCTTGGTCTACTATGACCTTGGCCAAATTATTTAAACTTTGTCCCTATCTGCTAAAACAGATACTTTGTCAGTGATCTATACAATAAGCTAATGTTTACAAAATTAAGTAAGATAATACATGAGGATTAGACAAGCAAATGTATTAAAGCATGGCATTAGTGACAAAAAATATTTCCTCTTGAATCTACTGGAAAAATATAAATTATTCTTGCATTTAACTTTTATTTGTGTCCATTTTAACAACTAACCAATTTTAGTTTAGAAACAGTTATATATAAATATTCATTTAGATCACAACAAAACTACCTAGAAGGAATGTTAGGTGACAACGCTGGTTTAGCACAATTCTCCTGTTCTTTTTTTACCTCCATGGAAATGCCTTAATATATTTGTGTCCATTTTTGAGGCATACTGTGTTTACTTAACAGTGTAGGTAAGTACAACACTCTTGACTTCCATTAGATAGAGCTAACTGCGCCCTTATCTGTATCACTTTATATATCCCTCATTTCACTTCATACAGATTCTGTTATAGTATATTGTATTATACTTACAATATATTTATATCTAGCTTTTAGGGTCTTGCTCTGTTGCCCAGGCTGAAGTGCACTGGCACAGTCATAGCTCACTGTAATCTGGTAATAGCTCACTGTAACCTCAAACTCCTGGGCTCACCCAATCCTCTTGCCTCAGCCTCCCAAGTAGTTAGAACTGCAGGTGCGCACCACCACACCTGGCTAATTTTTAGAAAATTTTTGTAGAGATGGGTGTCTGGCTATATTGCCCAGGCTGGTCTCAAACTCCTGGCCTCAGGTGATCTTCCCATTTTGGCCTTCCAAAGCACTGGGATTACGGGGCATGAGCCACCACAATCAGGTCTATCTTATTATTTTTTATTTTTATTTATTTACTTATTTTAATTTTTTTTTTGAGACAGAGTTTTGCTCTTGTTGCCCAGGCTGGAGTCCAATGGCGAGATCTTGGCTCTACACAACCTCTGCCTCCCGGATTCAAGTGATTCTCCTGTCTCAGCCTCCTGAGTAGCTGGGATGATGGCATATGCCACCATGCCCGGCTAATTTTTGTATTTTCAGTAGAGACGGGTTTTCATCATATTGGTCAGGCTGATCTCAAACTCTTGACCTCAGGTGATCTACCCGCCTCGGCCTCCCAAAGTGCTAGGATTACAGGCATAAGCCACCGCGCCTGGCCTTACTTTTTTTTCTTTTTTTTTTTTTAAAGAACTATGACAGCTAGTTACATACTTAGTATTTCTCTCTCTCTCTCCAAATTGTGAGTTCCTTGAAAACTGTGTTATAGCCATAGTATCTAGGACAGAAGCTGGCATGAAATATACTGATTCTTAGTGGTTGGAAAATGGTCTGAGAAGGATTTGAAGTGTGCTGTTATAAGCAAGTGAGTCTGATATGAAATTGGGGTGATTGAGCCCGGGGGTTGAGGCTGCAGTGAGCCAAGATTGTACCACTGCACTCCACACTGGGCAACAGAGCAAGATGCTGTCTCAAAAATAAAAAATAAAAATAAATAAAAGTATTGAATCAGATATGACAAAAAATAAAAAAATAAAACTGGGGGGATTATCTAGGAATTAATGAGAAAATCATAGACTCAGCTTGATCTCATCCTTTGCCAGATGCGAAAACCAAAGCCTGGAGTAGTTGAGGGATTTGTTCAAAGTTATCTAGCTAGTTAATGGCCAGAATCAAGACTAGAATCTCAAAACTCCCATCAAACTAGTCTAGAGGCCAATCCACTATATTGATCTGCCTTTCAGATCTCAGTGATTTGGTATCTATCTCCACTATCCCACTGAAGTTTGCTATTGTTGGTTACCAATCACTTTTCTGTTGCTAAATCCAGTGAATGCTTTCCAGTTCTTGATATACTTGGCCTTTTTGTGGTCTCTGACTCTGTTGACCCCTCTCCATCTTGCTTGCTTGGCTTCAGAGGCATTAGGCTCACCTAGTTCTCCTTTTCTCTCTCTGGCCATTCTTCCTCAGACTTCTTTTTGGGCTTCTGATCATCTGCACCTCCTTTTAAAGTTAGTGCTCTCCAGGGGCCCTATCCTTGCCTCTCCTTATTATGTCTTCTGTATTTTCTCCCTGATTGATCTCATCCATGCCTCGGGCTTAAATTACCAATTATTAATTTATTTCTTCCAAATCTATTTTAACTCAACCTCTTTCCTCATTCATAGACCTGTACAGTTTGAGTGTTTATTGGACATTTTTCTCTAGATGTGGAGGTTCCATCAGGTCACAGTCATATTGCTATAGTCTCTGAGGGGACCTACTGAATTGTACCCTTCTTTTCCAGGTAATGGAGAAAGCTGCAGGAAACCAACTATTATCTTTATTACTGACTGTATCAGTTTCCTATTGCTGTTGTAACAAGTTAGCACAAACTTGGTACCTTAAAACATACAAGTTTCTTATCTCGCAGTTCTAGAAGTCAGAAGTCCTAAAATCAAGGTGTTGGCAGGGCTGTGTTCTTAGGGTGCTAGAGAAGAATCCATTTCCTTGCCTTCTCCCGCATCTACAATTTGCTTGCGTTTCTTGGGTCCATCTTCAAAGCCAACAGTATAGCATCTTCAAATCTCTGTCTGACCTCTGCTTCCATCATCACATCTCCTTCTCTGACTCTGACCCTCCTGCCTCCAGCCCAGTCAGACAATCCAGGATAATCTCCCTAGATACATCATTTAATCATATCTGCAAAGTCCCTTTTGCCACATAATATAACATATTCATGGGTTCTGAGTATTAGGGTGTGGTCATCCTTTTTTTTTTGGTTGGGGGGGATCATTATTCTGTGTAACACAGCTGACAAAGCTGGTATTAAATATTATCTGTGGACAGACAGCTTCCTAATGCCAAACTCTGGAATTAAATACATATACTCTCTTTGTAGCCCTGGACTAGGCACCCTTGTCCCTACCCACAGGCCCTGCTCCAGAAGAAACGGAAAAGAACACCAGGACAGTTCCCTGAAGATAGTTATCTTTTAAGAGAAAAAGAATGGGATAGATGCCACATGTCCAGTTTCTCCCATTTAAGTTCACCAATCAGGAAGTCACTCCTCTAGGCAAGAGTGAGTTGCAGACAGGTATAAGAGAAACCAGGAGAGTATTACACTAATGGATATCATTCCATATGGAAGAAAGACATTGTGAATGGAGAGTAAATGTTTCCCTAACAAACATATCCATATTTGAACTCATCATCATACTCCACATATCTGGTCATCCTCCTAAGAAATGTCACCATCACTATCTATAATAGTAACTTAGACACTTGTGGATAATCAAGACTCATGTAGCTTGCCATCTTGCTAAATGTTACCACTGTCTACCTCAGCACTCATGCTAGAAACCTGGCCTACTCATTTATCCGCACTCAGTGCTGTGAATTCTACCACCTTAATGGCGCTAACATCTATCCCCTCCTCTATTCCCACTGCCAATGCCTTGTTTAATGTTCTTATCACTTGTCTGGAGTACTGCAATGGCCTAAAAATGGGTCTCCCTGCCCCAAGCCTTGCTTTTCCTGACCATTTTCACTTTCTACTTTTACTCATGAAGCTTCCTTTGCCCGGAATTAAGTCCTTCCCAATTTGTCTCCTCCAACAACTGCAAGGGCGGTCCCCTAGCTTGCTCCAGCGTCGGGGATAACTGACTTTCCTACACCAGCTACAGTCAGACCTGCACCCGGATTTCTAGGACTCTTATCTATGTAGATAGATAAATACATTTTTTTGAGACAGTGTCTTGCTCTCACTGCAGAGGCTGGAGTGCAGCGGCGCGATCACGGTTCACTGCAATCTTGAACTCCCCAGGTTCAAGCGATCCTCCCACCTCAGCCCCCCGAGCATTTGTGACTACAGGCGCGCGCCAACATGCCCATTTAGTTTTTGTCTTTTTTGTAGAGACGGGGTTTCACTATGTTACCCAGGCTGGTGTCGAACTCCTGAGCTCAAGCGATCCGCCCACCTCGGCCTCCCAAAGTGCTGGGATTACAGGCTTGAGCCACCAAGTCAAATGGGCTTTATACTTACAAAGTACCTTTGCATACCTTATTTCATTTTCACCTCACAATTCTCCAGCGTAGGCTGGACCGGTATTATTATGCCCATTTACTGAGAGAGGAAACTGAGAGTCAAGGCTGGGCCAGTCACACCCTGCTGCGAAATTAACGAGCATCACTTAGCAGCCTCGACATTAACCGCGCTCGCGCTCTCATCCCTTTCTGGTCCTACTCCTTGGAGAACCTTCCTGCACCTCCAAGAACTTGCCGATCGGGTCTGCGGCGGTCTGGACGAGGTCACTCCACAGGCGCCCAGGACCTTCTCATCCGTAGTGACGTGCGCCGGTGACGCCATACAGTGACGTGTGGTGACTCGACTTACCCGGAGCCAGGTGCCGGCAGGGCAGCCACACCCTGGGGCCCCCTGTTCTGGAGGGGCAGAGGGTCGGGCCGATGCGAAAAAGCCGCGGAAGCTGCCTTAGGCGACTTTCTGGGCCTGCATCGCCGGACCCAGCAGCCCGCTGTCGATCGGTTGCTAAGTGACGCCAGCGCGCAGTGGCGCGTGCGCGGCCACGGCGGAGTGCGTGAAAGCGGACGCGCGCCGCAGCAGCCGGGGCGGCGGCGAGGACGGCGGCCACGGAAGCGGCCAAGGGGGCGGTGGCGCAGAGAGGGGTGCGGAGCGGGCGGAAGAGGCGTCTGTGTCGCAGCTTGGTCTCAGAGGAGCATCGCTGGGGTGAGTAGCCGGGTCCTTGCAGGGGAGGTGGGGCCTGGCCGCACCTGCGGCGCGGGGACGCGCGCCCCCGCCGTATCCGCGCGCACCGCCCCCCGCCCCTCCGCCGCTTTTTCCGGGGGCGGGGGAGGAGCTGGGACGGGGCCTGACGAGGGTCATTTCTTGGGCCCGGGTGCTCTGGGAGAGCGGTAGCCGTCCCGTTCGCAGTCCACGAAGGTGTAGTGGGAAGTAGACGTTTCGGGGATTCGGGGTGGCTCTACCAGCCTCCCAAAGAGAGGAGTTCGAATCAGGGGCAGCCCAGGTTCCCTAGCAGTCTCGTATCCTGTCTGAGACGACGTTGCCTGGGACTGAGGAGGCGAAACCCGGGACCCCGGGGTGGGGGTTTGGAAAGTTTGGGACTGCTGGGGCCCTCATCTCCCCTGCCCTGGCCAGCCTCTGAGTAGGAGCTGGTTGTTATGGAGAGAGTTGTGAATCAGTGCCTGCGTGCGGCATCAGACACACCCACGACCTTGGGAGGGCGACCTGTCAGTATAGATCCGGGGCAGCCAACCTGTTGCCTAGAGTTTCTAACTTCACATGTATGTGCATGTGTTTCCTTGGCGTTTTAGTACATTGTTGTTACAGATTTTGAGACCAAGGTGCTGATAGGCATCCTCATTTCTTACTTCCTCATAGACTTAGTTATCTTGCTATATTTCCCAGAACCGTGTTGTGCTTTTGTCATTAGTAGATCCAAGGAAGTATGGAAGCATGTTTTGTTTGTTTTTCCTAAAGGCAGTACAGGCTGCTATTTTCTGGGCAGAAAATACGGATTCTGTTCACTGTGTGGGCGGAAAGTGTTGATGATGGGAGAACCCAGCATGTAAAGGTGTAGCTCATCCTCAGCCCTGTGCTGTCTTCTCAGTGCTCTGGACTCTATCATGGGTAGATGTATAGGGGTTGTGGTTACCATACTTGGGAGCGAGGAATATTGGAGACAGGGAAGAAGCCAGTCTTTTCTTTCTGTTGATTAAGGCAATTTGTAGAACCAGTGAAAAGATAGGCTGTACTGAAATCTAATGTTTTGTGTAAGAGGATAGAGGAAAATAAGTTCAAGGTTCTCATTTAGGTCTAAAATTCTATGATTCTGTTTCATAACTGAGAATCTGTAAAGTATGTTACCTCTTGGAACCAGTAATAACCTTGCTTTGTAACACTTATTAGATTACTCGGAATTCAAAGTGTCTTCCTCCCTCCACTGTAATAGCTTTTAGGACAGGAGTCATCTGTGTTTTCCTCCTTGCCCTATGTCTAACACATAGGAAAAATGTGCTTGCCACAGAGTAGGCATGCAATGGATATTTGTTATATAGCACACTATGCTCAAGTGGTGTATCTATGTATAGAAAGCATTGAGTTCAGTCCATCAAGTACTTAATACATGTGCCTCCCTCTGCCCAGTATCATGATAGGTGTGGGAGGAGGATTATGGAGTGAAAAATGACATAGAAGACCTGTCTTTTTTTTCCCTTTGAGAGCAGTAGTCTAGCTAGGAGATGTATAAAATAATTATAAAACCAAGTTAAGTAGCAGGTAACCAGTGCTGTTTGAGGACTATAAATGTGGTAGAAAATCAGAAAAGATAGGATGTGTAGGCTGAGTTAGGGAACTCTTTGAAAGAGGCAAGATTTGACTTGGTCTCTGAAAGAAGTTAAAATTTGTTAGGAAATAAACCAGGAGCTGAGAAAATAATAATGTGAATTTGGTTGTTGGAGGATATACCAAGACGACTTTTATGTCTGGTAACTGGAGCGGAACGTCTCTTATAGGGGAATACTGGAGAGAGATGGCTTAGCAGGTTGGGAAGGCAAAGTGTTAAGGATTAAGGCGGGCTTATCAGCATCCCACTGTTAACAAGATACAGCCTTCTTGTAAGGTGGGATAGAGGTTGTATTAATCAGAGTACAGTCTTTGACAAGAATAAGTGTTATCCTTACTTGAAAGTAAAGGATATTACGCTTGAACCAATATCAGGTTGTTAATATACTTTTGATTTCAATTACTAATTGGAATCGATGCCTCACTAATGTGCATGTATTTTAGGTAGTCAGTGGTGCATGTCTCATTATCTAAAATCTACCTGATGTACTTGGGCCATTGTATTGGAAATTTACTGAAATGATGTACCAATAGTCATCCAGTCACACTCAGTGACATAGTTTTGCTTGGGATTATCTCTCTGAGGTTTGTCTTTACTGCTGATCCTGTAAAATATACAAATGTTAGTTGGGAAAGGAGTCTTTCTGATGAACGATGCTTAAAAATACTGACCAAAGAGATTTCAGAATAATTAAAGACCCTGCTGCTGAATATTGAACCCTTGGTCTTTATTTATAACATCTTCTGTTATGTGAAAATTCTTTTGAGTGGTATGTAAACCTGAAGTTGAATTGCTAACCAAGATGTGTAAAGTTACAACTGCAAATGTTGCATTATTTAACAACTCAGCAGATACTTACTGGGTGCTGGCTATGGCGAGACACTTCGTTGGGTGCTGGGAAGACAAAGAAGTTAAGACACAGTATATGCTCAGCATACTAAGTGTTCATCAGAAGAGATAAACCACTAACCATTATGTGCTGTGACAAATTAATCACTTTTGGAATGAATAATGTGCTGGGGGAGTAGAGTGCTTTGGCTGGAGAAAAAACTGATAGGGAACATGTTGAGAAGAAGGGGATGGAGCTTAGCTCTGAGGGTTAAATAAAATTTCGCCACATGTAGAGGTGGAAGAGAGCATTCCAGGGGCCAGCATAAGCAAAGTTGCTGAATATTAAAATTAAATAGCGCTTTTGGAAATATCTTGAGTTGTTTCTTGTGGGCAAGAGAGGGGAGAGGGCTGAACTCATCTCAAGAACCCATTCCTGAGATAATGAACCCATTCCTGCTATAATGGCATTCATCCATTCATGAGGGCCTAATCACTTCTTATTGCATGGGGGAAGTGATGAGGCAGGAAGCTGTTTTTGGAGCCAAATTATGAGGGGGTCTTCCACTTCATCCTAAAAAGTCTAGACTCCTCCCATCCATTGGCAGTGGAGAGCCATAGAAGGTAGAATAATCAGAAAGTTGACAGTTCGTGTGCAGATTGCATTAGAGTAGAGAGGCAGGGAGACTAGAGTGTAGGTGAGAAATGTTGGACAATGGGAATGGATAGATTTTGGAGACATTTTTAGATGTTAAAATCTCTACATTTATGACCAGCTAGAGGTAAGGGAGAGTGAGAAGTCAAAGATAATATGTCTAGTTTGAGCAACTGTTTGCTTATGATGACATTAAGTTAGAAATCACAGGAAGAGGAACAGGTTTGAAGTGGAGAGAAGAAATAATGGCAGTGTTAATTCTGAGGTTTCTGTGGGGAGTTTAAAAAGAGAGATCCACTAAGTAACTGGAAATGCTACTTCAGAGTTTATGAGATGGTTAGGGACAATTGTAATATAGATGTCCGCTGAGGCTGTGGGAGTAGCAACCTTCTAGGAGGCATGTTAGTATAGTAGTTAACTTAGTGGACTTTGGAGTTAGGAAGATGGCAGGTCAAATCTCTGTTATGCTGTTTATTGGTTGGCTGACCTTTGGCAAGTTATTTAACTTCTCTAAGCCTAGGCTTCTTATCTGAATTAAAGAATTGTGGAGATTATACATGTGCACAGTGATTAACACAAAGGTACTATGTGCACAGTGATTAACACAATGCCTGTCTTATAGATGCTTAATATAATAAATGGCAGCTGTTGCTGTTATTGTTAGTAGTAGTTATAGATGTAGAGATAGTAGGAGAGGCCCCAATGCCAGAAAAATGGAGAGTGAGAACTGGAAAAGATGGTGAATGGAACTTTTGGACGTTTAAATCAGTATTTAAACTTGGATCAGTTCTTGTCTTTGTTTTGTGCTGCTATTTCATATTTTATGTTTCATAATGGCAGCACAAAACAAACTAAGACAAGAACTGATCTAAGTTTAATTTATAAAGAACAGTCTGGTTAATTTATAAAGAACAGAAATTTATTTCCTGATAGTTCTGGAGGCTAGGAAGTCCCAGATCAATGTGCCAGTATCTGGTGAGGGCCTTCTTGCTGTGTCATAACATGGCAGAAGGCATCACATGGGTGAGAGAGAGAGGGAAGGGGGCTGAACTGATCATGTCAACCTATTCCCACTCTACTGGCATTAATTCATTCATGAGAAAAGAGTCTTCATGGCCTAATCACTAAAGATCCCACCACTCACTGCTGTTGCATTGGGGAATCATGTCTCCTCTAACACATGGAGGACACATGCAAACCATAGTAGTTCTAAAATTTGAAAATGCATTGGGTAGACCTGGAGGTGGCCAGGTGTGGTGGCTCATGCCTGTAACTCCAGCACTTTGGGAGGCTGAGGTGGGTGGATCACTTGAGGTCAGGAGTTTGAGACTAGCCTGGCCAACATGGTGAAACCCTATCTCTACTAAAAATATAAAAATTAGCTGGGTGGGGTGGTGCACACCTGTAATCCCAGCTACTCAGGAGGTTAAGGCAAGAGAATCGCTTGAACCCAGGAGGTGGACATTGCAGTGAGCCGAGATTAGGCCACTGCACTCCGGCCTAGGTGACAGAGCGAGACTCCATCTCAAAAAAGAAAAAAAAAAAGAAATAGCTGGAGGCTTTGGTAAAGCACAGATTTCTGGGTCCCACCCCCATAGTTTCTGATTAAGTAGGTGTGGACTGGGGCTTGAAAAATTGCATTTTTGAACAAGTTCCCAGGTGATGCTGATGGTGCTGTTAGAGGATAGATGAAAGAAAAGGAACCAGCACTAACAAAGTGGTTGAAGTGTATGGAGAACCAGGAGATAGTTTAGAGAAGAATAAGAATTTTAACAGCCTCCAGACTCTCTAGGTCTACCAGTCTGATTTCCAATTTCGTAGAGCTTATCTCATTCTTATTTTTGTTTTCTCCAGAATCTATTATAATGCCTGATACATAGCAATAACCTTTGAAGCTGCTTAATACTGTCCTGGTGCATGATGGCATGTACCTCACACACAGATTTCATTTATCCTCTTTTATCTCTGATGAGTCATGGGGAGGATATGATTTCTAATTTTACACACACACAAAATAACTACAGAAAATTTCTTTCATATATCTGGTGTGTAGCTATGTGCATTTGACTTTGTGTTAGATGCCCTCTCCCCCCCCTTTTTTTTTAAAAAAAAGGAACAATCCAGTTTGCAAAATAATTTTTAATAATATGTGCCAGGATTCCAGTCTGTGTCCTGTATTAGGCACATTGAGTCTTAAAAGGGAAGCAAATAATATATTCCCTGTTCCTGGGAAGTTTACAGATAAGATGGGTGAAATGAGCAAAACCCACAGGAAAGAAACAGGAAGAGGTATAATCACAGAAACATGGATGTAGAGAATCTGAATCTAAGGACATATTCTTTGCTTGCCAATATTCTTTGGGTTTTACATGTTTCATATACTGAAGACTTTTGGCATATAGCACACATGTTAGTCCTAGTGAGAGGAAGTTATAAGGGAGTTCCACTATATAAGGAAATAAAACAGTAGCTGTGCAAAATTATAAACACATTTGTAAAGGGAGTGAAATTGGAGTTAAATTGGAGCTTCATGACTGACAGCTTAGCTACTCACTATTCTGCCTAGGTGCTTGTTCTCTCTCATTTATCTCCCAGCTAACATTCATTAAGCATTTATAGTGTGCCAGAAATCGTGTGAAGTGCTGGGCATAGAGAAAACAATAATTGCCTTGTGCACCTAATTCTGGTTTTACTTGGGGAAAGGAATGTGCACACATGTATGCATATTGTCAGGGTGAAGGAGCCTGACTTTTATAATCTTAAGATTATATTGAAGGAAGAGACATTGAGGACTTGAAGTTAAATTCATTCAGCCTTATGTATTCAAGGGGCCATGACGAGTATAGGGATGGGGCCATGACGCGTATAGAGATGTATATTTTTTTTTTAGCAATCAAATTTGTAATTTGATAGAGGAGAAAGAACATATTTGGAGTAATAAAAAGAATACGATAAGTACTGTATAAATATTGATTACAGACTAGGTACTCTGGCTTCTTAAGCAGCTAAGTGTTCAGTTTTAACAGCAACTCATAAGCTATTGTAATGTTTCAGAAATTATAACATGTCATAAGTCCACATTAACCTCCTGGGCTGCCTTTGCATCTGAATATGAGACACAAAAATATTCTGGCAGTCTGTGTCCCTATTTTCTTGATTTGGGAAGTATATGCATAATGCATATAAGCAAAAGAGTAATTAAAAACAAGGTGCTATTTATCTAATGGCTACATTATGCAAGGCCCTTTCTATATACTGTTTCATCCTTGTAATGACAACCTTGTCAATTTGACATTATCTCCATTTTACTAATAAGGTAACTGAGTTCCAGAATGGGAACTGTTTGTCTGTAGCTTGTGGCCAGTGAGAAGTGGGACTGGGCTCCAGTACAGACCCAGGTGTGGACTCTGCAGCCTGTGTTCTTTTTACTTCATGCCAATTCCTTATGTCACCATGGGTCTTCAGCATGTTAATATCTTGATGTAGAAATGCAGTCTCATTTCTACTGTTTTAGGAAAAGTTACTGGAGGAAGTTAGAATTTTAGTAACTGCCTAAATGTTTGAAGACAATTTGATAATATAGTTAGGGATGGAAGGGAATGGGGGCTGGATAATTAATGGCCCCAGTGCTGATTCTCCTATGAAGACGTGCTGTATTTGACCCCAGTTATTTTTTAGTTGACTCACAGGAGATCTTACATGAATATTCAGATTTCCCACTTTTTATTTATTTTTATTTTTTTCAAATAGAGACAGGGTCTGGCTCTCTTGCCCAGACTAGAGTATAGTGGTGTGATCCTAGCTCACTATAACCTCGACCTCCTGGGCTCAAGCAATTCTCCCTTCTCAGGCTTCTGAGTAGCTGGGATGACAGGTGCATGCCACCATGCCTGGCTAATTTATTTTTGTTTCTATGTAGACAGGGTCTCACTGTTTGCCTAGGCTGTTCTTGAACTCCTGGGCTCAAGGGATCCTCCAACTTTGGCCTCCCAGAGTACTGGGATTACAGGTGTGAGTCACTGCACCCAGCCCCACTTCTTTATGTATAGGTGCCAAGTTTTCTAGAGGAGGAACTGTACTTTTTCAAGTACAGTTCAAGTTTACATTTTTCAAGTTTACATTTTAGTAAAGTCAACTCTTTTAAAAAATCCCTTAAAACTTCACCCCAAACAATGTTTACCTGAGATTTCCCAGCTAATCTCCCTTCTCTGCACATTACTTATTTCCTCCACTTAGGTGTTTATTTTTAAACCTATTTACAAAATTAATACATTCTATTTATGGTTCAGTGTAGTTATTCTGACTTGCAAGGTTTTCATTCCTTGCAGTTTGACTAAGTCACTCTTTGGTCCTATTTTATACATTCCTGGAAATATAGACTGTAACTATCTTTGTAAATGATAGTTAATTTCAGTTAATTTTACAAGAAATATTTCTATAAATTTATAATTCTGCAAATGGAATAACTGTTAAATCAAATTCTATGTTATCTATTGCTGTGTAACAAATTATCCCAAAATTTAGCTGCTTAAGACAACAAACTTTTTTTTTTGAGATGGAGTTTTGCTCTTGTTGCCCAGGCTGGAGTGCAGTGGCACGATCTCGGCTCACAGCAACCTCCGCCCCCTGGGTTCAAGCCATTCTCCTGCCTCAGCCTCTGGAGTAGCTGGGATTACAGGCATGCGCCACCACGCCAGGCTAATTTTGTATTTTTAGTAGAGACGGGGTTTCTCCATGTAGGTCAGGCTGGTCTCAAACTCCAGACCTCAGATGATCTGCCCGCCTTAGCCTCCCAAAGTGCTGGGATTACAGGCGTGAGCCACCGTGCCCAGCCAACAACAAACATTTTTTAATCTTATGATTTCTGTGGGTCAGGAATTCAGAACCAGCGTAGCTGGGTAGTTCTGGCTGAGTCACTGATGAGTTGCAATCAAGCTTTTGACCATTGCTATAGCAGTCATCTGAAGGCTTGACTGGGGCTGGGGCTGGGGCTGGAGGATCTGCTTCCGAGATGGTACACTCACATGGCTGTTGACAGGAGGCCTCAGTTCCTTGCTGGCTGTTGGTAGGGGACCTCAGAAATTTCATAGGGTTGCATGAGTATCCTTATAACATGTCAGCTAGCTTCATCCAGAGCAAGTGATGCAAGAGAGAGCAAGGAGGAAACCATGTGCCTTTTATGTCCTGTTTTGAATATAACACTGTTACTCCTTCTATATTTGATTTGTTATAACGTGGCACTAAGTCTAGCCCATACTCAGGGAGGAAGGCAGTTAGGTTCCACCTTTTTTGAGGGGAGAGTCAAATAATTTGTGGGCATATTTCCAAACAACCATCAATCCTTTTTCCCGTGAAGCCATTTCTTCAGTTGATGTTGATTGTCTCTGTTTTAGCACATGCAATAATTTTTCTGACTTGTATATTCATGGTATTTTCTGGAAATGCTCTGAAGAAAAGGTAGTGGTTTTTAAATTTTAAGGAAAGTTTTCACAAATTACAGATTTGTTGTGGATTCCTTGAAGTTTTATATCCATCACATTAGCTTTAGTACTAATGCAGCCAGAATGTTTTCATTTTTATCCTATTCTATTCTATACATTTATTCTTATACAATTGTATTCATATTTAATGGTTTTAAATTAATCTAAAATAGAACCAAACATTTCTAGGTAAGGTAATTCACTTTCCAAACTTTTAGAAGAAAAATGCTTCCTCAACCACTGTCTGAAGGCACGTGTTTCAATTTCCATATGGTACAGTGACATTGGGCTGCATGGCTTAGATGAGTCTGCTAATTTATAATCCAGTCCTTTGGGTACTTTACTAACTTTTATCCTCAAGTAAGGTCCTAAGTAGATCCATTTTATTTCAAGTCTCATTCTTTAGAAGGTGTATGTAGGACATAATTGGCTTAGGCAACCTTTTCAGAACATATTGCAGTTAGGTTTATATTTTGGCACTTCATGTCAGATATTAACTTTCACTATCCTGACCCCTAACAAGTATAAATTACCTGCTTAACTCTTTTATTCTAGTTTTTAATTTTAATCTAATTTTAGACATACAGGAAAATTGCTGGAATAGTACAAAGAATTCTTTTATAACCTTCACCACATCTCCCAAATGTTAACATTTTACCACATTTGTTTTATCCTTCTCTCTCTCCTTTTGCCCCACTGAACTGTTGAAGAGAAAGTTGCAGATATAATACCCAATCCTTCAATGTGCATTTCCTAAAAACAAGGATATTCTCTTATTAACTGTTTTACAATCATTAAATACTATCGTTGTAGCTAACCTATAGGCTTTATTCATATTTCATCAATTATCCCAATTGACTTATCAATGAATACCCTTTAGAGCAACAAAAACAATAAAAATCCAACACACAAGAACAAAGTGAAACAAAACAAAAAACCAGCCATGTGGTGCATTCAGTTTTTCTTTTTTTCTTTTGGTCTCCTTTTTTTTTTTTTTTTTGAGACGGAATTTCACTCTTGTTGCCCAGGAGTGCGGTGGCACCATCTCGGCTCACTGCAACCTCTGTCTTCCGGGAGCAATTCTCCTGCCTCAGCCTCCCAAGTAGCTGGGATTACAGGCATGCACCACCATGCCTGGCTAATTTTGTATTTTTAGTAGAGACGGGGTTTTCACCATGTTGGCCAGGCTGGTCTCAAACTCTTGACCTCAGGTGATCCGCCCACCTTGGCCTCCCAAAGTGTTGGTATTACAGGCATGAGCCACCACGCCTGGCCTGGTCTCCTTTAATCTAGAATAGTGCCTCAATCTTGTCTTTATAACACTGACATTATATAAGGGTTTAGGCCAGTTTTGTTTTTATTTATTTATTTCTTTTTTGAGATGGAGTTTCATTCTTATTGCCCAGGCTGGAGTGCAATGGTGTGATTTCAGCTCACTGTAACCTCCACCTCCTGGGTTCAAGCGATTCTCCTGCCTCAGCCTCCCTAGTAGCTGGGATTACAGGCACATGCCATCACACCCAGCTAATTTTTGTATTTTTAGTAGAGACAGGGTTTCACCACATTGGCCAGGCTGGTCTAGAACTCTTGACCTCGTGATCCTCCTGCCTCGGCCTCCCAAAGTGCTGGGATTACAGGCATGAGCCACCGTGCCCGGCCTATTTACTTTTTTAATAGTATGTCTCTCACTTGAGGTTTATCTGGTTATGATTAGATCCACATTATGCAGTTTTGGCGGTAATATAGATGTGATGTATTTTTCTCAGTGCTTCATTTGAAGATGCTAATGTTGATTTGTTCTATTATTGGTGATGTTAATTTTGATCACTTAGTTAAGATGGATTCTGCCTGGTTTCTCCACTGTAAAGTTTCTGCCTTTCCTTTGTAAATGGTATCTTCTGGGAGATACTTTGAGAGGATGTAAATATCCTGTTACTCCTCAAACTTTCACCGACTAGTTTTAGGCTTCATTGATGACTATTTGCTGAATCCATTATTGTCATGATTGTTGCCAAATGAAGATTTCCTAATTCCATCACTCCTTTTACATTTATTAGTTGACTTGCCCCCATTAATTAACTAGTTAATTAATATCTCAGTGATCTCATGGATTCTTATGTTATTCAATGGGTTTAATTTTTTACTATCATTGTTTTTGTTTTTTTTTTTAAACTCATATTGTTCCGTATTTGACCAGCCTTTTCAAGCTGGGTCTGTGTCTGTCTATCATGTCCCCTTGATTCTTTGATCACTTTCTTATTTTCTGGCACAACAAGAGAGACCAGGTTTATCTCATATTTTCCCTACCCCTTCCCTGGAATCAGCTATTTCTCCAAGGAACACTTGGTAGAAAATTATATTTAGAAACAAGATCTCAGTGCTAGGTGTGCTCAGAGCTACTGAGGTATCATTGCTTCTAGGCCCTCTTAGCAAATAGATGTTATGGGTTGCATGTGCGTGTGTGTGTGTATTCCATACCTTTCTATATTTTTGTATATCTATATTAAAAACCATGAGTTCATACTGACACCTTCAGTTTCAATGTATGTGTATTCCACACATTTCTATATTTTTGTATATCTATATTAACCATAAGTTCATACTGACACCTCCAGTTTCAACCCTACACTGCGGAGTTTATTCTACCCATTCCCCTTTTCGTGTTTGTAACGCCTTTGTTCAACAGTAAGAACCTGACTCCCTTTATTGACAACATATTTACTTATTTGTATACTCTTAATGTACCCAGAAAGTAGGTTCAAAATTGTTAGCCCATACCTTTGTGAAAAAGAAACCCACTAACTAGAGGTTAGCATTTTAACAAATGTTAGCGTGGGGACCTGTAGTCCAAATACTGTATTCAGAGTTATAGGAGTTAGTACTTCTCTTCTCCCCTGCTTTCTTCTGTGTGGTTATGTTATTCATTTGAACTACAGTTTGGTTCATTTGATTCTGTTTATGTTTCATGTTAGGTGCCCCTCTCTCTATTTTTCATTTTATTTATTGTCCTTTTTTGAGTATGTGAAATGTTAACATGGTTCCAAAAGTTGAAGTTATTCTCAGAGAAGTGTCACTCCCATGTCTTCTGTCCCTTCTACTTTGTTCCTACCCACTCCCAGATAGATAATCTGCTTATCAATAAAAAAGTTATGACCCTTTTTGCGCATGCCTCACAAATACACCTTACTTTAGGATATATGGAATAGAATTGCTTAGTCATATGATAGGCAGAGCTTCAATTTTAGTAAATAGTAGGAAACTGTTTTCTGAGGTGGTTAAACCAGTTAAAATTTTCTAGTTATTATTGATCCTTTTTAGTAACAGCATGAGTCTCACTCCTGTCAAGCCTGCTAATACTCATGCTGCAGTTTTTAGTTAGTACCTTGCTAAAGTCCTGGAGATGAAAGTCAGCCTAATAAATCTTTGTAACATCTCATTGAGCGACTCATTTGTTAAAAAAAAATCACTTTTTAAGGAGGTAATTTATAAAAATGGTACAAAATTTTAAAATATGACAGCATTTACAGTGGAAATTAAGTCGCCCTCCCATCCTGACCCCACAGACATCCAGTTCCACCTCTTTGAAACAGCTTACCATTGGTTCATTGCCAACACCGGTGCTGTTCTTGTGTTTGGGGATGCAGGGGTGAACAAAATAGGCCAAGATCTGCCTTAATGGAGTGTCCATTCTACTGGGGGAGATTGAAAATAATAAAGTTTCTTGCATATCTATTCAGAAACATGCTGTGTATATGTGGCATATTCTAATGTTTATTCTTAAGCCCATATATATTGTACTGCATCTTGCTTTTCTCTCATTATATCTTGGAGGCTGTTCCATATCAGTACCTTAATGCCTACAGAGCACCATGTCATGGATTTCTTAATACAAGCTTGTCCAAAAATGAGCTAATTTGGATTATGAGAATTTAATTTTACTAGTTTTATAAGACACCCCTAATCTGGCTTATCAGCACCTCATTTCATGAGTGCCACCTTTATTTTCTGACCTGCATCATAAGCACCACTGTGAAGCCATCTTTGCCGTGGTGTAATTGGTGGGTTGGTGAAGTTCTCTCAGATAGTTCATTTGCTGCTTTAAAGTGGTAATAATCTTGTATGCATTTGCATAGTTTTCATTGATTTCTTTGCTCTCTTTACTGGTCTGTCACCCCTAGATTGAAAGTTTAATTACGTAAACATTAAAATATGTATACTTTACTGAAGTAATTGTGTGCCATTTATTTCAGTGGTAATTAAATTCTTTTGATGTGGAGAAATCACCAAATGAGTTTTTTAAGGAAGGTTAATTCTCTCAAGGCGGGATGACTGTGTTCTACTATTTCTCTAGCTCTTTGTGGTCAGTGCTTCTTTAGGGCCTTCATTTAATTCCTCACTTGTTTACCAGTGATTGAGAAACTTCTAAAATCACTCACACCTTTTGTTTTAGGCTTGATTGCAGCAAAGAGCATGTAGTCACTAAGTGGAGTGGTGAGTAGGCCCCGCTATTTCTAACTTATTCCATATAAATAGTTAAATTCATGTAAGTTGAATTCGAGTATGGTGTGGCTCCTTTATGATAAGAATTGACCTAATTCAGGTGGAGCTGGGAAGGAGATGCCCAGGCAGCTTCTCTTTCATCCATGCAAACATGTGTTGACCTCTTGCTAGGTAATATTAGGTGCTCTGGGTCCAAAGGAGAATCATTTGTGGTTCCTGCCCACAAAAAAACTTGTAGTCTAGTAGGAGACGGTTAATGGGTACAAACAAACAAACAAACAAGCAAAAAAGAATGAATAAGACTTAGTATTTGAAAACAGAACAAGGTGACTATAGCCAATAATAATTTAATCGTACATTTAAAAAATAACTAAAAAGAGTATAATTGGATTGTTTGTAACACAAAGGATAAATGCTTGAGGGAATGGATACCCCATTTTCCATGATGTGATTATTATGCATTGCACGCTGGTATCAAAACATCTCATGTACCCCATAAATGTATATACCTACTATGTACCCACAAAAATTAAATAATAAAATTTTTTTTAAGTATGTGTGGAGCACAAGGTTGAACAGTTGGCTGTAAACTGCATACTCTCAACTCTGGGGACATTGGCTTGGGCTCAGTCCAACAAATTGAAAGTCCTTGAAACTTTTGGGAGTATAGACTTAACTTATGAGAGTTGGGGTTAGGTGATTCCTCTGTAGCCTTCAGGTGACTCCTGTTCCTGAATGGAGTGTAATTTGTTGTCAGTGCAATATACATGTCAGAAAGAAAATGTGAGAAGGAAAATGATAGTATGAAATGACTGTTACATGTGAAGCACTGTACTATGTCCTTCATGTGTTTTATTTTATCCTCATAGTTACCCTTTAGGGGCAGCGACCATTTTCTAAATGAGAAAGTTGAGATGCTGTATCTCTCCTTATTCTATCTCAGGTTCTGCCTTTGAATGTTGTGACTTTGAACAAGTCCCTCAGTTTTCTCATCTGTAAAAAGTCATAGTTATGATGCTTGAATTCTTTTCAGCTCTATGTTCTAGGAATCTGTGAATATTTACTAATTGTGTTCTTGTTTGGGCAGGAAAGAAGGCTATTCAGGGAATTACTCCCTCTTAGCAAATTAATAACTTAATAGTAACACTGTCAGGTTGTCCAGACCAAATAATTTATTTTCCCATCACAAAGTGAGTACCCATTATGTATGTGGCCTTAGAAAGCTACTGTAAAATAAATCAAGTAAATAGGCTTGGTGACAGGCTCTCCATCAATTGTTACTAGCCCTGGGCAAATGGGCAAGTAGCTACCTGCAAGATTATGTGATGATTTTAAAGTGTGTTATAGGTTAAATGCTAAGTATTTTTATTAATTTAGGAAGTACTTTGGCATATGGCCTTTAAAATTACATTATTATATTATCGTAAATCTTGACTAAGGCAACAAAACATGTTTACTGTGGCCAACTTCACAGATGGGGTGAAACGGTGAAATATTTTATAGCATGTATAATGAGCTACTAGATGATGATGATTTTCTCTTCACATCTGAAAAATGTGAGTTGGGAAATGAATTAGAAGCTTTAAAGGTCTACTTAATTGTGAGAATTAATTTCAAGAAATAGTGTCATGTACCCAGTGAGTACTTAATAATTGAGGAGGAGAAGGACAAAAGGGAAATTATGAAGCTTTCAAACCTAAGTCCATTTTGGAAAAAGGTTAGAATAAAAATATAATACTAATGTAACTATGAAAACTGCCTTACAACATGATACAAAAAGAAACAAAATTAGCAAATACTAGACATTTCAAGATTAACTATTCTCCTAAATTGGAGTCCATGTATTCTAGGTACACTAATTCTTGAAACCAGTTCTTATTAGACATGGAATCTCCCCTCATAGGACATGATGAAAATTTATAGGAGTATCTTTGTCTTCTAATGTAATTTTATGAGATAAATATTATTTCATTATAAATTATTTTATTTTGTTTCTGTCTTACAGTGTTTTTTTTTTCTGGATGGGGGGTAGGATTTTGTGTACCATTTTGTGTACCATTCTGTTGCATAATGTATTTCTATTTTTGTTTTTATTTTTTTACTATGCTTGATTTTAGCCAAAAGGCTGAGAAGCAATATTTAATTTTTTTAAAGATAGGAGTCTCACTCTTTTGCCCAGGTGGGTCTCAAACTCTTGGGCTCAAGCAATCCTCCTGTGTCCAGAGTTGGTTCCTGCCAGTGGGTTCGTGGTCTCTCTGACTTCAAGAATGAAGCCGCGGACCTTCGCCGTGAGTGTTACAGCTCTTAAAGATGGCACAGACCCAAAGAGTGAGTGGTAGCACGGTTTATTGTGAAGAGCGAAAGGACAAAGCTTCCACAGTGTGGAAGGGGACCTGAGCAGGTTGCAGCTGCTGGCTGGGGTGGCCAGCTTTTATTCGCTTATTGTCCCTTCCCATGTTCCATTTCTGTCCTATCAGAGTGCACTTTTTTCAGTCCTCCCCGCAATTGGCTCCTTTTAGAATCCTGCTAATTTGCGCGTTTTACAGAGCGCAGATTGGTGCGTTTTACAGAGTGCTGATTGGTGCGTTTTACAATCCTCTTGTAAGACAGGAAACTTCCCCAAGTCCCCACTCAACCCAGGAAGTGTAGCTGGCCTCACCTCTCAATCCCCCCTCTAAACAGGACACCCAAACTGCCGTTGGGAACTGGGTGATGACTGCTCTAGCTACTTCCTGCTGGATAGGGCAAAGAAGGGGCCCTGCAGTTGTAGTATCCTCCCAAGGGGAACTCTCTAGGCCAGTCAGAGGGCCAGTGGGTCAGTCCAGGGGTCCTTGGTAGAAGTTGTGACTTGAGCTCATTTGGGGTTCCATTTGTAAGACCATCTGTAGCTTGATGGCCTCAATCCTGGAGGAAACAAATTTGACAAGGAGTTTAAAAATACAGGGCCCAAAGGCAAGTAATAGCAAGATGACTGTCATGGGACCTAGAAAGGGGAGAAGCCATGTCGCCCAACTCTAGAGGTTGGTATAGGAATTTGAGAGGCGTTGTCTGATTTCAGAAGCCTTTTCCTGTAAATGCCGGGAAGCGTCTTGTACTTTCCCGACTGGTTAGTGTAAAAACAACACTCTTCCCCTAAGAAGGTGCAGAGTTCTCCTTTCTCAGCAGTGAGGAGGTCTAGGCCTCAGTGGTTTTGGAGAGTCACTCCTGTCAAATGGTCTATTTGGGATTGTAGAGTAAGGATAGATTTTGTTATTTTTTTGCAAACTGTCTGAAAAATCCTTTGAGAGTGTGTGGTAGTAGGATAATGAAGTAGATAAACTAGCTATTATGGTTCCTGTAGCAGTGGCCATTCCTATCCCTATAAGTAGGGGTATTAGTTGTATGGCCCTGTGCTGACAGACTTGAGCTTTGAGGGGCACTGATAGAGTCTAATTTCCTGGGGCAATGTCAATGTTGGGACTTAGGAAGACTAAGGTGCAGGTGCCTGTCCAGTTGGTGGGGAGGCAGATATAGGTTGACATTCCACATAAGAAGAATATGTCTTAGCTGGGTAGACAGAACTGGTTGTGTATGTTAAAAAGGTGTGTGAGTTTGTTGTTTTCATTTTCCCATGCTCCTAGAGTACTTGCCAAGGTAGCCCCGGTGAGTGGCTGGAAAGGGGTGTTGGGAGCAAACTGAGTGGCTCCCTGTGTTCTGTTTTCCCATTGGAGAAAAAACTGTTTTGTATCTACTAGGAACCATTCAAGAGAGTAATTGAAAGACGGGATGAGAAGGCATTCATTAGTGGTGGGGGTGCTGCTGCAGGGATTGCAGGGATGAATGGTCATGCAGGGAGTATGTTTGCCATTACAAAACCCAGACTGTGAAGCAGGGCGACAAGCCATCTGAATGGAGCTGTTTGGGTAACTGGGAAGTTACTATGATCAGTTGGGGCTTGAAGTTGTAGGGTGTAATTACACTGATGGGATAGTAGGTGCCCCAGGGGCAGGCCTGATAACAGGTTGCATTGGATGCATAAAGGGGCTTGGAAAGTTAACACGGTGTTCGTGGTTACAGGGCCATGTATAGGCTTTTCATTGCTTGTGTAATAGGTGAGGTTGGAAATGTAAGAGCATAAAAGCTGGATTGCGTATCCTATTAGGGTATTTTTGGTCCTATCAGAGATGGGGCCTGAGGATTGTGGCCTCCAGGTGCAGTGAAGGTAATATTGTATCCCTAGTGCCCTGGAAATTCCCTAAGTTACTGTGGCTTTAAAAGCTGGACGATTGTCACTTTGTAAGCTTTGGGGAAGCCCAAATCTAGGAATTATTTCATGAATTAGGACTTTAACCACTTCCTGAGCCTTCTCTGTCTTGCAGGGGAAGGCTTCTATCCAATTTGTAAAGTTATCAACAGGGACTAACATAGTATTGAAATCCCCTTGACTTAGGCATATGGGAGAAGTCTAACTGCCAGTGCTCCCCGGGATAGTGCCCTATTCTTTGTTGCCCCAGAGGGGCCTTACAACGGACCGAGGGATTATCCTTTGGCACACCTCACAGGCTTTGACTACTTGTCAGATGGTCCAGAGGAGATTTGGCCTTGTAAATAGGGATTTGGCCATTTGATGAGTGTTCTTAATACCCATATGAAAAGTTTGGTGGAGGGACTTAAGTATTTTCCACTGGCTGGCTTCGGGTATGAGTACCTTCCCCTCTAATGTCGTTAACCACCCCAGGGGGAGAAAACTATGCCCCTGTGAAAGTCCCCATTCTGTTTTGGTCAGGGAATACTGGGGCTTAATCTCTTGGACAGGGTTGTTCCATACCAAGGGTCCTTCCATAGGTATTTCTGTTGGGAGGTTCCGCCTGGCAGCAATTTTGGCCTCAGCATCTGCCCGACGGTTTCCTTCTGCCTTTTCTCTTCACCTTTTTGATGGCTTTGGCAGGGTATGACTGCCACCTCCTTGGGTTTTTGTACAGCATGCAGTAACTCCATGATTTCCTTGTGGTATTTATTGGGGGTTCCCCCAGATGTTAGGAACTCCCTTTCTTTCCATATTGCAGCATGGGCATGTAGGATTAGATAAGCGTACTTGCTATCTGTGTTCACATTTATTCTTTTTTTCTTTCTCAGTTCTAAGGCTTGGGTAAGCACCACTAGTTCTGCTAACTGGGTGCTGGTCCCTGGGGGAAGGGGCTTGCTTTCAGGTACTGTTACATCACTAACTATGGCATAACCTGCCCTTCGCATCCCATTCTCCACAAATGAACTTCCATCAGTATATAGGTTAAGGTCAGGATTAGCTAAGGGGACTTCCAAGAGTTCCTCTCAGGCGGCATAAGTCTGGGCTACAATTTGTTGGCAGTCATGCTTGATTGGTTCCCCATCCTCTGGGAGAAAAGTAGCAGGGTTGAGGGCCGCACATGTGCGTATTTGAAGCACTGGTCCCTCAAGGAGTAGCCCCTGATATCTAAGCAGGTGGTTGTCTGATAGCCATAAATTTCCTTTGGCACCTAGTATGCCATTTACATCATGAGTAGTCCAGACAGTGAGATCCTTTCCTTGTACTATTTTGATAGGCTCTGATATTAAGATGGCCACCACCACAGCTACCTGTAAACAGTGAGGCCAGCTCTTTGCTACTATATCAATTTCCTTAGGTATGTCACTGGTTGTGGGGTTGTCCCGTGAGTCTGAGTAAGGATTCCAAGAGCTATTCCTGCTCTCTCTCTGGCATATAAAGAGAAGTTTTGTCCTGTGGGAAGGCTTAAGGCTAGAGCTTGTACTAGGGCCTGCTTTAAGGTTTTGAAGGCTGTTTCTGCCTCTCGTTCCCTTTCTACTAGATGACTATTTGCCCTCTGGGTCTCCTTGATTAGAGTATAGAGTGGCCTGGCCATCTCACTGTATCCAGGGATCCATAGTTGGCAAAAGTTGGTGATCCCAAGGAACCCCCGCAACTGTTTTAATGTCTTAGGGCGAGGACAAGCCAGTATAGGCTGTATTCGTTCTTTGCTGAGGGCCCTGGTTACTCTGGCTAAGCTTAGGTCTAGATATTTGACTTGTTGTAGGCAGAGCTGGGCCTTCGGTTTAGATGCTTTGTACCCTTGATTAGCTAGAAGGTTCAGGAGATCTAGAGTAGCCTGCTGGCATGAGGCTTCCAAACTGGTAGCCAAAAGTAAATCATCCACATACTGAAGGACCAGAGTGCCTGGACTTGAGAAGTGGCCTAGATCTTGGGCCAATATCTGACCAAACAGATGAGGGCTATCCCTAAACCCTTGAGGCAAAACCGTCCATGTAAATTGGGACGTGTGGTCTGTGGGATCCTCAAAGGCAAAGAGAAACTGGCAGACAGAGTGCAGGGGAATGCAGAAGAAGGCATCCTTCAGGTCCAAAACAGTGAACCATTCCACTTCCTCTGGTATTTGAGAGAGCAGGGTATAGGAGTTGGGTACAACTGAATGTAGAGGAATTACTGCCTCATTGATGAATCTAAGATCTTGCACTAGTCTCCACTGACCTTTTGGTTTTTGTACTCCTAGAATTCGGGTATTGCAGGGACTGCTGCATTTTCTTACTAACCCTTGAACTTTTAAATATCTGAGAATATCCTGTAATCCTTCATGAGCTTCAGGCCTTAAGGGATATTGCCTTTGATAAGGAAAAGTGGTGGGGTCTTTTAGCCTGATTTGGACTGGGCAGGCATTTTTTGCCCTTCCAATGCCCGGATTTCAGGGTTGATTCCCTCCTCAAGTAGGGGGCAACAAATGGGCAACTTATTCCCCATATTCATATAGATAATAGCTCCAGCTTTGGCTAATATGTCCCTCCCTAATAAGGGTGTGGGACTTTCAGGCATAACAAGAAAGGCATGTGAAAAGAGCAAAGTCTCCCAATTACAACTGAGGAGGTGGGAGAAATACCTGGTTACAAGGCTGTCCCAGGATTCCTCAGATGGTAATGTACCTTGGGGACAGCCATCCAGGGCAGATTAACACTGAGAAAGCTGTGCCAGTGTCCAGGAGACAGTCAATTTCCTGGCCCTCAATGATTAAACTTACCCAGGGCTCAGTAAGTGTGATGACATGAGCTGGTGCTTTCCCCAGTCACCCTCAGTCCTGTTGACAGATTATCTGGTTGGGGGCTTCTGGCCCAGAGAACCTTTGTCCTCTGGGGCAGTGTGCCTTCCAGTGATTGCCTCAGCATAGTGGACATGGGCAAGGGGGTGACTTGTTTCTCTTTGGACAATCTTTTTTAAACTGTCCTTGCAAACCACACTGATAACAAGCCATACGGGGTTATTGGCCTGCTTCATTTTCTGTTTTCTCTGAACCACCAAGGCTTGTTTGTCTGAGGGCCATGACTAAGGCTGTGGCCTTTCTTTTATTTTGCTTTTCCTTTTTGGCCTGTTCCTCTTGGTCCCTATTATAGAATACCAAGGTTGCCAGGTTTAATAATGCCTCCAAATTTTGCTTAGGGCCCAGGGCTAGCTTTTGGGAGCTTTCTCCTGATATCCGTGGCTGACTGGGTAATAAACTTATCTTTTAGGATCAATTGATCCTTGAGGGAGTCAGGTGACAGAGGAGTATATTTTCTTAAGTCCTCCCATAGCCACTCAAGGAAGGTGGTAGGATTTTCTTCCTTTCCCTGAGTTATGGTGGACATCATTGAATAATTCATGGGCTTTTTCGTAATTCTCCTTAGTCCTTCTAGAACACAGGTCAACAGATGTTTGCGACTCCAGTCCCCATGATCTGAGTCTAGGTCCCAGTGGGGATCCATACTGGGGACGGCTTGCTGACTGGTAGGGAAATTGTCCCTTTCTCCGGCTATCATTCTGTCATTTACTTGACTAAGTTACCAGGCATCTCCAGACTCTTGGGCTGCAGCTTAAGCCACATTCTTTTCATTAAAGGCCAAGGTTTGATCTAACAGTAGCATGACATCTCCCTAAGTGAGGCTGAAGGTTTGCCCTAGACCCTATAGGATATCTATATACCTATCAGGATCATCTGAAAACTTCCCCAGGTCTACCCTGATCTGCTTTAAATCAGAGAGAGAAAAGGGGACATGCACCTGGGTTGGGCCAAATTCCCCTCCCCCTACAGCTTGAAGGGGACATAACCGATAGCCTGGGGGGTTTTGTGGTCCCTTGATGATTTCTTTGCCTGTTTCTTTGCCTTTCTGGGTGGGGGAGATTAGAGGAGGCTCATCATTATAGGAAGGGGAGCTGTGGGGAGGCTAGGATATGGAGATAAGCTGAGAGGTCCTCCTGTGGAATGTAAATTGCAAGCTTTGCATAGTTGTGGATTATACTTCAATGAAAAGAAAGCTTGGACATAAGGTATTTCACTCCATTTGCCTTCCCTCTTACAGAAAAGGTCAAGCTGCAGGATAGTACTGTAATTTATACTTCCCTCAGGTGGCCATTTTTCCCCATCAGGGAGAGAATATTGGGCCCAGGCCGTAGTGCAGAAAAAAATAAGCTGCTGCTTTTTCAGGTTTTGCGGGTCAAATTGGTCCCAGTGGCTTAGGATGCATTTCAAGGGTGAGCTTGTTGATACCTGAGTGTTTCCCATCTGAAAGGAAAAACCGTCCGTGGTTTTGGTCTGTATTTTTCCCCATCCAAGAACCCACAATGGTCCCTGGACCCTGCTGTTTGGAATAGTTGCGCTCACTGAAGCAGCAGTGGAAATACTTGTTTTCCTCCTAGACCACAAAGAGGACCGAGGAAGGTCAGATTTAGTGGCTCTTAACCACCACATTCTCAAAAACCTGCACCCTTGCCTTTCCTCTTAGACCACAAAGAGGACCGAGAAAGGTTGGATTTAGTAGCCCTTACGGATGCATTCTCAAAAACCTGTTAGTTAGAGTCCTAAGTGTTTTCTCCTGTTGGTGCTGGGACCTTACCCTTGTCCTATGAAGATGATATGCCTCAAAATGGAGTGGAGGGCCATACACTGAGGGAGGGAAGGGATTTCCAGCATTGGAACAGTGACGTCTTTTGTCCTCACTTCTCATCATTTGAATAGGAAGGACATCCCCCCAATTTTGGAGTCTGTAATTTCTGAGGCTCTCCATATCCTGGCTTTGGGAATGGCCTTTGTTAGGCCTGCTAGTCTGAGGAGGCATCCTAAAATTCCAGATAGTACCCCCTATGACGGGGCTTTGGGCAAAAATTATGTCTTTCTGATTGGTAAGCCTGGGTGCCTAAAGAAGGGAACAGAGTCCTGAAATTTATGTTACAAATTATCCTTATAGGAGAAACTAGAAGAGCATCGGGGACAGGGAGTGGTTTTGAGAAGCAGGACTAGCCTTGGAGAAGAGAGGTGGGAGGAACTTCTCTGAGAGGCATTGGGACCCAGGAGGCAAGGGTCAGGATAGATAGAATAGATGGGCAAGTCTCGCTTGGGTGATGTAACCTTGAGAGTTCTGCTCATGGCTGCAGGGTCAACCAACTTTTTGGAGCCGAATGGCTTTCCTCTCTGTTGACCCTCGGCTCAGCCCGGAAGTGCAGGAAAAGCAGAAGCTGGTTCCAGGCAAAGCAACGCTCCCGACTCCGAAGAGGCAAGGGTTGTTAGAGAGCCCTTTCCTAGAAAGCCTGACACCCGTGTCTTTAGTCCGGTGGCCGCACTAGTCACTTTTAACTGGCTGACAGGTGCCCAGTGTTTAGCCCCTGAATTCTAAGGAAAAATAGGACAGAATAGCAAGCGAAAGGGGTCCGATAGTACTCACCGCATAGCGATATCCTGGACAAGTCCCCAAGATGTGTCCGGAGTTTGTTCCTGCTGGTGGGTTCCTGGTCTCACTGACTTCAATAATGAAGCTGCGGACCTTTGTGGTGTTACAGCTCTTAAAGATGGCACAGACCCAAAGAATGAGCGGTAGCAAGGTTTATTGTGAAGAGCAAAAGGACAAAGCTTCCACAGCGTGGAAGGGGACCTGAGCGGGTTGCTGCTGCTGGCTGAGGTGGCCAGCTTTTATTCCTTTATTGTCCCCTCCCATGTTTCGTTTCTGTCCTATCAAAGCGCGCTCTTTTCAGTCCTCCCCGCGATTGGCTACTTTTAGAATCCTGCTGATTCGTGCATTTTACAGAGCACTGATTGGTGCAATTTACAATCCTCTTGTAAGACAGGAAAGTTCCCCAAGTCCCCATCCGACCCAGGAAGTCCAGCTGGCCTCACCTCCCACTCCCACCTCAACTTTCCGAGTAGCTGGGACTATTAGACATGTGCCTGGCTTGCTAATACATTAAAAAAAAGTGTTTAGTAGGTTATATATCTCTGAATTTTATTTCAGAATAGTAGGGCGTTGTAATAAAATATTTGTTATAAAAAGTAGGCGTTGGGTCTGATAGTATTGATGGCCATTATATAAGTAAAAGTCCAAGCATGGCACAACTGGCTTCTCTGCTCAGGGTCTTACTATGCTGAAATCAAAGTGTCAGCAGGGTTATAATCTCATCTGAGGCTCAGGGTCCTCTATTAAGCTCAGTGGTTGGTAGCAGAATTTGGTTCTTGTGATTATACCACTGAGATCCTCCTTTTCTTGCTGGCTGTTAGCTAGAGGTAGCTTTCAGTTCCTAGAGGCCACCCCCAAGTCCTAGCCAATGGGCCTCTCACAACATGGCAGCTTGCTTCTTCAAGGCTAGTTGGAGAATCTCCCTCCAGTCAGCTACAAGACTCTTATATAAAGTTACTGGAGTAACTATCCCATCATATTTCCAGGTCCTGCCCACTCTCAAGGGGAGGGGATTATATGGGTGTGTGTATCTGGGAGCAGGGATCTTGGGTGCCATCTTACATTTCTGCCTACCACAGCCAACATTATCCCATCCTCATATGTGTAACTCTTCACTGTCAGTGAAGTGCAGTTATTTGAAAAAGGACCGCAATAATTACTTTAAGCATTCACACAGGTATTGAGTACCTCTATGCCAGGTACTTTTCTAGGCACTGAGGTGAATAGGGCAGAACCCATGCTCTCATGGAGGTTATCTTCTAGGGCTAAGAGCAGTGAAGAAAATCAAATGGAGTAGAAGGTTAGAAATGGTATGGGAGTGAAGGGGGTAGTAGGGTATGTAGGGTGGTTAGGAGCCAAGACCTGAATGGTGAGTGGCCAGTAGTATGAAGCTTTGGGAACAAAACATTCTGGTAGAGGGAAGGTAATGATAAGGATCCTAAGTCAGTAATAAGCTTTGACTGTGTTTAAGGAACAGTAAGGCCAGTGTGGCTGGAGCAGAATGTGCCAGGAGAGGAGTTGGAGATGAGTTTGGGGAGGTGGTTGGGTTGCAGAGCTGTAGATCTTGGTGGAGTATGATTTTTATTCAGCATGAGATAGGAAGGCACTGAAGTGTTTTAAGCAATGGAGTGACTGATCTGATTTATATTTTCAAAAGATTTATGTGGAGAAATGGCATGTAAGGGTGGAAATGTATAAATACAAAGAGATACAATTTGTGAAGGAAAAGAAAAGCCTTCTAAGTGCAGATGACAAGAGCGCTGGCTAGACCCAGGTCAAGGAAGGCTGCATGAGGAAATGGCACCTGAGTTGCACTTGGATGATGGAAGGTGAAAAGAAGAAGCATGGTCCCAACAAGGGATCAACTTATGCCAAAGCCCTGTGGCATAAGGGAGCATGTCAGTGCTAGGGAAAGTCAGGGGGAATGATTAGAGTTAGGCAGGGCCCAGATTCCACAGGCCTTGAAGGCCCAGTTAAACGTTTTTTTCTGTGCTTCTTTTACGATAAGAGCCGTGGAATACCACTGAAGGGTTTTAAATAGGGACAGGAGTTCTGGAGGGAAAGGATGAGGGAAATGGTTTATACTCAAGTTTTGTAATTTGAGAAATTCTTTCTGGCTCCTGCATGGAGGACAGTTTGGAGGAAGGTCTGAGTGGAAAGCGGGAGATCACTTAGGAACTATGTGAGGGTCCGAGTGAGAGATGAAGGTGGAGTGAACTAGAATGGTAGCATGGAAGTTGCAAAGAAGTAAATTGACTTGAAAGCTATCTTAGGAGGTAAAAACAAAAGACTTGCTGATGGATTAGGTTGAGGTCGAAGGCAGTGTCTTTCTGGCTTCCACAGCCGGATTCACTGAGCTAGGGAACATTGCATAAGGACAGGCTTTTACTAGGGAGGGGCATAGAGAGTGTGAATTGAGTTTTGAGGTATCTTTGAGAAAAGTAAGTGCAAATGTAAAGTGGGCAGTGGTAATATAGGGGTCTGGAATTTGGAAGAGAGGTCTGTTAATATCTGTATGGCCTCTTTTGTTAATTTTGGGGTCTTAAATATGCCAGTCACTGTAAGGTGCTGGGGATGTAAAGATGAGTAAGATGTTATTCAGCATTTGTTGAGTGCCTGTAGTCTCTGTGTTCTGGTTATTGTCCTCTGGGAGCTTACTAACCAACAAGACAGGTCCGTAACAAAATCATAGCAAGGTATGATAGGGGCGGTGATGGGGGAACAGAATCTGACAGAAGAGGTGACCTAGATTGGCAGCGTCAGTGAAGGCTTCTGCTGAAGGGCTTGAAGCTTGTTCTGAGCCTTGAAAGAGGCAGAATTAGCCAGACAAGGAGAATACAAGAAGTTCCAATAGTAAAAGGCTGGAGGTATGAGAGGAGAGACTTGACAACTCAGAAGAGCCAGCAGCTCCATATCCCTGGCTCTCACTAACTGGTGAACAAGGTGAATAAGCAGGAGGGCTCCTCACCAGCAAAGTCTGCTTAAGTTGGATGTTTTTATGGTGGTAAGCGTTCTGGTGAGACTTGACATAGCTGTTTGGAAGGAGAGGAAGAGAATACTCATAGCTGGAAGGGACTTCAGAGAACTTTTAGCCCTGTCTTCTCATTTACAAATGAGATTAACAAAAGCCAAAGAGGACAGCTGATTTGCTGATAGGAAAGTCAGGGCCCACATCTCCCAGAGTCCAGATTGAGGTTCCTTACATTGCTACAGGAATGTCAGTACCCCTTAACCATTTATTCCCAGGCTCCCTCTGACATTTTTATATTGAAACAAAATGTGCAGGAAATACACAAAATGCTGTCATTGAGTAATACATGTGTCCATATGGGCTGTATTTTTTTTTTTAAAAAAGATAAAGTCTCACTCTGTCTTTTAAAGAGACTCAACCTGTCGCCCAGGTTGGAGTGTGGCATGATCTTGGCTCACTGCGGCCTCCACCTCCTGCACCCCACCTCCTCCCAAGTAGCTGGGATTACAGGGACCCGCCATCATGCCCAGCTAATTTTTGTATTTTTAGTAGAGACGGGGTTTCACCATGTTGGCCAAGCTGGTCTCAAATTCCTGACCTCAGGTAATCCACCTGCCTTGGCCTCCCAAAGTTTTGGGATTACAAGCGTGAGTCACCATGCCCGGCCTGAGATTTTAATTCTGGCAGTATGACTTTGGATACTCTTTATTGCCTTTCCTAAGACAATCTCTAAAGCAGCGCTGTCAAACAGGACTATAATGTGAGTTACAAACGCAAGCCTTGTATGTAATTTTAAAATTTCTAATAGCTATTCTGATGAAAAAAGTAGAAAGGACCAGTTGAAATTCATTTTAATATATTTTATGAAGACTAATATATCTAAAATATTACCAATTTGACAACTACTCAATAAAAACATGGTTTTCTTTTTTTAGTAAGTCTTTGAAATACAATTTATATTTTACACTTACAGCTCGTCTCAATTTGGCCCTGCTGTATTTCAAGTGCTCGGTAGCCACATGTGGCAAGTGGCCATCACTGTGGCCATTGCAGCTCCAAAGGGACAGGAGAGTTGATGGAAATTAGACACTGCATTCTACAGCCTCATGAGCCCAAGAGAGCAAACCTTGGTTTGCTGAAAATCAGCAGATAAGGCAATTGAAAGGGAAGAAGGTAAGAGTAGTAATTCTTGTGTCTGATAACAGAGAGTGCCCCTGGCCTCTTCATCTCAGACTTGAAGGGGATTTGGGGGTGGGGAGAGTGTGGAGAATGGAAAAGAGTTTGTCCTTTTATTGCCAGGAAGCTAGTAAGGTATTTTTTTTCTTTCTAAATTGAGACTCTGCATTTCCCCACATTGTTACTCATCATGGATTTCCATAATACCCCATTCCTTAAGTCATCTTGGGAATAAATAGGCATTTGTGGACTGGCCACCAGATATTGCAACATTGTTTCTAATGAAAAGACTTAGGAATTCAAAGGCTTATATATAATTTGTTTTTGGAATGTCATCTTTTGTTGATTGCGAAGGGAGTGTTTGGAGAAGGAGTTGCAGTTATCTTTTGCCTATGATCTCTAAGTTACAGCACAAGAGAAGGATAATAAACTTGGTTAGTTGGTATCTGGGTATTAACTGCTCTTTATTCCACTGTGGCTAGGCTGGGCTTGGCTCAGAATAGGCCTTTACCAGTTGTTGGCTTGAATATTAGTTGAAGAGCAGACATTCTTGAAAGTCAGCTATGTGAATCACTTATTTCATGAACTTCCATTCTTATACACTTGCTTTTCATAGGTCCTACCCATTATAACTAAACTAACAAACTAAATAACATAGAAGTGTAGAAAGAACAGAGTCCTACCCTTCCTGTGTTCTGAAAATGCACACCTATGCACCATCTAGAAACACCTGACCATGAGTTTTATATTTTTGTGAATGGAAAAATTGAATAGTGATATGTAGAGATTTTAAGGTGTTGATTCTCAGGATAATAGCGTTGTTAAGGTTTGTTTACATTCCACTCAAAGTATTTATAGACTTGACAGTTGGAAACAAAACCTAAATCGCTAGAGACTTTGAGAGCAAACACCAAGAAAGATGCAGTATGATAATTAAGTGGTTTTGTAAGTTTAAATATATTTGGAAAAAAATGAGAAACATACAAAGTGTGATAAGGGAGTATAACCTTGGTTAGTAAAGTAGAAATGAGGAAACTAAATACCCACTGAATACAAGGGGAATGGAGAACTTCCTAATGAAAATATTTGATGATAAATAGTTGAGAGATATTTTTAAGATGGGTATGTATATTTTATAATCAATTCCTGAGACTCACATGGAGTCTCACATTTGTGTTTAGTGTCATACTTGTTTATTGCATCCTTATGGGACACCGGGAAGAAAGACCTAGTCACTGCCCTCCAGGATTTGCATTTGGACACATATTTAGCTAATTCTAAAAAGTCTCTTGTTAACTAAAATTCTGTCTGCATCAGTGTTTGCTCATGTCTCATTGCACTGTTTCTTGGTACAAGTAGGAGGTCATCTATGTTTTTAAGAAAATGCATTTTTAAAAATGCATCCTTTTGATAAATATTTCTTTAGTAATTTCCACTGTTTAAATTTTTCAAAATGTCATTTATGTAAAAGAGAAATCCATTCTTGTTATAAAAGAAGGAAACACTTGAGAAATACATTAAGTTTAATCATAAAACTTCCCAGTCATTCCCTATCTTCCTACATTCCCACTTCCCTCTCTGGAGGTTACTGCTGTAAACAGTATGATGTGTGTGCTTGGAATTCTTTTTTCTATGTCTGTGTTTACTTAATAAATATTTAGGTACCTTCTAGATACCATGCATGTACATATACGTATATGTATTTAAACACATATATATCCTCACATGTATTCCGTATATTTAAATAAATGGATCCTATTGTATGAGGTCTGCTTGCTTATGTCACTGACCATGCTTTGGTGCTCAAGTCAGAACATATAGATCTATTCCATTCTTATTGATGGCTATATTGTATAGATGCACTGTAATATATTTTCCATTCACCGTATTGATGGACGTTTAGTCCCCCCCCCACCCCGGTTTTTTGCAGTTACAAGCAATGCTGTAATTAATAACCTTATATATTTCTAGAAACTAAATTGCTCGGCCATAGGAAATGTATTTTTAAAATTTTGATAGACTGCCAAACTGACCTCCAAAAAGCTGAACCAGTTTATACTTACAACAGTATATGAGAACATTGTTTCCTACATACATGATTTTGTTACAGTTTTAGAGCTTGAAGGACTACAGAATGTGGCCTAATCTCCCTTTCCCTTTTTCAAGGGACTTAAAATGATCTGCCCAGATCTTAACCCCCACAGAACTATGAGCACCTCTCCATTTCTGATCTTTGTTCCTATGAAGACATTGTAGTTTAGGCACATTTTATATTGTAAGATTCTATCCACCACAGTGTTTATTTGTTTCTGTCTCTTCTCTGTTGCTACTCAGAACAAACTTCCTTTTCAATCTCACGTTTTCCATTAGTGCCACTGAGTGTCTCCTCCCCTTGCTGTGTTGTCTGCATGGAATATCTTTCATTTAATATCCTTAAAAAGCTACCTTCTTTAATTACTTAAATCTCACTTTATCCACAGCGCGTATGGGTTGCTTTAGATTTACCATGGCTACAGCAAAGAGAGTATTTTATGAATCTTGTTTCGTTATCAGCGGCTGATTCCTGTTTGCCAAGTAAAACATAAGCTTCTTGGTTTATATACACTTCGAGAAGCTGGCATTTATCTGTTACAACATTTCTGCTGGCATTTGTCTTTTACAACATTTCTGCTACACTTGATGGCTTTATATTTGTCAAATAATGTGATGCCATTTCAACTAATGAAATCTAACAACATTTAAAAAATTTATTAACCACAATTTATTTTTTCTTTTAGAAATGACCTTCAGACAGTATTCTGCTTATAAAGTGTAAATAGGTTCTCTTCTTGTGTCAGTATATTTATTTCTAAGGTACCTGCATTGTAAGCTTCTGTTACAAAGGCATAGTTCCAATATGTTCTTTTGATGGGCTATGAGAATTTGTGTCAGTGACATCCCAAGTTGGTGCTTTAGCTGAGTTGGTCAAATACCAATATTATGACTTTAGGTAAAGAACCAACTGATGAAATTCTAAGGAACAGAGATCAACCTTGATGCATATTTCAATCATGATAAAAGAAAGAGAATTCAATATTAGATGTGAATTAAATTTGTTCCATGAATGTTGTTCAAAACTGAGGATAGCAGTCTAATCATAAGCTCATCAATTATTCATTAGTGTCTTGAGGGTATTAGTGAACAGAATACAGAAGAACCGTCCACTACCCTTTAGAGTTTTTGTTCTAAAACAGAAGGAAAAAATATATTCTGTGTCTTTTTTTAATTGGATTTTATTCTCCCACACTGTAGGTGAAGTGTATGTACACATAGAAGAAGGTGAAAGGCAGGCCACATATTTGCTTATTCTTGGGGGTTTGTGGAAGTCTGGTGGTAAAATTAAATTTGAAACATTAAAGGCTGATAGTTTTATAGGAAAAGTCTAGAGACATGGACTTCTTGGACTTAAACTCTTTTTTTTTGAGACAAGGTCTTGCCCTGTCATCCAGGCTGGAGTGCAGTGGTGTGATTATGGCTCACTGCAGCCTTGACTTGCAAGGCTCATGTGAACCTCCTGCCTCAGCCTCCAGTGTAGCTGGGACCACAGGTGTGCGCTACCATGCCTGGCTAGTTTTTTGTTTGTTTGTTTTGAAGAGATGAGGTTTCATTTTGTTGCCCAGGCTGTAAACTCTTTTTGCCTAAGCTTTTTCTGTTCCTAAAATGAAGTTGTTGGCTTGAGTTGTGCCTGTTCATTCCTTTATTCTTACATACACACTGTAGATTTGGATTTGGAAGAATTCTTGGTCAATTCAGTGGCCCCTTAGCTCAGGCAGTCAATGGCTGTAGGTTTTGGACAGTAACTCCTAGACTGCATGGAGATACTTGTTTCTGAGTTTCTTTTTCTTCTGCTTCTTCTTTTTTTAAAATCACAGTACAGAATGTTATGTTGGAGTTAGAATAAAGTCAATGTTCATAAAACAAATGAGGAAGAGGTTATATAGGGGAAAAAGAGCAAAATACTAGTATAATTCGTGGAACATTTCCTTTAGATTATGTTCTAGAATGGCACAAATAAACTTATAAATCAATATTTTATGTTGTACAAATTTCTCAGAGTTGATCTTTTTTTATTTTACAATTCCACAGAAAATAGCCAAGATACTAGGTTTAACAAACAGTAGTCAAAGTATGCATAGTAGAACATTTTTATAACATTCTACAAATGAAAAGCCAATTTCCTTTACACAGACAGTAATGCAAATGTTCACAGTAGCTTTGCTACAAAGAAATTAAATTGCTGCAATTGATGATTCCACTGCTTTAATGGGAGTTCATGCTATAATAACCTTTATTAATTAGGAAAATATCATATAATTTAAATCTGAGCAAGAATGTTACAGACCCATAAGTTGCCGCTGAAGAAATTAAACAGAAATGGCTTGTCTTGTATTCTCAAATATTATTACAACTAATAACCTCTGCGCTCATCATGACTTTTTCATTGCTTTTTGGCTCTAGGTGCATATATTTTTCTGCTCCCAGAATACAGATCATGCAGTTTTCAATGGCTTGGGACCAATAAGGCTGAGAGTATGGAAAAGGATAGTTATATAATCTCTGAGATCTATAAGTGATAGCAACTTCTTAGAGTTGCAATCTATGACTTGTCATTCCTAAAAGTCATCTTATTTTATGGGAGATTGCCTTATAGGGAGTCATATACTAGAGCAAATGAGAAGTAAGAGACTGAGGGGAATGTTTGTGACTGAATAAGGTAGTTTATAGGTAAACATTTAGAACTTAGATTATGAAAATCTGGTAAGTTTTTGTACCTGATCCTTTCTGAAGGGAAGGAAGAGGAAGAAGGAAGTTTCAGGATTTGGGGGAATTTAAAATCAGAATGAAGCTCAGTTGGGTCATTTGATATTTATTTTATTGGAAGATTTGAATGATTCTGTTTGTTTTTTCATAGTTACTTGGGAAAGGTTGTTTTAATAAGAGATTGAATCCAGAGAGACTGAAGAGGGCTTGAACTGAAATAAAAATAATTTGGCAAATTATAAATTGAGCCTTTTTTTTTTTGCCTTGGGAGTCTTGATATTTTGTGATTAAATAATAAATAATAAAGGAGTAGCTTCTCCCAGCCACCACAGAGTTAGTTATTATACAAAGTGAGCCTGGAGCATTTCATAGTCTAGAAGAACACTTCTCAAAAGATGGCCCAAGGCCACTGGTCCAAAACATATTGGCAAATAGCAGAAGATCTCATAGTGTTTCATTTATGTATATCCTTTGGCAACTTACTGATAACCAATCAAGTGAAGCATTAAGAGTATGCAAAATGTGGCATACATAAACCCACATTAGCATAATACTACAGTTTATAAAGGCTTCTAATTTAAGTTTTCTACTAAGAAGTTTGGATACTATCCAACGTGTAGCAACATTGCAAAGCTCCACATATGAACATATGAACATGCATAAAATGGAATTACTTTACATTTTAGAAAGACATATATCGTCAGTATATGTTGAGTTGAGCTTTATATTGGTTTCTATTCTTAATTTTTCATTATAAATTACTGTTTAGTCTTTATTTTTCTTACAGGTTGTTCACTTAACCCTGTAGTATATATTGATGCATATTTGTGTCAACAGTATTCTTGTTTTGTAACTTTTAAGTAACTAGATTGTACATTGCAGTTCCAATATGAATTATTCTCTTTGTATTAGCAAAGTACATGTATGTATAATCTTTCCAAAGAGAATTGAAAAATAGCATTTCATTCTTATCACCCTTGCATATTTTACCTAGTCTGAAGATGGTATGTTAAAGTTTGAGAACTGCTGCTCTGAGGAGTTAGCTGACAGGTCTAGAAGTCAGAGTCAGAATCATTTCTGATATCTTACATTTACTTAGCAAGGTTTTATAAGTTCAGGACCTTGACAAACCCTTTCTGAATCTGCTACTTATTGGGTATGTGATTGGACAAATTACCGAATCTTGTCTGTGTCTCAATTTCCTGTCTGTAAAATGGATATTTTAAAAGTACCTACCTAATTCAATTTTTTGAATATTAAATAAGATGATATATATAAAAATGCTAGGACTGTGTCTGGCTTATAAGTAAGTCTTCAATAAATAGTAGCCATTATTGTTAGATGAGAAGTACTTTCAGTGTCCCTACTATAAAATGGTTAATTTGTTACCAGATTCTAATTTGGTTTTAAGCTTGTTTTCAGATTAATACATCCAACGAATATATATTTAGTCAACAAATATTTTAATGCTTTTTGTGTGGAGGTTCATTGTTAATTATATTGTATGTTTCAAATGATTTAATCATTTAAAATAATCAAAGGTCACTTTCTTATAAAATCTTTACTACCAGTAAGTAGTAAAGTTGTCATATTGGCCATTTTCTTATTATTTGCTTGTGTTGACAATGTTATATTATCTTCAATCAGTGGTTTCATTGTGGGAACCTTTTTTATTTTTTAAGACAGGGTGTATTAGGGTTCTCTAGAGGGACAGGATTGATAGGATAGATGTATATATGAAGGGGAGTTTATTAAGGAGTATTGACTCACACGATCACAAGGTGAAGTCCCACAATAGGCCCTCTGCAAGCTGAGGAGCAAGGAAGCCAGTCCGAGTCTGAAAACTTCAAAAGTAGGGAACCCGACAGCGCAGCCTTCAGTCTGTGGCCAAAGGCCCGAGAGCCCCTGACAAACCACTGCTGTAGGTTCAAGAGTCCAAAAGCTGAAGAACTTGGGGTCTGATGTTCGAAGGCAGGAAGCATCCAGCATGGGAGAAAGTTGGAGGCCAGAAGACTCAGCAAGTCGGCTGTTACCCTTCCTGCTTTTATGCTGGCAGCTGATTAGATGGTGCCTACTCAGATTGAGGGTAGGTCTGCCTCTCTTAGTCCACTGACTCAAATGTTAATCTTCTTTGGCAACACCCTCACAGACATACCCAGGAACAATACTTTGCATCTTTCAATCCAATCAAGTTGACACTCAATATTAACCATCACACAGGGTCTTGCTCTGTCACCCAGGCTGGAGTGCAGTGGCATGAACATGGCTCACTGCCGCCTCGACCTCTTGGGCTCAAGCAATCCTCCTGCTTCAGCCTCCCTAGTAGCTGGGACTGCAGATGCACACCACCATGCCAGGCTAATTTAAAAACAAAAAGTTGTGTAGATAAGGGGTCTTGCTATGTTGCCCAGACTGTGGGAACCTTTTTATAATTCACTTGTCATTTTGTGAGAGAGAATTTAATTAAAACTAGATAACTTTTGGAAAATTCACTTAAGCAAGCACATGTTAACTTAATACTTCCCATGCACAAGTAAGGACACTACCTTCAGCCCTGCATCTTTGTGGAATTCCCACTCTTCTCTCAAGTCACCTATTTATTTGATGACACAAATGACTGTTTTTGACATGTAGATCATGAGAAGGAGGCAGTGCCATCCACTTACTAAGAACTAGTAAAGCTGGCTGGGTATGGTGGTTCACGCCTGTAATCCCAAGCACTTTGGGAGGCTGAGGTAGGCAGATCACCTGAGGTCAGAAGTTTGAGACGAGCCTGGCCAACATGGTGAAACCCCGTCTCTACTAAAAATACAAAAGTTAACCAGGCATAGTGGTGTGCGCCTGTAATCCCAGCTACTCGGGAGGCTGAGGCAGGAGAATCACTTGAACCCAGGAAGTGGAGGTTGCAGTGAGCCGAGATCACACCACTGCACTCCAGCCTGAGTGACAGAGCAAGATTGCCTTTAAAAAAAAAAAAAAGAATTAGCAAAGCTGATTTTTATTCTCATTTTTCTAGGTTAAAAATTAATATCAATCCAGGCATGGTTGTGTGCACCTGTAGTCCCAGCTACTTGAGAGGCTAAGGCGGGAAAAGCACTTGAGCCTAAGAGTCTAGCCTGGGCAACATAGCATGACCTCATGTCTAAAATAAATACATACAAACACATCAATATAAGTGTTAATGTTTTCTTTCCAAATTCCTGTGGTTTGTATTGCAGTCTCCCTCGAATATGAGCAGCCCACTTTGGAGAGCACATAGCCAATTATTTGAATATTAACCCTTACTCTCATATAAGAATATAACTGATAATTTTCTGAGTTCTGTTCATTTAGTATTCTATTTAGCATCTTTGTGGTTGTTTTGGTATGGTACTTATGGAAGTATTTGACTTTCTAAATTTCATAAAATCATAGCCACCCTATGAGTTTTAGAATTTACATTACTTGTTATCTGGTCCTACTTTCCTTAGTAGACAATGAGTTCTTCAAAAGTAGAGACTTTTATTAATCTTTGTGTTTCTGTCGCCTAGCACTGAGCCTGTATTGTAGAGAGAGCTCAATAAATCTTTAATTGAATGAATCATATACATATTCAGAAACTAGTTTGTTCATTGGCAAAGAAGTGGAGAATCAATGTGTTAACTGGTAATTGGAATTACATGCATGCTTAATAAAATAATTTTGTCAAATATTTTTATGATACTATTCTTTAGTGGTCAAACCGGAGCATATTTATAAACATTTATTTACAAACATAAAATTACAGAATGACAAGACTTTGGAGCTTAACTGGACATTCAAAATCTTTCCCAGAGAAGAAGGTATGTCAGGAATCCTGTCATGTGAACTCCAGTCATGTTCTTACGTAGCACTTTACTGGCTGGAGGATAATTCTCTTCTGCAAGGTTTAGAATTGGGTTTGCAAAATATCAGAGTCAAGGTTACATCTAGCAGCACGGTCAGTCTTCACCTGTTCCTTAGACTTTTGGATGACAGGGGTAGAGTATATATCAAGAGAAGTGAAGTATCCTTTCTGTGAGAAGTAGAATGTGATTTTTTTTGGAGAGTGTTTAAGATGCAGACAGGACATCATTTATCTCCCCAAGCGATATTAACTTAAAGTTTAAGGAATACTACTTCAAATTACACAGCACATGGGTACCAAGACCAGAAAGAAATTGCTAAACCATATGCTTGTAAATGCTATCTCTTTCCTCAAGAGAAGGATCATTTATATTTTGCAATTAAAGAGCAGAAGGTCTTTTTTCCCGTAAAGGCTTTTCAGTCAGGAAATACACCTGGCAGAGAGGGCTTCCCAGGGGAGATTCATACAGTGTTCAAGGACTCTTTGGCGTCTCCACCTTGTGGAACTTTGCTCTTTGACTATTTCCTGGTTAAACACTGGAGAATAAACTTTAATTCTAAAAAATGTAGTTAGCTCTGGTTAAAGTTTGTAAACAGTTGTATAAGTGAGCTTTAAGTAAAGAAATTGATGTTTGGGTCAACTTGGTTTTTTCCCCCTTAAGGGGCAATTATAACGTTCCAGCATTATGAACTACATATGGTACTCTCAGTGTATTGATGGACATTGTTTATTATTTTGGTTAGAACAAATGGGTGTTGGTTTCTTACTGAATAATAAGCAGGCAATAACCCTCAGGACTTTAGTACTGCTGCTTTAGTCATTTTTGATTTTTAGTGCATTTGAATTCATGAAAGTTAACTAGCCAAGAAAAATAGTATAGTTTCTGTGCCACCATCCCTGGTAAGTAAATTCATATGAGGTCCCAGAATCCAAAACTAATAATTGTGTATGGTACCGTGAAAGGTACCATTTCCTAGTTGAGATATTCCTGTCCATTCTCAGTGTAAGTCCTTCGTCCCCCTGCCTTCCTACTGTTCTTCCTCCCACCTTGAGGCAACAGTTTGAGTGAATACATTACCCTTGCCCTATGCTGTGAGGATCAGCAAGTTTAGACTCCAGGACAGTCAGTAGGGGCAAATTGAAGAACACTTTGCATCTGGGAAAATCTGCCTTAAGTCTAGAAAAAGTCAGACTGAAACTCTCTTAGGTGAAGATCTTTAGTTGGGATATATCAGATGGAATGTCCTAGTAGGCCATGCTACCCAGGTATCTGATTTACCTGTCTTAGTGTAATGAACTTTTTTTTTCTCTTGCCAGTTTTAATGTAATGAACTTTATGTCCTTGCCTTCAAGTTGTTAATTACTTTTTCTCTGTGGAGATAATACATAGCCCTTCTGCTTGCCATTTCTGTCTTAGTCACTAAATCAATTTCTATTGCTTATGGCAAATCCAAACACTTATCTCACAAACAAAGCAATTTATTTTGTAATTTTGTGGCCAAACTTACTGACATATTTGTTTATAGTTTTACTACAAATAAACATTATAAAATTTGTAAACATTACAAAGTATGTAGTGCACTATGTAAAATTTTCCAACAGCCCCAGTCTAGTGACTTAACCCTTGGTTAACAATTTGACTTATATTCTTGCTTTTTCAGTGTATTTTTTTAAACAAGATATTTCACTATACTATTGTTTTGTAGATTGTCTTTTGCATGTAAATACACATACTTAAGATTTTTTTGTTCATTAGTATCTAACTTTATTCTTTTTAAATAATTTATAATATTTCATTGTATAGACATACCATTATTTATTTAACCAATTCTCTTTAAATGGGCCTTCAGGGTTTTTTCCAGTTTTTTTGCTTTACAGAAAGTGCTGAAGCTGACATCCATATATATTTCATTTTGTACTCTTATGTGACTGTTCAGCTTTTTTCCAAATGGCTAGCCAATACCTTTTATTGAAAAAAATCCTTATTTTCCCCCATTTAATTGAAATGCTACATTTATATAAATGATGCTCCTAGACTTACAATATGGTTACGTCCTGATAAACCCATGGTAAGTTGAAAATATGGATCTTTTTATAATATTGGATCATTCTATCCCCAAACAACTTATGTCTTTGTATTTTTCTTAAATCTTTCAGTGGAGTTTTATAATTTCCTTACATGTCCTATGAGTTTATTACTACATGTTACATGTGTTTTGCAATTATAAATTGCAGATCTTTTTACTAATATTTTCTAGCTAGTTGTTTTTGGCATGGAAGAATGCTAGATATTTTCATATAATTATTTTATGTGGTTACTTTAGTGAACCCCTCTTATTTTCTCTAATTTTTTTTCAGTTGATTCTCATGGATTTTTCATGTGGGCAGTCATTATCTGCAAATATTGATTTTTTTGCCTCTTTGTTTCCTAATCCATTTAACTTTAATTTGGTTTTCTTTCTTTTCTTTTTTATTTTTTTGAGACAGGGTCTTGCTGTGTTGCCCAGGATGGAGTGCAGTGGCACATTCATAGCTTACTGCAGCCTTTAACTCCTGGGCTCAAGTGATCCTCCTGACTCAGCCTCCCAATTAGCTGGGATTACAGGCTCATGCCACCATGCCTGGCTAATTTTTAAATTTTTTTGTGGAGACAGGGTCCTGAACTCCTGGTGTCAAATGATCTGCATATCTTAGCCTCCCAAAGTGCTGGGATTACAGGCATGAGCTACTGTGCCTGGCCAGCATACTTTTTAAAATACACATAGGTAGACTGAAACTATCACTTTGTAGGTAAACTATCCCATTGGTGAAACAATACTCATTTTCTGCGTAAAGCTGTGCCATTGGTAACTTTGTTAGTATCTTTTACATCTTTGCAATAAGATTCAAATTAAATTATATCCTAAATAAATTTTTTCTGTGGATGTTTTTGTATACTTGTACACCTGAGCAAGGGATGGAAACCTACAACAATATAGAGTCTAAATCAGTGGCTGTTTTTCCAGGTTGCTTAGTAGAATCACTTCAGAATGGTGATTCCAATGCCTGGGCCCCATTCTAGACTAATTAAATAAGAGTCTCTGATGAGTGGGACTCGAGCATCTTTTTTTTTGTTGTTTTTAAGCTCCCCATTTGATTCCAATGTTGGGCAAGCTCATTGAGAATCACTAGTCTAATTAAAATTATTTATGTATGCCAATAAAATTGTGTTTATTTTATCCTAAGTGGCTGTTTTCTATACACGAAACAGTTTCATGTTTCCATTTGGAAAAACATAATTAAAATGCAAGTTTAGCAAAATGAAATTAGATGTATTGAGAAGTAGAGATCTGGAGAACTTATTATGGTAGATACATATGTAATATTAATGTTTATGATATATCAGTTTAAGAAATAAATTTCCCTTCTGAGCTGGTTAACCAAAAATCAATCGTTGTTCATCAAGAGTCATTTAGTAAGTAATATGAGTATTAGCCATGACCTCAATAAAATATTAAGAAAATATACCAGAAAATATATTAAATATATTTACTGGGTATATACATTGCATTTTTTTTCAGCCAGGAAGAGCGTTTTGTTTAGAATCATGCACGATCATTGAAATATTGGAGAGTGATGTGAGAGTTTGTATTGAAGAGGTTTTGAAGTCAGGTACCAGTAGCTTTCTGAATTTCCTGACCAACATAGGAAATGATCATAGGAACATCAACTGGGTAACCCAGCAAGAAACAAACAAACAAAAAAACTCCCAGTCTGATCCTTTGCCTAGGGTACAGTCAGTCCCTGACGTCAGTCCTTGATCACGGGGTAGGCCAGGGGCTAGCAAACTATGACCTGCGAGTCTAATCTAGGTCTTTTCTAGAAATAGTTTTACTGGAGATAGCCATGTTTATTCATTTTCTTATTTCCTGTGGCTGCCTTTAGGCTCCTACCATAGAGCTGAATCATTTGACGTAGATTGTATAACCTGCAAAGCTTTAAACCATGTACTGTCTGACCCTTTATAGAAAGTTTTCCAGCTCCTATATTACACAGTTGTTGTGTGTACACATTAAGACTACTGTGTCACACATTACTTGCTCATACTCTCAAATAGATCCTCTTAAGCTGAATTTGGTCTTTCATACACAAGTGACTAGAGATTATTCTGTTTTTAGGGCTTTCAAATGGAGGCTGCAGTTGAGGGAGAAGGATTTACCTTGGCAGTTAAGGGATTATCCTGCTAGTTCTCTGATGTTCCTACTGTAGAGAACCAGGATTTTGCTCACTTACCTGGGTAGGTGTTTTCTTGCTTAGCTCATTTTCCATGTTCTTCTGCATCGCTGCTATTGCTCCCCCTTTTGAGGGTGGGCATATGGTGGTAGGTTAACTAAAGCAGGCAGATTCGGAACTTGGTCCATGAAGATCTTCCATTGCAGTCACAGAAGAGAAAGACTATTTTTGACACACCTTGCTAATAATGATCTGGATGTGGGAGTTTAAAGATTAAGAGCTGTTCAACCTTTAATTGTGGTTCAACTGGAGAGCTCAAAAAGGTGTGGAGGTCTAGCAGAGATAACATATCTGTCTCAATTTCTCTAGTCTCTGATGCAGCAGAGGCGTAGCTGGCTACCTCTGAGCTATCAACTACCTCTTCACCGGGGGCATCTGAATGCTAGCCAAGCCTCTGACATACTTGCCAGTTACTTACACTTATCAAAGCAGTACCTGCAATTAGCTGGCCATGATGGTGTACACCTGTAGTCCCAGCTACTTGGCAGGCTGAGGTGGGAGGATCACTTGAGCCCAGGAGTTCGAGGTTACAGTGAGTGGTGATCACGCCACTGCACTACAGCCTGGGCAACAGAACAAGACCAACTTTTTTTTTTAAGTACCTGCAAGTACATTCGGTATTAAAAAATATAAACATTTTTAGCTTTCTAAGACTATAACCCCCCACTTTCTTACACGTAAAGCTGTTAATCATATTTTAGCCCTTTGATTTTCAGTTAATTTTGTAGAAAGGCATTGTATACAAAAGCAAGGAAGGTGCCTGGAAATGAGACAAAATGTAATGATGTTCTGGTAAACATTGGCAGCCTGATCATCAGAGCAACAAGTTTGGAAAAGAAGCCACAGTCTTGAGAAAACTGTTGGAATTACTCTTTTGTTGGATGTGGGGAGCTTAGGATGCTACTGCAAATGTTCATTAATAAATGTCAAGTTATTTTTGTGACTCCAGAAGATTATTATTATTATTATTTTTTTTGAGAAGAAGTTTCGCTCTTGTGGCCCAGGCTGGAGTGCAATGGCGCCATCTCGACTCACAGCAACCTCCGCCTCCTGGGTTCAAACGATTCTCTTGCCTCAGCCTCCGGAGTAGCTGGGATTACAGGCATGCGCCACCAGGCCCAGCTAATTTTGTATTTTTAGTAGAGATGGGGTTTCTCCATGTTGGTCAGGCTGGTCTTGAACTCCCAACCTGAGGTGATCGACCCACCTCAGCCTCCCAAAGTGCTGGGATTACAGGCGTGAGCCACCGTGCCTGGCCCCAGAAGATTTTTTTTAAATGAAATATTTGAGATGGTTTCGTACCAAAACTTCTTATTTGAAATCTGATTATTTCATTTATTCTGTTTGTAATTTAGGCCTAGATCGGTGCCTGAATGACTTTTCTATTCGGTATAATTGTACCCAACCTTGCTCAATATATCTATGTAAAAGAGAAGTTATTCTGATTGTTGATTTTTCTTTTCCTAAGGTACTGTAAGGAATATGAGACCTGTGTTTGGGCTCAGTTTTCTAGACTGTGATGGCTCCAAGTGCTGTTAGTGTTTGGAGATCTGGCATTTTTGCTTTGCTAGTGTGATGAAGGGAGTACAGTTAAGGGAAGCAGGCTGAATTCCTTCTCAAAATAAATGGGTTAATAAGGATACCATTGATTAACTCTCTCATAGGAATTTTTCTAAGCACTTTAAATTTTTACTTAGCTGTGTTTATGGTAAGTGATTTTCTATGTGTACTCCCCTCCCCCAACTAACTCTCATTCCTTCTTTATATGATAGAACAACGACTATCGTCTATTCCACAAGATGAGTAACAGCCACCCTCTTCGCCCCTTTACTGCAGTGGGGGAAATTGATCATGTGCACATTTTGTCTGAACATATTGGTGCCTTGTTGATTGGGGAAGAATATGGCGACGTCACATTCGTGGTGGAAAAGAAACGTTTTCCTGCCCACAGGGTAATTTTAGCAGCCAGGTGCCAATATTTTCGGTAAGTGTGTAATACTTTTTTTGAAAATTTAGTTCACTTGTAGAAAACACTGGTATTTTCTGCTCTATGAAAAATATATAACCAAGTATAATGACAAAGTCTTGCAGTCTCTCAATTCAATATCTATGAAGATTTCATCCTTGTAGACTTTGTTATTTTTTGAGAATCACCTTTTCCTTTAGGAGCCACCTTAAAATTAAAGGGTTAGAAGGATTCCCAGACCAAATAGTGCCCAATCAACCATTTTTCAAGGTCTCAAGAATGTTTCTCAGGCTAAGTCTTCGTTGCCCTCACTGTCTCCTCCCAGTAGATGGCTAATGGGACTAAAGCTTCTTTTTGCATAGGTAGACTGCCCTGTGGACCTGCTAATGGACACATATACCCCTTGGTTTGAGGTCTAGGAGCTGTTAGTAACCCAGCAGATCTAAGACGTGCACTTGTATGCAGCTGTTGTTGGTTACTTGGGTCCTTAATTTCCAGGGTTATAAATCTTAAGCTGATCTTTAACTACTCTACATTTTACCTAATATTTGTCAAAAGGGAGTCATCACTGAATTAATTACTGAGTGAGTTATAATTTATGCATGATAATGGATCTTTTTCTATTTTTAAGGATAAAGATGGTTCACAGAGTTATAGATTTATCTGGGAAACTTGGTATCTAAAATGGAGATTCCATTGGATTAGAGAAAATTTCAATTACCTTGTAGTGATAACTGCAGTGTCTGGCTTTTATAGTCAGAATTAAGCAAGACAGCAACACCTAGAGTCAGACATGTTGTGGTAAAGTGTGTCTCCTGGAAATATTTACTCTGTAGCTAGAGCTCCTATGGTTTTTCATGAACTTCCAATCTTACACATGTAAAATGCCACTGTAGATGAAACCGGGAGCTTAGAAAAGTGAGGAGTCTGTTAAAAGTTCTAGCACTCTCCTATTCTTCCTAGTGGTCAACTCTGCCAAGGCATCCGACCTTGGTCTAGCCATTATTTGTTATCAGCCTCTGTCCTCTGCACACTTTTCCTTTTATATTTCTTCCTCTTTTTAAAATTTTGGTCCAGTCATTACTATTAAAGTGTTTTATAAGAGCCCACTTTTTTTTTTTTTTTTTGAGACGGAGTCTCACTCTGTCGCCCAGGCTGGAGTGCAGTGGCGCGATCTCGGCTCACTGCAAGCTCCGCCTCCCGGGTTCACGCCATTCTCCTGCCTCAGCCTCCCGAGTAGCTGGGACTACGGGCGCCTGCCACCACGCTCGGCTAATTTTTTTGTATTTTTAATAGAGACGGGGTTTCACCGTGTTAGCCAGTATGGTCTGGATCTCCTGACCTTGTGATCCGCCCGCCTCAGCCTCCCAAAGTACTGGGATTACAGGCTTGAGCCACTGCACCTGGCCAAGAGCCCACTTTTTATTAAGTCAGAACTTCTCAGCCTGTGTTTATTGTTTATTAGTACAGTGTACCTTGTCCTCTTTCAAAAATAATTTGAAACAACTCTATGAGGATATCTTTTAGGTGATTAGTATATCCTTAAAAAAAACTCAAATACTTTGAGAAATTTGAAGATCGTATTGAGTGAATGGAATATACTCCCCCCGCTTATTGACCTTGTTCTTGATGTCTTTGTAGATATTGAACCTTCGTAATATTTGCTGGCTCACTAAGCTAAGCTCAGAGTCTACCTTAGACTATCTTAGAGCTAAGCTCTACCTCTAAGTCTACCTTAGAGCTAAGCTCAATGCTACCTTAGACAGGTTCTCAATGCTGACTGTATTCATGTGCAAAGGAATGTTAATTGTCAGCTGTCAGAAGAGGCCTAAGTGCTGTCATAATAGCCTATCAATTCCCAGATAAGGAATTGTATAGGAGGAAACTTCATAGTAAACATTGAACCTCTGTGCTTGTCTCCTTGTTGAAGTTGGGGGTTCATGTTTATTGTTCCAAGGGAGCCTCATCAAAACCACTTTTAAAGCATTGAGAATCCAAATAAATACCATGGATCATACAGGATTGGGGATAAGTCTTGAGGTCTCCCCGAGAAGGAGAAGTTCTTTAATTTGGTAATTTTAGGGTAATGGTTGGATGCTCTCTGGATTAATGGAAACCTTCAGGGGTACTTTTAGGCAGAGTATAACCCAGTGAAGAGGTATGCTCAGAATATTCATGAATCTTTTCTGGGTGGTTTCAACTATTTTTCTGGGGCAAGCAAGAATGCTAGGTCCTGGGGGAGGGTGGGACAAGTTCCAGGTAGGTAAACCTGAAATGCTAGTCCTACTCTGAGAATTTTAGCAACACGGAGAATCTCTTTCTTATTTCCAGTCTCTTCCTCTCACTTTTGCATCTTTTCTTTCTCATTCTGTATTCTTCTCTCCCTTTTCTGCACTTCTCCCTTGTCCTCTTCGTCCTTTCTTTCCTGATAGATTGGAAGTTTAATTGGTTCATATTATTCCTCTTGATTGATAGAGGTAGAAATTCAAATTCATTACCTAACTGGATTGTCTAGTTTTCATTTTTTTAGATAAGCAATAATGTAGGGCTTTTTGTTTAATCTGAAAGGAAAAAAATAAAAAATCACTGTAATCCTATCAGTAATTTCATTTTTAATTTATAAAGTAACAGATGAAAGTCTTTGTCTCCCAGCCATCTAATACCATTTCCCAGAAATAAGTGATGTTAAGAGTTTAATATGAATTTCTTCTGATTTTTCTTGATTTAAAGAAATACCGATGTAGACATATGTGCATAAACATGTAAATATTTGGTTATGTACTTTTTTAATGCAGTACATATGGATCTGCAATTTTATTTACTTGCCTACCATATCCTGGACATGTTTTCAAAACAGTACCTGTTGATCTCCCTTGATCTTTCTAATGGCTGCATAGAATGCGTATATCACAGTTTTTTTAACCATGTTGCTGCTGATGGACATTCAGATTTTTACTAGTGTTTCAGTATGTTTTCTTACACATTTTTCTTTACTGTATTACTTCCCTAGAATTGAGTCCTAAAAGAGAGATTACTGAGTTGAAGGGTATGCACATTTTAGATTTGACTAGATGCTACTAAATTACTTTCCATAAAGGGCTGCCATTTATACTCTCAAAGCAGCATATCAAAGAACATGTTTTTCCATTGCTTTTGCAGCACTGATATTAACAAGCCTTTTAATTTCTGCCAGTCTTACAGGGGAGAATGGCATCATATTAGTGTTTATCTGATTATATCTTTTCCTATAGAGTTTTACTTTTTAAATTGCCTTATTGACCTTTAACATCTTTATATCAACTTCATTGTGCCTCTCAAAAGATCACTCTCATCTTTCTATTTAATATCTGTCACATATCTTGAGCTTTCAGAGTATCTCATTAGTTCAGTGGCTTACAGAATTAATTCAAATAGTTTTAAAATCATTCCTCTTGTGTCCTGTAAAGAACCATTTTAAATGATTACTTTGCATTTTTTCACTTGGATCTTTGTGTCATTAAAAAAATTTATATTTGCATAATGTTGATAACTGTTATTTCCAATATTTTGTAGCAAATCCTATTTGAGGGTTTCTTCATGTGTTTCTTCCCTGATGTGCAGAGCATTATTATATGGTGGAATGCGAGAGTCTCAGCCTGAAGCAGAAATTCCTCTCCAAGACACCACTGCAGAAGCATTCACAATGCTACTCAAATATATCTACACTGGGCGGGCAACGCTGACAGATGAGAAGGAGGAGGTGCTGCTGGACTTTTTGAGCCTGGCTCATAAATATGGATTTCCAGAGCTAGAGGATTCTACCTCTGAGTATCTCTGCACCATACTTAACATTCAGAATGTCTGCATGACTTTTGATGTTGCCAGTCTCTACTCACTTCCCAAGTTAACTTGTATGTGCTGCATGTTTATGGATAGGAATGCTCAGGAAGTCCTCTCAAGTGAAGGTTTCCTCTCCCTTTCTAAGGTGTGTCATTTGTCTACAAGTAATTTATAGGCATGCATTGTTTTATTTATACCTATACTGTAGAAGTATAGCAATGGACTAAGAATAATAAAAAAAATCATTGGTATCAAAGCGTTATCATTGGTTATCTGGTCTAGCCACTTGCATCTAGCTACCAGGACTCTAGATCATAAAAGAGAGGGGCTGGTTGGTTGTGTTTTCTTTTAAGGTTCTTCAGGTAAGTTTTATGTGCAAAAGAGACTGTGCTGCTGTGTGGTTGTTTTCAAGGTAGTGACAATCAAATAGGGTCCTTTTTGGTATTGCATACTACCTTTTGGTTTTGTTTTTCTCTGACAGAGAGTGTGACTAATAATTCCTTAGAGCAAGCAGGCAAATTCATAGAGGAGATCTGATGCAACATTTGATGTCTTTAAGTCCCTGCTTTTTTTGCTGGCTTAAAATTCAGTATTATAGCTAGAGTAAAACTGTTTTGCTCAAATCTTCCTTTGAACTCTGGGTAGTGATTGTCTCTCCATTTGCCTTGTTGTGTTCCTTCTAGAACCTGGATATTTCTAATGAGAAAAATCTATTGAAAAGCTACATATCTTGATTTGAGTGTAAATTAAGATCTGTGTTATCCTATTTCATTTTTTTCTACTTAATTTTTAAAGACAATGATCTTTGAGGGTTGCAACATTGTTCCTGGAGGTCAGTTTGGAGATCTGAGAGCCAAAAGTATGGTAGTGAAGTAATACTGTGGAACAAAATTTGAATTTTAAATGCCAAATATGTCTTTCTAACTTAACAATGTACACTCTCTTGAAGAATCTGAATGTATTGACAGCTTTTCACTTTGGCGTTTTTCTTTTTGCTGTTTTAAAAAAGATGAATGCAGATGTGTTTGGAAAGATTAAATGTTTGATGTAGTGGTACAAGATACCTGAACATAAAAGAATGGTGCTACCGTCTTGGTTGTTTACACAGCCATAATGAGTAGGAGAATATGTGGCACAAAGCATAAGGGAAGGAGAGGGTCAAAAAGAGTTAATTGGCTAAGTTATACTTGTCCTGTAAGCTTTTACTGATTGGTCATGCAGTGGTTGAACTTCATATAACTGGAATTTTACCTTTTTATCCTTTTCAGACAGCACTTTTAAACATCGTGTTAAGAGACTCATTTGCAGCTCCCGAAAAAGATATTTTCCTAGCCTTATTAAACTGGTGTAAGCACAATTCAAAGGAGAATCATGCTGAAATCATGCAGGCTGTGCGTTTACCTCTCATGAGCCTCACAGAGCTTCTGAATGTTGTGAGGCCTTCAGGACTGCTGTCTCCTGATGCCATCCTGGATGCCATTAAAGTGCGATCTGAGAGCCGGGATATGGACCTCAATTATAGAGGCATGCTCAGTAAGTACCTGTCTATCCTAAACTCAACCAAGAAGCTTGGTATGCCTCTCATGCCATTAAAACCGCAAAGCTACTACAGAACCGTGTAGTGCAGGTGTACATGAAATATGTACGTTTATAAACAGCTAGCCTATGGAATGTCTTTCCCTTTCATTTTCCTGTTAATTCCTCCTGAGATTGATTAGCTTTTGTAGACCCCCAAATAGGTATTTCTTGCCATTCCTGGACAGATTTCTCAACTCCTCCCCAGAATGTCAGAAATGGACACTTTCCTAAAAAGCTGCTGCTCATGTTAAGACCTTTTCTTCCTTCCTCCATCAAATAAATACTGAGTACATTCTATGTACTTATTATTTTGGGTACCATGAACATGGAGATTCTTTTTTTTTTTTTTGAGATGGAGTTTCACTCTTGTTGCCCAGGCTAGAATGGAAGTTGCAATCTCGGCTCACTGCAACCTCGCCTCCCAGGTTCAAGCGGTTCTCCTGCCTCAGCCTCCTGAGTAGCTGGGATTACAGCCACCCGCCACCACACTCGGCTAATTTTTATTTTTAGTAGAGACGGGGTTTCACCATGTTGGCCAGGCTGGTCTCAAACTCCTGACCTCAGGTGATCCACCTGCCTTGGCCTCAGAAAGTGCTGGGATTACAGGCATGAGCCACCACGCCCGGCTGAACATGGAGATTCTAAATAACAATAATAATAGCTAACACTTATGTAACATACATACATAAGGTAGCTAACACTTATGATACTTATCACCACTTAAGTGGTGATTTTTCTTATTAATGGATTTATAGCAATTAACACTTACAGAGTGCATAGTATGTATCAAGAACAGGTCCTACACGATTTAATTCTCACAACTCTTTGAGGTATATACTGTTATTGACTCCATTTTACACAATGAGGAAACTGAAACAGAGAAGTTAAGTAACTTGCCCAAGGTCACACAGAAAGATGACAGAGCTGAGAGTCAAACCTATGTAGTTTGGCTCCAGAAGTTGTGTAATTAACCACTAAACTATGCTGCATAATTGTTAAACATAGTCTCTGCCTTTGATCCTTTTAATTTCATTGTGGAAATAAGACATAAACTCCCATGAAAAGTTAAATACAACAATATTCAAGGGAGTACATGTTATAGAACTTCAGAAGAAGTGGCTTGGTATGGTTGAGGGAGATTTCATGGAGGTTATGAAGCTTGAGTTGAGCCTTGACATTTGATTTGAATAGTATAAGAGTTGGGTGAATTTCAGATGGGAAGAATCATGAGGTTAATAGACAGAGGTTAGAGCATTTGAAGAGACCATAAATAGAAGAGCTTGATTAGAGTAGAAGGCTTTTATTGATTAATAGCAAAGAAACTATGTGAAGGTCAGCTTAGGCCAGTTTATGGAAGTCTTGGAAACTAGATTGGAATCTCCCTTACATGCAGTGAGGAACCAATTTGAGAGAGGGAGAGTGGCATGCATGCAGTGGTGGTTTTGAAAGACTGATCCATAGTGCTGTATTTGAGTATTTAGAATAGGGGAAAACTGATTCAGAGAGACCAGTGAGGAGAGTATTTAATCTGTGCACAATTGATACTACCTCAAACCAGATTGGTGGCAGGGAAAATGGAAAATAATGGATGATTAGAACGGATACAATGGAAAAAAATAGATCTTGATGATTCAAGGGATATAAATGTGGGGATTAAGTTTAGGAGAAAGTTACCATTTGTTATCAAATCTAAGAAGCCAGAAATTCTCAGGCACCATTATTTTATGTTCCACTAAGAAAAGAAACAATACTGCCAATTAACTGTGACACACTATGATGTCTACACTGCGATTTCAGAAATTTAAAAATTTGAACACTAGGTATGTCTGTAATGAAATACAGTACAGTACTTCTTTGAAGAAGATGCTGAGCTTGATTTTTAGATTGAGTTTGAGGGTTTTGGGGTTGCAAGTTGTAACTTCTGTCCCAAACTAGTCATTTCCCTGAGTTATCTCTTCTTGACTATGCCTTTAAACATTCTCTTGAAATACTGATTGATCTTAAATAGATGTTCTTAACAGAATTCTCTCCTGACTTATCAGGTCTAGATTTCTTTTCACTGGGCATAGGAGAAGAAACATAGGTTTTGGCCCAGACAAATTTGACTTCAAATCCTGAATTAGTCACTTACTAGTTGTACAATCTGGTATTAAATTATTTAAGGAATTTTACCTTTTATATCTCCTAGCATTGTTATGAGACTTAATTAAAATAATGTGTGCAAGCTCAATATAGGAAACCATTGTTACCATATATCATTATGATGTGTTTTTTTTTCTGTGTATATCTGTGTGAGAATTACCACCTTGATCACATTGTTTTAAACATTTTTGTTTACTTGTCTTTGATCCTTGAAGGCAGAGATGATCTTTATAGGCCTTATTGATCTCTATATCCTCAACATTTAACACACCAAATAGCATATAATGGGTAATTGGTGAATGCTTGGTGAATGCTTAGTGAATGAATGCAGGGAGAAATGTCTAATAGGAAATAGGAACACATTACTCTTTAGGACCAGTCAAAGCTGGTGATAAAAGAGTTGAAACCTGAGCTGCTAGAGTATAGAAAAAGAAGTAAAAAACAAAGTCTGAAACTTGGAGAAAACCTATTGCCAGGGGACTTAAGGTAGAGAAGGAAGAAGGAAGACATTTGGGATAGAATAGAGTTACAGAGGACAACCGGAGGAGAGAGCTTTCCTATGGATCCAATGGTCAATGGTAGCTCACGATAGGGAGGTCAAGAAAATTGAGAGACAACTTTTGGATATAAATTGTGATTAGTTGATAAGTAATCTGGACAGAAGATTGGCTGCCAGGGAATTAGGCCATGGATGTTTGAAAAGATAATAGAGATAACATATTGTCTGTCTGATTTGTGAATTGGATTGTAAGGTAGTAAAAAAATAGTATGGTAGCTAGAGAGATCAGGTTGGGAGAGGTCCAGGAAGAAATCAGAGGTGCTAGAGAATGGTACTAGTTAAGTGTCAGCCTTGGATAAAGTGTGGGAGGATGGCAAGTGAAGAGGTAGTAAGATGAGTAATTAGTGTTAGGCTTTTCAAATTATCATGTCGGATCCTGTCTTATATAAGTTCCTTTCCCTCTCTTGCCCTGCATTTGATTTGAAGTGCTGAAAAGGCCCTAGAACTGGATTCATTATAGGGATAATCTTGGGACATGTTTGCAGGAGTGAGGATTTGTTTTGGACATTTCACATGGTTACTGGTAGTTTGGAATTGATCAACTGGTCAGTATAAGGGTAGTACCTGGGTTACAAGAAACTCAGGAGATGAGTTGCGAAAGGGAGAACTTAGCCAGTTGAGTCACTCAGTTCTGGAATGACACATACACAGATTGTTGTTCATCAATGTTAAATTCTTCACTTTGAAGTGAATGAGGGGGAGCTCAAGGAAGAGACTATGTAAATGTTTGGGAATCCTTTATCTAACTTCTGAACTTGAGTAATGATTAAGTAAGTCTGTTTTTCCTGACTTTTAAAGCATGTGAATAATAAAATCAATAATATAAATACAAGGAAGCATTACACTTCCCTGTCAGACCCTGAAAAGATAGGTTTTTTTAATTCAATCATCTTTATTAATCTATCAGTCTTACATTTTATACATGACATCTAGTCGTATTCTAAAAGGGCTCTACTTTTAGTACATCATGTTAATAGCAGAAAGCCAAGTAAGATGACTAAACCTTACACTAGCATTTTAATATCCTCTGGACAAGGGAAGCTAGGTCAATCACTTTACATACATGTAAGAGTAGTGTTCCAAAATAACTAAGAAGTTGCTATATTTTTAAGCAGGGAGGAAAGAACTTTGATTTTGGTCTTTGTGTTCCAGCAAATTATACTTTCAATTAACAGCAACAAAGATATAACAAATGCTCTGCTTTTAAAATTTGTGAACTTCATTACAGATTAAAACAGTACTGGAGTCTTTTGGGAGGCCAATAGCTAGCAGCTACATTAATTGGTGTAGATAAGCCTCGTTATCGATAACCAGGTCCAGGTTTGGTATAGCCCTGACCAAAGGGAGGACATATAAGGATTAGGCCCAGTTGGAGGAGGGGTCATGCTACTTACAGGAAGTGAAGTAAAACTTGATCTTGGTCTATAGGCCCCAGGTTGGCTTGGAGCCATTCTAGGTTGAGAGGCAGGGGCCACAGTATAATTAGTAGGCTGAAAAGTTTGGGTAGTATAAATTTGTGCAGGATAATTGCTTGCCTGGTACTGTGTGGCAGCTGAGCAGGCAGTTGTTGAGGCTGACCAAAAAGGCAGGAGCTGGTGCCTGGGTAGTTGGTTGCTGGCCATATCCTTGGAACTGCTGAGGTTGTTTGGAGTCCAGTCTGCTGACTCTGGCTTTTTGAATACTGAATACCATACTGTTGAGGCTGCTGAGGTAGAGCCCGCAGACACGGTGCACCATAGCTAGCCTGTTGCTGGTACTATTGATACAGCTGACTTTCAGTCTGACCTGCTTGTATCTTAGCTTCTGTATATGGTGGTTGCTGTGGCTGAACTCCTGGTGGGTGAGCTGCTACTGAGGAGGAGGCGGCAATGCTGTCAGATGTTCCTGAACAGTCTTCTGCAGGAGCACTGGGTTGCCCTGAAACCTGATCATCTGTTAAGCCAAATGCCGACGTAACATTATTTTTTATTTCATCTTGGTTTTTTAAAAGGGTCAAAAGCTGACATACTTGCTGCCATAACCTGAGTAGACTGTTTTCCAGAAGAATCCGAAGAAGCAGGCTTTTCTTCCCTACCATTCACAGTAACATTTTCAGGAATATTAGTGGAAGGTCCTGGTTTTCCAGGTGGTTCCAAGCTATCCAATAAGTGATTCACTTTATTTCAAAGTTCTGTCAGTTCTCGACAGAGATATTTCACCTGACTTGATTCAAGGGGTCTTCGTTGGCCATTAACAAATAATGTCAATTTCAGTGTCCTACTACACTGAATTGCAAAGGAAAGATCAGAACTATCAAAAATTGTTATAAGATCGTCATCTGCATCTTTATACTTTATTGTTACTTCAACATTACGCAGAAGTTTTCCCCTGAAAACTCGTTGCATCATTAGCACTAATTCATCATAAGTAATATTAATATCTTCATTATGAATAGGAATTTTTGGAATATCCTCCCCAAGTTGAGCTTTCATGATTACCTTCCCACTTAGGTCCAACTGTCTGTTCATGGTGGACTCCAGGATGTTCTATCTATACAACCCTAGAAAAAGAGGGCTTGTGGAGGCCACCACCGCCACCTCTCCACAGGTCTCCACTGACTGGGCCGATGTCAGGCCGCCAGGCTGGGGTGTTGCAGGGAGTCTGTGGTCACTGACCCCTCGGTTGCCCTCCATGGCCACTGCACCTCACTTGTAGGCTCATGTGGGCCCACCCAATCTCCAAAAATAGGTTATTTTCTAAGTAAATTTTATCCTTTTTTTTTTTTTTGAGATGGAGTCTCACTCTTGTCACCCACACTGGAATGCAACGACACAATCTCGGCTCACTGCAACCTCAGCCTCCTGGGCTCAAGTGATTCTCCTGCCCCAGCCTCCCGAGGAGCTGGGATTACAGGTGCCCACCACCACGCCTGGCTAATTTTTGTATATTTAGTAGAGATGGGGTTTCACCAGGTTGGCCAGGCTGGTCTTGAACTCCTGACCTCAGGTGATCCACCTGCCTCAGCCTCCCAAAGTGTTGGGATTACAGGCATGAGCCACCACGCCTGGCCAGTAAATGTTATCTTAACATTCATGACATTGTTTTCTTTTATCAAATTTCTTCACTGTTAGGGGAAAAAAAGGATATAAAATTTCAGAAGTGTTCCTGGGCTGACGACTTGAAAAGATAGGTCTGTTTATTTTGAAGTTATTGACAGAATTTGGTTTTGTTGTTGTTGTTGTTCAGAATCTGGATGTAGATTCTGTGTCTTTGGGGACTTCTCATGAAGTGTAGAGAGGTTTTATCTTGGGACTGGGATATAGAGACTAATGCTTTTTCTTTGAATTTATTATCGTTGGTTACTGTAAAGTTTAATTCTTAGAGCTGCATGTCCTAAGGCTTTTACCAAATTACAGGGATTTTTTTTCCCCCTTAAAAAAAAAAGATCCAAACAGTGTTTTAAACTTATCTGTGATGGTCTTTCTGGAAGGTAGTTTAGACTAGTTTTATGCATATATAATGATGAACATTTTTCTATACAGCTGGGGAAAGAGAATTAACTTTTTAATGAATTTTTTTTTCTTAGGATATTTGAACTACCTGTACCTCTGCCAAACATTTAGCTTTGTCTTAGCTGTGGAGATATTTCTATCTATCCTAAAAAGTTAGTGCTTTTTTGTTAAGGCTGAGTTATATTTCATTTTGTATATCTCAGGTTTTAGATTTGGGGAAAGAGAGTAATTTCTTGTTTCTGAATGTTTATAGTAGGGAGCATATCACAAATTCTATCCTCAAGATATCTTTATTGAATAAAAAGTCAATCTGTTCATAGGACTGCTAAGTTACATTATTGGTTAACACATAAATATGCGTGTGTGTGTGTGTGTGTGTGTGTGTGTGTGTGTGTGTGTGGTCTGTCCTGTTTACCCTGTACCTATCCCTATAGTTTCCTCAGACTGAGGGAGCTTGCAACTGTGATATTATATTTCTTGGTTTGTTTGCTTAGATTCTTATACTAGGTTGAGCTTTTTGAACAATGTAATTATGTTGTTTTGCCTTTGTTTTTCAAGCACCTACCTAGTAGCACAGTGCCTGAATCTAGACTTTTGTTTTGCTAAGTGATAAATGAGTGGCTGAATGAATCCATCCCTGGCTTCTAAACTAGAATTTAAATTTGTCTCATCTATCACATAAAGACAGTAATAGTAACAGTGAACCTTTAATACTTTCAAAGCTCTTTGAGCTGGGTGCAGTGGCTCACACCTGTAATGCCAGCACTTTGGGAGGCCAAGGCAGGAGGACCGCTTGAGGCAAGGGGTTCAAGATCAGCCTGGGCAATATAGTGAGATGCAGTCTCTAAAAAATTTTTTTTAAATTAGCTGGGTGTGATTGTGTGTGCCTGTAGTCCCAGATGCTTGGGAAGCTGAGACAGGAGAATTGTTTGAGCCCAGTAGTTTGAGGCTGCAATGAGCTATAATCATCCCACCACACTCCAGCCTAGGTGACAGAGCAAGAACCTGTCTCTAAAAAAATACAAGTAAAATAAATAAAACTCTTTGGCTTTGTATCTTCAAAGATAGAAGATGCTATTTGTATCTTCCCAACTATAGTTTATTGTGCTAGAGAAACTATCATCTGTAAATAGGGGATGTATAAATCATCTCTAATGAGTATTCCTCCATGGGAGTGTGTAGTGTCGGTACACATGCTCTTGTCTCCTGAGATGGTGAGCTCGGGAGGGCTGAGTCTAGTACAGTGAGCAGCACATAGGAAGCACCCTAGGATTTTTTTTTTTTAATTTAATAGGATGACGGTCCCTTTCAGCTCTGTGATCTATGTAACTTGCCTAAATTACCAAGTGAATTCAATGCCAGAACTGGAACCAAAGTGCTGGTCTTCTGACTCACCAAGCAAATACTCTTCCATAGATTCTTCTGCCTGGGTTCTTTTTTATTTCCATTCTGTGGTATGTTTGAGTGCCAGTACTGTCAAATGTGGAAAGGAGGCCTGCAGAGAGTGGGAAAAAGGGGGAGGTAAAGTTAAGGTAAGTGAGGAATTGTCAAGAAAGTCACTTGTAATGCTGCAGTTCTTGGGGATTATTCACAGGAAGGGAGCATCCATACATTTTCTAGGGAAGTTGGGATGGGGAGTAGAAAATGATTTAGGTGACAGAATTGGGTAAGTAGATTGCTTTGGGAAGAGAACTAAGTCTGGATCCAAATAATCCACTGGGGCGAATGACCATGTCAACCTACATGTAATAGAGAGTTCGATAAAAGATAATTAAGAACATAAAGCAATGAAAGAAAAGCACAAGGTAATTAACCCAGCACTCCTCTCAGATTTTGGCACTGTGTAGCTAGGGGTACATTCTGCTTCATTTCTCCTTAATTTTTCCTTCTAATAATTAGCAATCTCTACCTAGCTGTAGAATTTCAAAGCTTAATATTATGCATTAAAAATTATGTGTAAAAAATTATGATTATCTACTATCTTGTTTAATCTTTATCACCTTGTTTTTTCAAGACAGAGTCTTGCTCTGTCATCCAGGCTGGAGTGCAGTGGCATGATCTTGGCTCACTGCAGCCTCCACCTCCCAGGTTCAAGTGATTCTCCTGCCTTGGCTGCCCAGGTAGCTGGGATTATAGACATGTACTACCACGCTCAGCTAATTTTTTGTATTTTTAGTAGAGATGGGGTTTTGCCATGTTGGCCAGGATGGTCTCAAACTCCTGTACTCAAGCAATCCACCTGTCTCGGCCTCCCAAAGTGCTGAGTTTACAGGCATGAGCCACTGTACCCAGCCAGCACTTTGTATTTTTTGAAGAGCTTTTTTTTTTCTCTACTGATAGACAGATATAGGCACTAAGAATATTTATGGTTTGATTTATTTTATTATGATTTGAATTTTCTCATGATGATTCTTCCTATTATATTCATCACTTAATTATGGATTTTGCAGAAAAATTCTTGGAGTTATATTTTTATCCAATGAGATACTCATATAGTTACCATGAGAGAATTTCCACTTGTGTAGATGTTCTCTGTTTTGAAGTGAAAAATACTCTCAGGGAATGAATCTGTCTGTATCAAGAATGGTTAGGAAAGTTTTCAAGTACCCTTGAAATAAACTTCAAAAGAAGACTTAGACTTGTGGTAGAAATTTCATTTCCATTTTAGACTTTAGTCACAATCACTTGAAACTCTTGTGCCTGGTATGTTACCCCTAGCTTCATAAGTTTTAGTGTTGAAGAAACTTATGTTTAGAGAAAATCCAAAAGTGGCATTAGATTCTAAATCTGAGAGCTTGATGTTCCCGTCTTTGGCCTAGTTTTTTTATTTTTTATTTTTGAGATAGAGTCTTGGCTCTATCATCCAGGCTGGAGTGCAGTGGCACCATCTCAGCTCATTACAACCTCCGCCTCCTGGGTTCAAGTGATTCTCCTGTCTCAGCCTCCCAAGTAGCTGGGATTCCAGGCTCATGCCACCACACCTGGCTAATTTTGTATTTTTAGTAGAGATGGGGTTTCACCATGTTGGTCAGGTTGGTCTCCAACTCCTGACCTCTCAGGCAATCCACCTGCCTCGGCCTCTCAGACTGCTGGGATTATAGGCATGAGCCACCGTGCCCAGCCTTTGGCTTAGTTTTGACTTGTGGTGTCAGGACTGCAGGAGATGGTTCCAGGGATCAGCAGCAACAGACTTTGCACCTCCACTTTTTATGCCTAGTAAGAAGGGAAAACACATTTATTTTTACCAAGTAGTTATGCATCATTGATATCTGAATAGCATGGATTTCAAGCTTTTGTTTGCTTGCTTGCTTATAAAGTACTTCCTCTCTAGATTGGAGGTGTCAGGAGGGCAGGGCCTATCTCTGTCGAGTTCACTAATTCTTCCCGATACCTTGCATGGTGCCTGGTACAGGATGAGTCCTCAGAAAAATGCCTTTTGACTGAATACTGAATGAGCGCTTTATATGTTACTTTAGCATATATTATCTGTAGTGTAATTTTTATCTGTAGTGTATTTTTTACAGTAACCCTATGAGGTCAGTTGGACAAAGTATTCTTTTTAGATGAGAAAGCAGATTCAGAGAGACTAACAGGCCTTACTCAAGGGGGGTGAATGATAGAGCCTGAATCTTAAGCTTGGTTTTTTTCACTTTAACATTTTTTTCCCCTATATCATACTATTTGTTTCTTTCCTCTGGGTCTAAGGCAATTTTAGAGGGAAGTGGGGGTTAGAAAGAGGGAGAAGGTATGGCCATTCATCAGAAACCCTTCAAGAGGGAAGGAGCAGAATATTCTGTTAAAAACAGGGCCTCTGCAGGCAGACTGCTTAGGTTCTGATCTCAGCTCTGCTACTTCCTGGCTTTGTGACCTGGGACAAGTAAGTCTGTCTAACTTTTTTCTGCCTCCACTTCTCATCTGTGAAATGGATGTAATAATAGTACTGTACTCAAAGGATTATTATGAGGAGTAAGTCAAAGGAATTAATATTTGCAAAGTGCTTAGGACAGTGTCTAGCACGTCATGTATTATAGAAGATTTGTTAAATAGGAAGAATATGGGTGATTATCACACGCTAATAGAATTTAGAAAGTTATAAATCGATAGCACTTAAACTTCTGATGGTAAGAAGTTAAGCATAACTAGGATGTTTTGTTTATTTTTGCTGGGTTGCTACAGTCTTTTGCTTCCATTTTAAACTTCCATTTTTCAGCTGCAATATATTGTTCTTTTCTGGTGCCACTCTCTTTACTCATCTTCATTTGAAATTAAAAAAAATTTTTCCAGAAATCTGCAATGATGAATTACTATCTTTTTGCCAATAACCTGATTATAGCCCAGACTTTCCCGTATTCAAATCACACAACCAAAATGTATGTGTACTGTGAGAATTCGGTATTTTTTTACAGTCTGTAAACATACATAGTTCTCTTATCGTGTGCTTTTTAATATGTTTTCTTAATAGTAATGGCTGTATATTTTGAAAATATATGTATATATGAGTAGAGCTCATAATATGCTTTACAAACATCATCTCATTTAATTCTTAAACAGAAACACCTGGGGGATAGATATGGTCTCCCCCCCACCCCATTGAGAAATGGAAGTTGAGAGAGGGAAACTTCTTCAAAGTGATGCACCTGGCTAAATGTGGAGCCACTGTTTAATCTCTGACTCTTCAAGCTCTTAATATCTTTCTGCAGCCTCTTGTCTTTCCATGGAGAGTGTCAGTTTTAGAATGTTAGTACCTGGAAGATAGGTTCCACATCTGTGAAGCATAATTTACACGGAGGACTTCAGAGTCCCAGGCACAATTGGTGGTTAATAAATCTAATGTTGGTGAGGGGAGGGGATTTAATAATAACCATAATACTGATTTTGATGACAGACTATCAATTTTCATTTTTAAAAATTCTCAAGTGCAGAAAAAAGATATCTTTTTTAAACGATCTTGTTTTATAAGCTAGATTAATTAATTTCAGCATATTCATATATAACTAACAGCTATGCTATATTGGAACCTTTCTTTTTCTGTTGTTTTAACAGATTTCTGACCTGTTTGCTTTGCTTTTATACATTGTCCTCAGTCCAGATGGCAGGTACAGGTCATCTTACATGCTATTTTTGTTTAGTAGATTTTTTTGTTGTTGAGACGGAGATTTACTCTTGTTGCCCAGGCTAGAGTGCAATGGCGCGATCTCAGCTCATCGCATCCTCTGCCTCCCAGGTTCAAGTGATTCTCCTGCCTCAGCCTCCCGAGTAGCTGGGATTATAGGCATGTGCCACCACGCCTGGCTAATTTTGTATTGTTAGTTGAGACGGGGTTTTACTGTGTTGCCCAGGCTGATCTCGAACTCCTGACCTCAGGTGATCCGCCCACCTCGGCCTCCCAAAGTGCTGGGATTACAGGCATGAGCCACTGCACCCCGCCTGTTTAGTAGATATTAAAGTTACTAGTAGAATGAACTCAGCAGAGCTGATTTGTTTGTCCTAGTACATGCCTTTTCTAGTTTTATTAACTTTTGAAAAATAACATTAGTCTCAAGCACTTTGTGGTTGTGATACTAATATTACATTTAAACTCTGAACATTTTTTTTGTTTGTTTTTAATAGGGACAGGGTCTTCCCATGTTGCCCATGCTGGTCTCAAACTCCTGGGCTCAAGTGATCCACCTGCCTCGGCCTCCCAAAGTGCTGGGATTACAGGCATGAGCCACTGCACCCGGCCTCTGAATGGTGTCTTAATCCTCATAGATGTTCTGTATTTTCTATCCAATAAACTTGTCTATGCTGTTCTTAAATGCAGATACTAGAATAAACTGGAATGCTAGAATTGTATTTTTTTCAAAAAATACAGAATAAATAAGTAATCATTAACCTTGCTTTTTCTATTTTTAACTGTAGTACCAGAAGAAAACATTGCAACTATGAAGTATGGAGCCCAAGTTGTAAAGGGGGAGCTGAAATCAGCCTTATTAGATGGTGATACTCAAAATTATGATTTGGATCATGGATTTTCAAGGCACCCAATTGATGATGACTGCCGTTCCGGCATCGAGATTAAGCTAGGTCAGCCATCCATTATCAATCACATACGGATACTCTTGTGGGACCGAGATAGCCGGTAAGTGATTAGCATGACTTAGAAACTGACATTATGTTTGAGATGACTTAGCTTTGTGGTCATCTACTTTTGTTTTACAGATATGATGGTTTATTTCTTTGTGATCATTCTGCTATCTCTTGAAGGTTGGTTTTGGGGAAGGAGTTAAAGGATATATTTCTTTAAAAGAAATACACTTTTTTGTTTGTTTCTTCTTATAAAAATATGTGTTTATTGTAGAAACCATAGAAAATATAGAAGAGCACATAGAAGAAAATAAAAATTGCTAGTAATCTCATTACCCATTATTAATCTTCATATGTATCTAGCATTTTTTTCAATTATGCATGGACACATACACACACAAAACAGAAACCTGCACAAACATAGTTTTATAAAATGAAGATTAGATATACAAAAAGCTAATTTTACTTTTAAATTAATACATTGTGAACACTCTACCCTTTAAAAAATATTCCTCTAAAATGTATTTTTAATAGTCGTTTTGTATTCTACCATGAGTTAACATTATTTACTTGATTCATTGGTTTTGAATATTATAACCTTTTAAATGCATTTTACCATATGGTGAAGAGAAATAATGTCTTTTAGTGTGTAGATAAGTATTATCCTCAAAACAAAAGAAATTTGTGAAAAAGTTTAATGAACTCCAGTTTGGGAACCCATTTAGTTTCTTGGGGGCTTCAGAATTCTGCCTTTCTTCCAGCCACTGTGATGCTTTCACCCACTGTGGCTTCTAGGTTCAACCATAATGGCAGAAGTACCAGAGCAGTATGAGTGACAAGAACTGAACTGTTTCCTTCATTGCTGTTTATCATAAACCTAAACCCTGCATACCCAGAAACTGTGCCCCACTTATGCCTCTTCAGATCTGGGCATGAAGGGCTTAAATAGTAATGATGATGATGCCCTGCAAACCTTACAAGGTAGTGTGTTTCTTCTGTTAGCACAACTGCCACTATACTGGCCTTTTAGGCCATTTGAGCCAAGTATGAGGGGAAGCTTTATGAAGTGTGAGTCAGCATTTCCCATGTACATGATGTGTGAGATCCCCAGGTTATCTTTTCCTGTTTCCTTTTTATTAAGAATATATTTTCTGATATGTAGCTTATGGATATAATTTGATGTTTTTAATTGGCAAAGTGGAGCCAATCCACATATCTCATTTCCAAGAGTCTCTGATTAATTATAACAGTATAATAATAATATGTATATGCAGTACTTTCATTACTTTTATGTGGTAGACACTGTTCTAAAAGCTTTACGTATTTCACTCATTTAACTAATAGTGAAGTTATTATAAAAATAATAAAAGAAAAGTTTAGTATGTTTGAAGCAAAGTGGTTGTCATCGTTTCTGTGATGTTAATATTTATAGGCCACTTTGTGTCAGTATGTGCATTACATTCACGGGGGATTTAACTTTACCACATAACAGTTCTTTTCTTACAGAAATTGTTACCATTCTAAGCAAAGGTGAAAAATTCAGAATCTTAAGCCAAAAAGATTCTGACATGTTGTAAAATTATATCCTCTGTTACTGATAACCCAGAGAAGTTCAATAAAAGGTTATAACCAGTTTGAGACTGAGTGATAAAATGAATGAGAGTGAGGGGACAGCAAAGAAAGTGAGGGGATGACACAAAATAAGCTGACCTTTTCTGGTCACAACTGTGGGTTGCAGGATGACATTTATGGTCACCTAAATCTTCCAAGATTGTTCCTGTTGATATTACAGTACAAGTAATAACTGCATCTCAAATTTAAATTTGGCTTATGACAGGGGAATATAGATTTGTTCAGGATGGGACCTGCATGTAATGGTTCGGAGTAGCTGACTAGGGGAGGATTATAGGCTGTTTTCGTTACTGCCAGATTATCAGCTGGCAAGTTTTAAGTTGTACGAAACACGCATTATCTCTTGACTGGTGTCATTGATTTTTTTGCAGGTAGCTTGTATGTGGGAGGGTAGGAGACTGGGAGGCAGCAGGAGATAAGCTGCCCTCTGTGAGGGAGCCATTCCAAGTTGACTTTCTTCCTTAGAGGGGTGGCCGAACACCCTGGCCAGGGAAGGTAGAGGGAGAAAGCATACTTCCTGCTTCTCCATTTTCTGTTCTTTCTCTCTCTCGTGGCATCATTTATCTTCTAATATGGTATAGGTGAGACATCCTGACCATGTTTGAAAAGGAGTAAATATCTTGCATGCCTGATGTGCCAAGCACTGTGTAGGACCCTGGGGATATGAATATAAGTACAGGATGGCCTTTGTTCTTAAGCAGCTTATGATTTGAGAAAGCAGACAGACAACCTGAGAGATAATTTCAGTGCATTGTAGGTGAATGCTATCATAACATTCTTTTGTTATTAGAATTTGATTATGTAGAAAATGTAATTAGTGAATTCTGTATTTTTTGTACCTTTTAACACTTTATTAAAGTACAGCTTTGTATTGTTTTTTAATGTGGTAATTTTTTTCTGCTTTTTCCTTTTGATTCACAGGTCTTACTCATACTTCATTGAAGTGTCAATGGATGAACTTGATTGGGTCAGAGTGATAGATCATTCACAATATCTGTGTCGTTCTTGGCAGAAATTATATTTTCCAGCCCGTGTCTGCAGGTTAGTTTTCAGTGGTTAATAAATGATTTTTATTCTTATATAAGGAGATTTGGACTTGGAGAAGCAGAACTGCATTTTTCATCTTGAAAAAAGAGTTATTCAGGATGTCAACTACTAAACATATCCCAAGTAAAAAACTTAGGAAAGTATGGAAAATCATGCATCTTAATATTTACAGTGTGTTGTGGAACTATTTATACAACATGTCTTGTATAATATGTATGTAGTACACATGTGAATGAATGAGAAGGGACAGGGAACATTTGAGAAGTGGAATGCTTTTTAAACTCCGTGCTATACAGTGAATGGTAATATTCATTGTGATACATTGAAAGCAGAATTATTGTTAGGGGGTGCATTCTTCTTATGAAAGCCATGAGAAATATTTCTGGAGTCTTCCCTGGGAATGGCCAGGGCCAGAGGACATCTTTGAATGCCATTGTACATGTTCTGGTTATCTGTTTTTTCCTTTAGGTTAGTGGTTAACAAATGGGGTTTGACAGAACAGGTGTTTCAAGTGGGGTTGCATTTGGGGCAAATGAGGCTTAGCTAGTGGGGCTCTAGGCTCAGAGCTTCTCTTCAGCCAGAGCACCTCTGCTTTTATTTTTGTTATGTATCGCAGCCCTCGATATGGTTGTCTTTTAAAAGTATCAAAAAGCTACTGTTTTAATATTTCATATTCTCCCTTTAGGTATAATCCATCATTTAAAATTTCTGAAATTTTGTAAAGCCTATACAAATTAGTGAATTTGTTTAGGTGGTTAAAGGCCCCCAAAATTTTGTTGCTTTTTTCTGCTGTGTTTTCTCACTGGAAATTGCCTTTAGATATTCTTTACCTTAAAGTCAAAAGATTAAAGGTAGAAAGTGATTAGTTTGTTTGCTCAGGAAGAAAAGGGAAGGGATATGGTGAGTGTACACCATGGAGAATGTGGAGCTGGCCCCTCACCCATGACCCATCTGATCTCCCACTGTGGCTGATTGGGAGCAGATGGGAAGGCACCACAGCACTTAGTCTCTTGGTCAGAAGTTACTCTTATACTTGTGAAACTTATGGTCTAACAGCAAAAGGCTGAATTTTTACCTCCACTAAGGAACTTCACAAAACCGTTCAGCCTCTGGTACAGTAAAGAACGTTGCCTACATTTTTTTTATTGGTATGACCGGACACAATATTGTTACCCAGGGATCCTCTTGTGTGAAAATGAAGAAAATCAATTTCATTTCCCCAAAGACAGACTAAAGTGTCTCAGGTCTAGCGGTTGCTCTTTTATCAGAGGAGTTTTGAATGGATTAAAATAAGAGGGACAAGAAATTGAGTGAAGATTCCATATCTCAGAGCTGCCTAGGGATACTTCCAGAGTGACAGAGGGACCCCCACATAGAGGAGGAGATTGAGTCTGCATTGACTCAGGTTATTACTGTTGTATCTGATTAAAACACAGGCAGCATAACAAAGCGTCTGATATGGACTGAAGGACTGTGTGTTTGCATTTAATTTGAAACAACAGGAACATGACTCCCAGAACAAATCATTATGAATATAATAATACCAGCCATGACAGCCTGTGTGCTTTACCCACCTGAAAGCTCCTGTTGTATGTATGGAAACGTGCCTTTGATCATGATCTCTGGCTTTTAGAAAATATACTTTACCTTTATATATTAGTGAGCATTATTATACTCTCCTTATTTTGTCTTTCCTGTCTGGCCTTGACTTTGTTGGTAGAGCTGTTACGTGTTTAGAGACTGGCTGTATTCATGAAGGCAGTTTTTGTCTTGGTATAGCCAGCTCCCAATTCTGGTTGAAAAAAAATGAGCAACAGTGATGTTAGTGATAATGATAACAAGAAAAGGAAAGAATCTTGATATCCATGTTAATAAGAATTTTTTAAAAATTATAGCCACTTTATTATATTACTACTTTCCTTAGTAAACTGTCTTTTTTACTAGGTTATAATTTTGATAGTATTTAAAAATGAACCTAAGAATATGTCTCTGTAGATTAACTGAGGATGTCTTGGTGTTTCTTATCTTCACAATTATTCATTGTCTACCTAAACAATGTTCTAACTGCACTTCTTCCAAGAACTTCACTGGGCAAATAAATTGTTTATTTCCTTAGCACGTAAGTGTTCAGTTTGCATTATGTTAGTTAATTTGCACGTTTGTATGTCAGCTTTGTTCTTTAGTGTCCTTTGCGTGTTTATCTTGCCTCTGATACTAAAATTATAAGCTCTTGGAGGCAGGCAGTATGGATTCTAATCTTTTATTATTCTTGCACAGTGCTCAGACTGTGACCTTGTATGCAGTAGGTACTCTATAAATGTTAGCACAGGTTTCATGGTGTCAAGGCAATGACTATGTAATGAAGAGAGATTGATGGGAACATTAATATGTACATATATTCCTTGAGACTTTTTATCAATGTATTCATTAATACATGTATGAGTGCTGGAAAATTCTCTGTAATGGTAAATGGTTCTGAACTGTTTGCAAAGGTTACTTTGTTTTTTCTTCAGGAAACTGAATTTGGAGGTTATTCCTGAAGAATGTGTCATGTATTGATGAAAGATTACATCTAATACATTTACAAAAATGATACCTTATGTATGAGAAATCTGAGATTACCCCGTCCTCTCTCTGAGTTTAGGCTAAACTGCATATAAATCAGAACTGTGTAGTAGAAAAACAATGGGCTGTGGAGTTAGGTAGAGCTCTTCTCAAATTCTTGTTTAAAACAGTGGGCTGTGGAGTTAGGTCGAACTCTTCTCAAATTCTTGTTTAAAACAATGGGCTGTGGAGTTAGGTAGAGCTCTTCTCAAATCTTTGTTTCACCTCATATTTGTGTTGTAATACGATTGTGCCTCTCTGAGCCCTAGTATCTGCATCCATAAAGAATAGGAATACCAACACCTCTTCATGGGGTTTGATGTGAGAGTTAGATGATACAGCACATTTACATGTACAGAGCACAGTTCTGGCAGAAAGGAGGGACTCAATAAATGGCAGTCATTTTTATTATTTTTCCTAATTTCAGAAACTCCTGAATGGTGGTTGACCTTCAGAGAGAGTCATCCCTGCCATCCTCGTTGGTCACGGTAGCTCTCACTGTGAGGTGGCTCTCACTCTAACCTCTAAAGACCCTAGTCTTTTTGGTACTTTTTTGTATCGCCAACCCATACATACAGTCCAAAACATGCCTTAAACAGTTTTATCTTAACAACCGGCCTATCTTTGTATATGTCTAGGAGTTTTCATATATTTTGGTTGGTAAAATATATATAACATAAGATTTGCCACTCATCTATCTTGTCAAATGTAATTCAGTCAGCATTCACCTCACCAAGATAGTCGATGTTATCTAATGGCAGATAATATCAGGCTTCAAAGCCAGTGTGAACATTCCAACCATGATAATGAACTCAGAGCAATGGTTCGCTTTGCCTTTCTGGACTCATTTTAGGAATGTTCGTGAGTTAAGTGGGGATTGCTCTATGTAGCCAAAAGCTTAGACCAGTTATCCTCTTCAGCCTTTAACTGGAGATGGAGAAAAGTGACTCATCAATTTATGTTTAGTTTTTCATATGCCTTGAGAACCATGTTATGTCTTATCAGCCTTTTCTTTCTCAGGAAAGGCAATTTCCGCTTTACCCATAATCTGTAACCTTCAAATTGTCTTCTTGGTTATCTGGTAAACTCTCTCCCAGTCCTTTCCACAGCTTTCTTAGATGATCGAGCCTAGTACTAAACAGAAAACACTAGTAATGAATGGTGGATATTGAGTACTCTGGGGGGTGCTCTTAAAATTTTGAGCTATTCCTCAACATGGTGCTGTTAATTTGGCAGCCATATAATATTGCTGAAAAATGAGAAAACTTTAGAACATGAGCGAAAATGGATAGAAGTAGAATTCAAAGTGTGCATGTGACTGGTGGCTGGAATTGCAAGTGGGATCTTGGTCTAAAACCTGGGAGTTGAGAGAGAAGAAAGCAGGGCTAAAAGCAACGTTCTCAAGGTTATGCCCGTTGAGAGAGGGAACAAGAGCGTAGGTGGGAGAGGTATTTACTTCAGGGGCTGGTCAGAGTTTAGAGGAGGATTAGGAGCGTTGTTTACTGGAGACAAGGCCAGACAGGGTGTTGAGATGGGTGTAAATTGACAATTTAGAGTCTGGCATAGGAGAGATGAACTTGGTTAATACAAAACGGTTTCTTTCTTTATTTCCTTTTTTAAAAAATTATCAAAATGGAAATATCTCTCATTATAAAGTTATAATGTATATATTTTAAATATTGATAAAACTTGCCATCTGGAAATGTTGTACTCAATTTCTACCAATTGCATGTAAAAATGCCCCTTTCTGTGAACCTTCACCAATGCAGACACTGTCACCGTTTTGCCAATGTAATACATAATTTGTTTAAAACAAAAATCCTATTTTACTTTGAATTTCTTTATTGGTGAGTTAAAGTATCTTTTAATACTGGCCATTTGTTAATTTCTTATTTATGAAAAGCCTGTTTTTGTCTTCTGCATATTTTTCTTCTGAGATAGTTTTCTTTTTGTCTTGTGAGAACTTTGTATCAATACATATATATATATGACATTATCCTTTTGCCTGTCATATATGAAATTTGTTAACGCATTTTTAGTGTTTTATTGGTACTTTTTGCCATATAGAATTTTACTTTTTAAAAAATGTATTCAAATCTGTCAGTCTTTTAAATGATTTCTGGCTTGGTATTATGATTAGAAGATTATTCCTCACTCTAATATTAAAGTATGTTAAACTTTTATGTATATATATATATTTTTTCCACTACTTGTTTTTTTTTTTTAAGCCTTATATCTTAAGTATTTAATACAGTCAGGATATTTTGCATAGATCTTTTCAGGTAGGGATAGTCAGTTGATTAAAGTCATTTATTTGATAATCATTTCTTGCTATCCTAATGTGATCAGCCATATTTATGATGAGCTGGATTCTAGCATATACCCTACTCAGTTCCACTGATTTCTTTGATTCTTGCTGAAAGTATTTTAATTATTGTAGTTCACTTCCCTCCTTTTTCTTCTTTTCTTAGAATGAGAAATTGTGTGTGCCATATGTGTCATAGAAAAAAGAAAGGGTATCATAGAGCATCTGCTAGGCTGTCTTCTGGTTGTTGTAGTCACATTAGAGGCCGTAAGTGATGATAAACATCTCACTAGAATGGTTCTACTTTCACTTACAACAGGAAATTTAGGCATGCTTCACCAGCTAAGGAAATAGATTTTATGTATTCATTCGTCACTCACCCATTCAACAAATAAGCGCCTACTTTATGCTATTGTTGTACTTGATATTGAGGCCACAACACTGAAGAAGATTGCCAAGGTTTCTGTGCTTTTGGAATTTGGGAGAAACAGATTAAAACAAACAAATAATAAGCACATCACATAATTATAAGTGTTGCAAAGATGGTACTGTGATAGTAACAGAAGTCAGGGGAGAAGGATTATTTTAAATAGGATGGTTAGAAAAGGCCAGAGATGGGGGGTAGGTGTTTTAAGCTGAGATGAAGGGGGTGATATTTTCTGGTCATTGTTTTATTTGTTTTTGGTTTTGTGTGTGTGTGTGTGTGTGTGATTGTTTCTTTGTTTTTTAGATGGGCTTGCTCTGTCACCCAGGCTGGAGTGCAGTAGTGCAATCTTGGCTCACTGCAACCTCTGCCTGCTGGGCTCAAATGATTCTTCTACCTCACCCTCCTGAGTAGCTGGGACTACAGGCATGTGTCACCACACTCAGCTAGTTTTTTCTATTTTTAGTAGAGATGGGGCCTTGCCATGTTGCCCAGGCTGGTCTTCAACTCCTGGACTCAAGCGATCTGACTGCTTCAGCCTCACAAAGTGCTGGGATTACAGGTGTGAGACACCATGCCTGGCCCATTGTTTTAGATATTTACACAACATCTAAATATTTTCTTTGGTGTACATTGAATGTTATTTGGCAGTAGCTGGTCTACTGTGGGAGACCTCATTAGAGGAATACTCTAACTTTACTGTGTTTTGGTATATGGCATTTTAATCTCATTTATTGCTACTATACATTCTAGGCCCCCCTCATTCCTGGTGTCAATAGATACAGCATAATTTTTTTTCACCTATTCTCATTAGATTATAGTACTTACATAGTGCTATAGATCTACATAAAATAAATGAGAAAATAAGCATTGCTATTTATGGAAGCATTCTTTCCCTGCTATATTAACACTTGTATAACATATGTCTTCTTTCATTTCTCTTTTGTTCCCTACACCTCTGCCCATAACTGGGCATTGATGTATCTATTTACTTTTAAAGGTAGACACTCTTACATTATTCAGTGTTCACTAGATTGCTTTAGAATCCTAGCTAGAATAATACTGAGCCTTTACTTTCTTCTTATGACTGAAGAGCTTCACAATTCAAGAAATGCCTTATTCAGATGTAAAAGAAACAGGATTAGTTTCATTTTTTAAAAAGTTATCTTTTTAGTTCATACTTAGTTTGAGTTGTCCATCTACCTACAACCTTGATATTACAATTGAACTAGCAAGAGCAACCCTCATAGAGGAACATTTTCTTCTAAGAATGCAAAGCAAAGTGTAGCCACATGGTGTCACTAAATTATAACAATTTTACTCGAAGCTAAAGAGAATTTAAAAATTGCTTTTTTACACCATCATATTTAAATATAAATTGTTCTGAAAGTCTGTGATTTGTGAAATAACATGTGAAACTATTTGTACTATTTAAGTCTTTCTGCTGATGTGGAGCGTTAATTATGTCCAAAGTCCAGAGGTATATATTTTGGTGCTTGCTAGCTAGTTCTTGAGTTGTCATCTGCAAGGCATAGGAGAAATGTGGGCTTCTGTAGTCCAGCTATTCAGTTTCATGCAAATATATATATTTTTTAACCTTCCTTTGGAATTTTGAAAGAGAGGAGTAACTCAAAGGAGATAGGAGATAGATTCTCTAAATATGTAAAAGGAATCAGAAAACAGAAGAAAAGAGGAATGAGGATAAAGAGAAATGAGGTTACAGGACCTCAGAAGTGGTAGGAAGGGAACAGTCTAACATTTATTGAGTATCTTCTGTGGGTCAGGCACATCTCATTACCTTGTGTAATTCTTACAATAGTCCTGTAGGAGAAAAACCGCTACTTAATTTTATAGGTGAGGAAATTGAGCCTTAGAAAAGCTAAATTTGTAACCAGGTCTGCCTGACTCCACATTACATTGCTGATGCAAGAATCAAGGTAAAGAAATAGCTCTACCTTAGAGTAGGAGAAGGAGGCATTGAGCCCTGAAGAAGCTCTTACTACCTCTTTGGAAGGAGCAGTTTCCAGCAATCCTGTAGGGGAGGACCTGCTGTGGCCAAATTCTACTAGTGCTGGTCACAGCCACCCAGACTACACACACATTATACTAATAATGATGATGAACAACCGGGGATATTTTCTGTTTTAAAATGCTCCAAAGGGAGTGCAGCAATCCTTTATCTAGGTATGTTTTGTCAGTTTGTTTGTAGAGCTTCGAATTTTCCTGCCCCTTAGTTCTCCATAAGATCATTTTAGAGTATTATTATAGAGTGAACCTAATATTCTTGAATCCTAGCTTGTTTTCATTAAACTGTGTTTAGAAACAAATTCCATATATTAGGAAATTTTTATTTACAAGATCTCTTCACACCTTGAGTTGCTTTTTTTTTTTAGTTGGGAAATTTTCTGTTTATTATTTTCATCTAGAACCCTTTTATTAGGGGGAAAACACAACAACAATAGCAAAAAAATCCCCCAAAACCCCGCCATGTTTTATATTCAGTAAGACCTTTGAGAAATGACTGTTTGTCCTTAAGTTATTCAATTGAATCCAAGCTTCTTTGTTTTGTTTTGTTTAGAGGATAATAACATGTTGAGCTTCTTTTGTGTGAGAAAACAGAACAGGATTGCCCTTTTCCTTTGCATTGTATTTTATAATTTTAGAATATAAATTAGTGTCCTAATAAGCTTATTGCATGAGATGATGTTACTAACATTAATCACCTGTTGTTATTACCACAAATAGCCATTGCCTGTTTTTCATTCTGAAAGGGCAAAAACTATATTTGCCTCTGCTAACAGTTGCTTCCCAAGCAGTTAGGCCCAGGATTAAGTTCAGGTAGCACCTTCTATGTTGATCATCAAACATCTTTTTTCTCATATTTTTCTTCTGAATACTACTTTATTACTTATGGGATTTATTCATTCAGACATTCACGCAAGAAACATTTATTGAACACGTGCTATATTGTAGGCACCTCATTTAGGTGCCAGACATAAAAAGATGAACAAGACACAGTGGCCGCTGTCAAGAATTTCATGATATAGTTTTTGCCCTTCCAGGCAAAATAATGTGTATTCAGGACACTTACCTAAGGTAGACTCTACATTGGACTTGGCCAAATCTAAACCCTTCTCTCAAAGCTCTCCATCATTAGGTTCTTCTGCTTCTATAGCATCATTCTTGGTTCTTACAAAGAATACCTTTTTTTGTCTCACTAATCAAAATTGTCTGTTTACCATCTACCCACCCGTAATTCCTACCTATGTCCCTAAGCTCAGAGAACATACATAAATGACAATCTTCTCTTTCTGTGTTACCTTGTATAACTGTGTAAGGTATCTAGGAGTTACTTGGTTTTAGTTAAAGCTGTCGCTTTTAAAACTTCTTTCTTTAAGATTAAAAGACTCCCTGCGAAGAAGTATAAATTACGTTGTCACAGAAAACAGTAAAAATTCCCAAGAAGTAAAGAAAGTACCCCTCCCCTCCTTTGGAGGCAGGACTTGAGTTAGTGACTTTTGCTTAGAAAAATAATACATTTCATAGATATTTCATTGTTGGGTACATGCTGCATGTGAGGAAATGAATGTTAGTCTATCAGTTTTCCTTTGTGAAATCTCCTTTAGGAGTCTGTTTTGGTGTACTGCAACTCTCCCAACACTTGTTTATGAAACTTAGGAAATCCTGAAGCAAGGAAGGAACAGAATGCAATGCCATCCAGGACCTGAGGGCTTCTAAATATGAGCCAAGAGCCTCCAGCACAAGGAACAGAGACAAAAGTGAGCTGCGGAACTGGGAATGGAACCCAGAAATTAATGAAACTGGTGAGGAAGAGTTTCTAGGACCTTCAATCCAGCTTCTAAAGTGAATAAGAAAATGTGGTCAATGAAATAAAACTTCATTGATTGCTTTTTGGATGACCAAGAAGATGGAGGGACAATTAGATCTTGTAGATAAACAAACAAACTTAGATACAGATTTTTTGTGTGTGAATTACATAGTCATTTTTCTATCCTGCTTACTTTGGCAATGGTGCTCTAAAAATGATATTGTTGAGTAGTTAATAATTCTGTCAGTGGAGAGTTAAATCTTGTACATTCAGATTTCACCCCATACTACTTAACAATGATTGCTCTGACCTTTCATAGTATTTATAGCTTGAATCTCCCAATTAGCCATTAATTATATATCTTGTATACTTTTGAAATCATTTTGCAGTTCCTGGACCTTGCTTTATATTCCTTTGGTGGTAGTGGCTCATCAGGTATCTTGTTGAATCTCTTTAGCTCTCTAAAATCCCTGAATGCAGGTGCCTGGATAATAATCTGTTTTTCTGGAAAATACCCTTTTAACACTGCTATTTTTTTTTGCCAGTGTTAGAAGGAAATAATAGGAAACAAAATTTTATATTTTTTTTCCACAGGAAATATGTTTAAAGAAGACTGTGAGTACAAGTCCCACGGTTAGTAAAATCATCAGAGCTTTCTCAGTCATCATTATAAATGGTAGAAGTTCCCTAGATCAGGGTGCTGTCTGTGGATACAAGGTTAGCTCAAGGGAGAGTAGACCAGAAGTAAAACCAGATTGCTTGTCGGCTGCCAGAAAATCTGGGCAGAGTGCCAGGCCTGGTTCATCTTCTAAAAATTCATCTCCCAGTATGAAAATAGAGGGCTCAATCCCTGCAAGGAACGGTGGTAGCACGAACACTTGGACTTCCTTCAGCCCAAAGCACTTTATTGATGCGAAGAAAGGTGGGGGGAGTGGATTGTGGATTGGAGTGGACTGTTGGCATTGACCTCATTTAAGAGCTGTAATATTTTCTTTAGCGGCCTTACTTATGTTTCAAATTATAATTTCATTAGTTAATAATTCTTCTTCCAAATAATATGGGTCATATATACACATGAATATGTCCTTCATGATAAGAAGCTATAGGTTTAATTTCTAATAGTCATAGAAATTCTGTGCACATTATAAAGCTATTAGAATGTAACAGCTGTTTTAGTTCATCTCATTTTGCAAAAGAAATGTGATGCAGACTAAAATGATCAGTAATTATTTTGAAAGCTAAACCTTCAGTTATAGAAAGAACTAATTTACACATTAGTTACTGATAAAACTACAGTATGCTATGGTTTCAAAGTTAGTGTTATCGCCTGCCTAAGACTATGAAAGAGAAATCTGTGCCAAAAGACGTTTTTCCTTCTTTTAAATCCTGTTTTGCATTGCCCATTGTAATTTTGGAGTTGCAAATCAACAGTAATGAAAAACTGCTTGATATTTTTCTAAGGAAAAAAATTAGAAGGACTGTTAGAGAGAGTAGGATTTAGAAGGACTTTATTTTATGTCTGTTGATCAGTGACTACCATCTGCCTTCCATTTAATGTTGTAGAAGCATGCACGCGTTTCCCAGTTCTGAACAGATGATGTGCATGGTTTGTTGAGATATATGTGTATTCTGGATGTGTGTGTGTATGTATACCTACAGTGCTTAAAATCACACTTGAAGTGTAAAACAGATAATGAGTCTCCATTTTGGTCTCATTTGCATATTCAGCTCTTACACACAAAACAATAGACTACAATGACACTGATTTTCTTTTCTACTTGAGAATCAGCACTAACCAGCTGTCAACGAATATTTCGATTAAACACTTTTCTTTGTTGGGGAACTTTGGGGCACATTCTTTGTATAAACATATTGTTTTCTTTGATTTCAAGGGACTTATTTTCAGTGTGATTCATGGCTGCATCACACCGGTAAGCTGTCTGCACAAAAGTATATTTTTCTCTGTAAACTTCCTTTTTACCATTGATTTCTCTAGGGCAAAAGTATGGTTAAGAAAAAATATTTCAACTCAGGATATTTGCCCGAAATAAAGGTGGAGAATATACCTGCTTTAAGTAAACTGAAGATTTTAAAGTATAGATTCATATACTTGACTTCTTTAAGATTTTTCAAGAAGATTTAGCAGTTCCTCTAATACATTTAAAATATGATTTGACTACAGAAATTTTGTTAATATTTTGACATATCTTTTAGCCTTCTATGTGTAATCATACACAAACATGTTATTTACAAAAATGGTATTATGTAGTATATGCTGTTTTGAAACCTTACACATATATCTTTATATTTATTGTGGTTGTTATTCTATATCAATAAAATCTACTTTCCCCTTAAAATTTTTTTTATCTTTAATTTTTTTTTAGTCAAGTGCAGTAGTGAGAAGTGGACAAAGAGTAGAATAAGGATTTCGATCTGTAACTGACTGTGAACAATCGAGATAACTCACTACTTCAGACCAACCTACTTTATCCTTTTAAACAATAGCAAAGTGTTCTAAATGTATTGTTGCTTGTTGCTTACCTGACCAGTCCCCTATTAAGGGACCTTTAGGATGTTTCCAGTTTTGCAATTACAGAACAATGTAGTCTTTGCCCATTTGTCTGATTATCTCTAAACAAGCAAGGTCAAAGTATTATAATCATCTCAAAGTGTGAAACATTTTACTAAATGCTATCCACAAATATTATACGTTTATTCCTCTCCATGAATGATAGTTTCCATTTTCCCACATTGTTATCAACAATGGGCATTATCATTATTTTGAATCTTTGTTTGAACTGACAAGCAAATCATGGTCTCATTTGTTTTATGCAGATTTTTCATTATTTGTAAAAATTAAACAACTGTGCACTTGTTGTTGATAGATATCACAATTTCATAGAAAAGATGAAAGTCGAGTTAGCCTCAAAGGATAGAGTTTTGATCAGATGGTTTTATAGGGCTTTTCCCAAGAGGTCATCTCATGGGAACAGTGGTTCTCAACTGGGGGTGAATTTGCTCCCTTAAGGGATATTTGGCAATGTCTGGAGACTGTTTTGAGGGGTTGCATACTACTGGTATCTAGTGAGTAGAAACCACAGATGCTGTTAAACATCTTACAATGCACAGGACATCTCCCTACAACAAAGAATTATCCAGCTGCAAATGTCAATAGCGTCAAGGTTGAGAAACTCTGTTTAGGAAAAGGATGCAGTAATGTGATTAGTGAAGGGGGGTTGAATTAGAATATCTTTCATTAAAAGGGTGAAAGGAAATAGCTGTGAAAGACAGTTCAGAAGAAAAACCAGTCAAACTTTATGATTGATTGAATATGGAGAAAAAAAATCAAGAAGAATTTTGAAGTTTAGAACCTAAATGGCTAGGAAATGGAATGACATAGGTAGACAGAAGTTGTGAAGGAATCAGTTTAAGCTAGTTGCAGAATTATTATTTAAGAAAAAAAATGGTGACATTTGCTATTTTATCTGCTTTGTTTTTATATAGTGAGATCTTTTTTATTTTTATTTATTTATTTTTTTTGAGACAGAGTCTTGCTCTGTCGCCCAGGCTGGAGTGCAGCAGTGCAATCTCGGCTCACTGCAAGCTCTGCCTCCCGGGTTCATGCGATTCTCCTGCCTCAGCCTCCCGAGTAGCTGGGATTACAGGTGCCTACCACCACGCCCAGCTAATTTTGTTTTTGTATTTTTAGTAGAGATGGGGTTTCACCATGTTAGCCAGGATGGTCTCAATCTCCAGACCTAATGATTCGCCCACCTTGGCCTCCCAAAGTGCTGGGATTACAGGCGTGAGTCACCGTGCTCGGCCATATAGTGAGATTCTTATGTTATGCTTGGTGCCAGGATTGAGCTGGATTTTAGATTAAAAAATCTCTAACTAGTACCAAACATGTGGTCTCAGTTCCTCTTTCTGAAATGTTCTCTCATCTCCACTCCTGAAATCCCATGTATTCATTTAGCAAGCTGAAATGCCACTTCTTCCAGAGAATTTTTGATCTCCTCAATGAAATAAAAGTATTTTTTCCTCATTTATTCAACAAAAACATACTGAGTGCCTGCTACATGGCAGGAACTGTACTGGGACTAGAATTAACAGTGGGGAGTTTTGAACACACATCCCCCACCCTTAAAGCTTACAGCTTAGTAGGAGAGTCAGATATTAAACACAGTAATGACAAGTAAAGAAAGAAAGCTGTGATAAATGTGGAGAGAGAAAAGCACAAGTGGACAGTAAAGGTATAACACGAATACAGTTTAAACTGGGGAGTCAGGGGAGGTCCTTCAGGGAAGAGATCTTTGAGACCTAAGTGATGATTAAGAGTTAGATAGGCAAGGCCAGGTGTGGTGGCTCACGCCTGTAATCCCAGCACTTTGGGAGGCTGAGGTGGGCGGATCACAAGGTCAGGAGATTGATACCATCCTGGCTAACACGGTGAAACCCCGTCTCTACTAAAAATACAAAAAAGTTAGCCAGGCGTGGTGGCGGGCGCCTGTAGTCCCAGCTACTCGGGAGGCTGAGGAAGGATAATGGCATGGAACCGGGAGGCGGAGCTTGCAGTGAGCCAAGATCGTGCCACTGCACTCCGGCCTGGGCAACAGAGCAGGACTCCGTCTCAAAAAAAAAAAAAAAAAAAAAAAGTTAGATAGGCAGACAAAAGGGGAAAGCGTTTGGAGCAGAGACAGGTAGGGAAATCTTGAGGGAGGAAAGAACTTGGCTTGCTTAAGGAAATGAAAAGATGTCAGTGTGCTGGGAGTGGCAGCGAGGTAGAGGAGGAAAGGTGGGTAATGACCAGGTCGTACAGGTCTGCATGTGTGTGTGGGGCACGTTAAAGAGCTTGTGGTAGTCTATCAAAAATGCAGCTCCTAGGAAGGTATTGAGGGATGTGACATGATCTGACTTTAGTTTTTTAAAGACTTTGCCTCCTTGTGGGGAATGGATTGAGTTGGGCCGAAGTGGAAGAAGGGAAACCAGTTGGGAGACCTCTGTTGTAGCATAGGAGAGGAGTGGTGGTCTTGTGTAAGGATCGTGGCAGTGGAGTCAGAGAGAAACGAGTGGATTTGAGATGTGTTCTTCAGCTTATGTGACTTCCAGGGAGCATTGTTAGATACAGGCTTGAAGATGGAAAAGGAGGTCTGGGCTAGAAATAGAAACTTAAGAGTTGTTGTCTTAGAAGATGATATTTGAAACCATAGGAGCCAATTAGATCCAAAGGAAATAGAATGTAGTAAAGTGTAGAGGAAAAAGAAAAGAGGACCTAGGACTGAGTCTGAAGTGCTCCAAAATTTGCTCAGGTAGAAGAGAAGTTGTAAAATGAAATGGGGAAAGAATAGCCAGCAAGAAAAGGACAGTCAAGAATGTGTGGCTTCAAGAAAGAGGGACAGGTCATCAGTGGCAGATCAAGTAGATGAGGAATGGGAAGTGTCCATCAGCCCTGGCAACACTCAGTGCATGGTTCACCTTGGCAGGAGCAGTTTTACTGATACAGTAGTGGTGGAAGTCAGATTAGAGTGGGTTAAAGAAGGAAATGTATACTTTATAATAAAATTAAACATGCATACACCCATTGAGCCAGCAATCCCCTTGTTGGCAAAATTCATTCCAAGAAAATAGGTATGTAAGCATGTTTATTGTAGCATTGCTTATAGCTTCAAAAAACTGAAAACTACCAAAATGCCCATCAATAAGGAATTGATTATATCTGTATGAATTGACCTAGAGGGATTTTAATAAAAATTGTTAGATGAACAACACATATTAGAGATACTTCTTTTGTCAATAAACAACCTTACGTATGTATATAAATGTTTATTTGGATTTATATGAGAATAGAGAATGGTGTGGAAGGATACACACCAAACTTTAATATTGATTAAGCAAGTAGTAGTAGATGTTTATTTATCTTTTGTTATACTTGGCTATGCGATCATTTTTAAAAAATAAATAGGGAGTTGAAGTTACTTTTTAAAAGTTCTGGGAGATGAGGAAATGAAGAAAAAAAGAATAGATCACTTTTTTTGAGAAACTTCGCCATGAAGGTAAATAAAGGTACCTGGTGGACACTAGAAATGCATGTACTTTTTAAAGACGAGAGGTGCTAAAGCATGTTTAAATACTGATTAAACGGATTCAGGAGGAAGAAACTGAAGAGGGAAGGAGAAAGACAGTCAATGGAATAAGACACATCTCCATTTTGTGTAACAGAAAGAATGTTATATTTTCGTATTGTGATGACTTCTATTTTCCTGTGCTATCTTCAAGACTGCAAAGCATATGTTTTTAAATGTACCCTACAGAATCTGGGTCTGAAGGAGTCCACATCATAATTTGATCTTTGCAGATTTTGGCTTCTTAAGAAAAATACAATTTGTTAATATCTTGTTTTGAAAATGGCATTATCTGCAGGGTATTGGTAATAAGGATAGATGCTTTATAGTACTAGGTGCACTTGCATGCTCTCTCTTTCTCTCTCTCTAATTTCAACTTTTATTTTACATTCGGGGGGCACATATGCAGGTTTGTCACATGGGTATATTGTGTTTCGCTGAGGTTTAGGTTACAAATGGTCCTGTCACCCAGGTAGTGAGCATAGTACCCAATAAGTAGTTTTTCAGCCCTTGCCCCATCCCCCACCGTAGTCCCCAGTGTCTACTGTTCTCATCTTTATTTACATATGTACCCACTGTTTAGCTCCCACTCATGAGTAAGAGAGTAGTTTTCTGTTCCTGTGTTAATTCACTTAGGATGATGGCCTCTAGCTGCATTCATGTTGCTGCAAGGGACATGATTTCATTCTTTTTTATGGCTGTGCATTATTCCATGGTGTATATGTACCATATTTTCTTTATCCAGTCCACTTTTGATAGACACCTAGATTGAGTCTATCTCTTTGCTATTGTGAATAGTGCTGCAATGAACATATGAGTTCATGTATCTTTTTTGTAAAACAATTTATTTTCCTTTGGGTCTATAACAAATAAAGGGATTCCTGGATTGAATGGTAGTTCTAAGTTCTTTGAGAAATCTCCAAACTGCTTTCCACAGTGGCTGAACTAATTTACATTCCCATCAACAGTATATAATCCTTCCCTGTTTTTCCGCAGCCTCTCCAGCATCTGTTATTTTTTAATAATAGCCATTCTGTATTAAAAAGTAAAAAAATAAAAAATAACAGATGCTGGTGAGATTGTGGAGAAAAGGGAACACTTATACACTGCTAGTGGGAGTGTAAATTAGTTCAACCACTGTGGAAAGCAGTGTGGCTATTTCTTTAAAGAACTAGAAACAGAATTACCGTTTGACCCAGCAATCCCATTACTGAGTATATACCCAACGGATTATAAATTGTTTTACCACAAAGACATATGCATGCATATGTACATTGCAGCATTATTTATAAAGCAAAGACATGGAATTAACCTAAATGCCCATCAATGGTAGACTGGATAAAGAAAATGTGGTACATATACACCATGGAATACTATGCAGCCATAAAAATAGAGCGAGATCATGTCCTTTGCAGGAGCATGGATGGAGCCTGAGGCCATTATCTTTAACAAACTAATCCAGTAGCAGAAAACCAAACGCTGTATGTTCTCACTTGTAAGTGGGAGCTAAATAATGAGAACACATGGACACAAAGAGGGGAACAGTAGACACTGGGGTGTACTTGAGCGGGGAGGGTGGAAGGAGGGAGAGGATCAGAAAAATAGCTATTGGGTACTATAATGGGTACCTAGGTGGTGAAATAATCTGTGCATCAAACCCCTGTAACACGGATTTGCCTATATAAATAAACCTGCACATGTATCCCTGAACCTAAATTAAAAGTTAAAAAAAATAAATTTCAAAAAAGGGAAAGCAAAATATTGTGTAGTTTTAAAAATGTTTATATAAAGGATTATATTTAGCAGTAATGTTATGTTTTTATTAATTTGCAAATATTTTGTGTACAAAAAGATTTTGATTTTGCATATATACAAATAAAACATTTTATCGATTTCTGACAAGTCAAAAATAATAGTAATAGCTATTATGATTAATGTGAGATGGTATCGCATTGTGGTTTTGATTTGCATTTCTCTGATGATTAGTGATGTTGAACATTTTTTCATATGTTTTTTGGCTACTTGTAGGTCTTTTGAGGAGTGTCTGTTCATGTCCTTTGCCCACTTTTTAATGGAGCTATTTGTTTTTTGCTTGTTGAATTAAGTTCCGTATAAATTCTAGATATTAGACCTTTGTCAGATGCATAGTTTGCAGATATTTTTTCCCATTCTGTGGGTTGTTTATTCTGTTGATAGTTTCTTTTGCTGTGCAAAACTTTAGTTTAATTAGGTCCTACATGTCAGTTTTTGTTGCTATTGCTTTTGAGGACTTAGTCATAAATTCTTTATCAAGGCTGATGTATAGATAGATGGTATTTCCTATGTTTTCTTTTATGATTTTTATAGTTTGAAGTCTTACATTTAAGTCATTAATCCATCTTGAGTTAATTTTTGTGTATAATGAAGGGGAGAGGTCCAGTTTCATTTTTCTGCATATGACCAGCCAGTTATCCCAGCACTGTTTATTAAATAGGGAATTCTTTCCCCCTCGCTTGTTTTTGTCAACTTTGTTGAAGATCAGATGGTTGTTGGTGTGTGGCTTTATTTCTGGGTTCTCAATTTTGTTCCATTGAGCTACATGTCTGTTTTTGTACTAGTACCGTGCTGTTTTCATTACTGTAACCTTATAGTGTCATTTGAAGTAGGTAATGTGATGCCTCCAGCTTTGTTCTTTTTGCTTAGGATTTTCTTTAGCTATTCAGGCTCTTTTTTGGTTCCATGTGAATTTTAGAACAGTTTTTTCTAATTCTGTGAAAAATGATGTTGATACTTTGATAGGAATAGCATTGAGTCTGTAGATTGCATTGGGCAGTATGGCCATTTTCACGATAGTAATTCTTCCAGTCCGTGAGCATGTAATGTTTTTCCATTCATTTGTGTCATCTCTAATTTCTTTCAGCAGTGTTTTATAGTTGTCCTTGTAGAGATCTTTCACCTCCTTATTTAGACATATTCCTAGTTTTTTTTTTCCCTGTATGTGTGTGACTATTGTAAATGGGATTGCATTCTTGATTTGGCTCTCAACTTGAATGTTATTAGAGTATGGAAATGCCACTGATTTTTGTACATTGATTTTGTATTCTGAAACTATTATGAAAACACCTGTGTGCACACAAACTAGAAAATCGAGAAGAAATGGAACAATTCTTGGAAACAGACAACTTCCTAAGATTGAATAAGGTAGAAATTGAAACCCTGAACAAACCAATATCAAGTTTCGAAATGGAATCAGTTATAGTAAACTTAGCAACCAAAACAAACAAAAAAGACCCAAAAAACAAAAAACCCTGGACCAGATGGATTCACAGCCAAATTCTACCAGCTATCCAGAAAAGGGCTGGTGGTTCCCATTCTACCCATTCTACTGAAATGATTCCAAACGATGGAGGAGGAGAGACTTCTCCCTACCTCATTCTGTGAAGCTAGTATCACCCTGATATCCTGGCAAAGATATGGGAAAAAAGAAAACTACAGGCCAATATCCTTGGTGAACATAGATGTAAAAATCTTCAACAAAATTCTAGCAAACCAAATCCAGCAGCACATCAAAAAGTTAATTCCCCATGATGAAGCAGGCTTTATTCCTGGGATGCAAGGTTGGTTCAACATACGCACATCAATAAATGTGATTTACCACGTGAACAGAATTTAAAACATACGATCATCTTAATAGATGCACAGAAAGCTTTTGGTAAAATCCAACATCTCTTCATGATAAAAAACCTCAAACTAGGCATCAAAAGAACATACCTCAAAATCATAAGAGCCATCTATGACAGACTCATAGCCAGCATCATACTAAATGGGCAAAAGCTGGAAGCATTCTCCTTGAAAACATTAAAAGAAAGGATGTCCACTCTCACCACGCCTATTCAACATAGTACTGAAGGTCCTAGCCAGAGTAGTCAGGCAGGAGAAGGAAATAAAAGGCATCCAGATAGGAAGAGTAGAAGTCAAATTATCTCTTTTCATTGACAGTATGATTCTATACTTGGAAAACCCTAAAGCCTCCACCAAAAGGCTCCTAGACCTGATAGATTTTTTTTTTTTTTAAGAAAGGGTCTCACTGCATCATTCAGGCTGGAATGCAGTGGCAAAATCATTCCCCACTTTACCCTGGAACTCTTGGTCTCAAGTTACCCTCTAACCTCTGGAGTAGCTAGGACTGCAGGCACATACCACCAAACCTGGCTGGTTTTATTTTTTATTTTTTCTAGATATAGGGTCTTACTGTGTTGCTCAGGCTGGTCTCAAACTCCTGGGCTAAAGTAATTGTCCTGCCTTGACCTCCCAGAGTGCTGGGATTACAGGCATGAACCACCAAGAGTTCGTTAAACAACTCTTGGAGGCAGGCCTTATTTATTATCTTCATTTCACACAGCCTCAGAAAGGTTAAGTAATTTCTCTAAGATCTCAAAATCAGAAAAGTGGATTCTAACTTGGCTATGTCCAACTTCACAGTTGGTTGTGTTATACATTGTCACTGAGAAAGAAGCTACTCTCATATCTAAATAACTTTACCCCCCTTATTTGTAAGGCTTAGAAGATATGTGCCTGGTCTGGGACCTCTGTTTTTTTGGGAAGCTTTGTTTATAATATTGGCGTTATCAAGGGATTCTGACAGAGTCCTCATAGTGATATCCTAATACCTTGTTTTTATAAACAGGTAGAAGGTTTACATTGTTGTCATAATGCCTGGAAGAAGGAGGAAAATTATTTATTAGCTAAGATATGGTTTATAACATAGGTAAGGCCCACAATTTTCCAGACACTGAGTATTTCATTTGGTCTTACCCAGGAAATAAGTATTATTGTCCAACTATTGTATTTCACAAATGAGGAAACTGAGGCTTAGAGAGCATATTGAACTTATAATCACACAGCTAGAACATAACCGCTGGGACTGAAGCTGAGGTCTGTCTGACTCTAAAGGTCTTTTTATTATTTATTTATTTATTTATTTTGAGACTGAGTCTTGCTCTTGTCGCCCAGGCTGGAGTGCAATGGCACGATCTTGGCTCACTGCAGCCTCTGCCTCCGGGGTGAAGTGATTCTCCTGCCTCAGCCTCCTGAGTAGCTGGGATTGCAGGCGCCTGCCACCACTGCCAGCTAATTATTGTATTTTTAGTAGAGACGGGGTTTTGCCATGTTGGCCAGACTGTTCTCAAACTCCCAATCTCATGATCTGCCCACCGTGGCCTCCCAAAGTGCTGGGATTACAGATGTGAGGATGTGAGCCACCGTGCCTGGCCCTTTTTTTTTTTTTTTTTTTTTTTTTTTTTTTTTTTTTTTTTGGTGAGATGGAGTCTCGCTCTGTTCCCCAAGCTGGAGTGCAATGGCCCGATCTCGGGTCACTGCAACCACCACCTCCCAGGTTCTAGCGATTCTCTTGCCTCAGCCTCCCAAGTAGCTGGAATTACAGGCGCCACTACATCTGGCTAATTTTTGTATTTTTAGTAGAGACGGGTTTTCACCATGTTGGTCAGGCTGATCTCGAACTCCTGACCTCAGGTGATCCACCCGCCTCGGCCTCCTAAAGTGCTGGGATTACAGGCATGATCCACCGCGCCCGGCCGAAGGTCTTTTTAAACACACAGTGCTGTCTTTTTCATCTCTGTTTATCATCTTGTGGTATTATCTTTTTTTGTGTGTGAGGCTTCAAAGATTAAAAAAAAATGTTTTATTTTGGACTTTGGATTCTGAAGTAATAACTTTTACTCCTGGGTGATCAAATCTCTCTCTCTCTCTCTCTCTCTCTCACACACACACACACACACACACACACACACACACACACACACACTTTATAGGACAAAGATAATATCCATATGCTTGCTATATATCTCTTAATCTTCTAAAAGCATTTGCCATTTGACTTTCCAGACCCCTTAGTAGGTCTGGAATCTGGCAGTTGTCAGATATACATTTGAATGCTTAAATTAATAAATCAAGATTTTAATTTTGCTGTTATAGTTAGTGAATGGTGCCAGATTGAAATCATTTTCATGATCAAATAGTGGGATGCATACTAGTTATCATTTTATTTAGTCTATTTATACTATGATGATAGGCCATGCAGACAGGAAACATTAAAATGTAGAATGTTAGGATGTACCTTGGGATGTGCTTCTAGTTCCCTGAGAAACCTTTCTAGTTCCCAAAGACAGGCATTTCCATGATGACTGTGGCCTTTCGTATATGATGCCCTTGTTAGCTGAATATTCATTACCTCGAGCCTTGCAGTTTTGAAGGTTGCATAGGGAAACAGAAGTAATCATAGTATAAAAATGTTCACTAATGAACTGTCCACGTGTAAAATTAGTTCCCACTCAAACATTCATCCCTGTGAATTCTATTCCTGCCCATCCCATTAGTTATAGTGTTTTACTGATTGTTCGGAAGATGTAAAATCAGTGTACTCAATTGCAAAGTCAGATGGCAGATTTTGCAAAAATACAAGAAATAAAGATTTCATGAAATAGAGAAAAGTGAGGTTGAAAAGCTGCCAGACTGACATACGAAGCCATTGGCAAATAAAATTCTGGCAGCATGAGACCAGTGAATAATTGAGAAAGAGAAAATCCACCAAAATGATGACATGGTAAGCATTTCAAAAGAAGAATCTGACAATTAAAAATTAAAGGAATGTTGGTGATGTCCAGGTATTTTTGGAAGAATATTCTTCACTGTAATTGTGCTGGGGAAGTTAGGAAATGCTAGAAAAACTAAAAGATATCTAACAACTGTTTATCACTACTACTGCTACTACTACTATTTTGGTTAGCACATAGTTGCATTTATTACATACGTTTTGTTAAGTAGAAGATTAAATATATACTTACATTTAATCTCAATTTTTAATGTAATGAAACCCCTTTTCCACATTCACTATGGAATTTTGGTCGTTATTTCAAGTGAATTCACTTTAAATGTCCTTTTTCAGGTAATTGTTGTTCTGGAATAATGAGAACCTCCTGTAATGGGTTATATACTTGTCTTTATGTGTCTGTGTGTCTTCCCTCTCCAGTTTTGCTGGTAACGAACAGCAGCAACAAACACAGGCAAGGAGAGTTAGAGATGGGGTGAGTCATCCTTAGTAAAATTGTCTTTTAACCAGTGAGGCAAAGAAACAGAACCTTGATGAGCAATAATCTATTCTAGAAGAGTAGCTAATCAGCAGATTATACTTTTATCTTGGAGAAAGGACTGCAGGTCACTCATTAAATCAAAAGGCATTACATAAATAAAGATTTCCAGTTTGGGGGTACTGGAGGGGACTGTAGCAATATTGTTTTTGAAGTCTTTGTTTCTCTTTAGTAGCATCACCCATAGCTTTGATGTTACTCACACTCTAAGATGAATACATTTTGGAGCTTCCTAATCCATTTGAAAAGGAAAACGTGTTTGTAACTTTACCAGCCTTAATTTGGCCTACTGGTAGACTTGGCAGGCTCCGCTGCAACAGCAAGAGTGGAGTTTCATATACCCTGCTGGCTGCTTTCACTACAGCCAAGCTTCTGGAAGCCCATTATTTCTGAGGATACCATTCCTTTTTGGATTTTTTTTTTAAGTCTTAGAGTCTGGGGAATACCCCAAGGTTGTGATAGTATCCAAGAATTCAGTGTTTTGGGGATTTTGAAATCTGTGAAAAGAACATATATCACTTGAAATTACAATGCACAGTTGATTTTCTGGTAACTTCCAAACAGTATGCAAGCTCCGTTCTAATAAAATCAGAAGATTATTTTTTTGGGAACTTGAAAAGTAAATGTATACCTTAAAGCCATTTTCTAAATAGAGCTCATTCATTATGACCCACGTTTGCATTCATGCCTCCCTTGAACTTAGGCCAGAATATTTATCTACAATTTAAATAGCAACACGTTAGTTAAGTGCTTGATTTAAAGTGGCTGGCACTTCCATTTATTTTTCTTTTATTGGAAAAGTTCATTCCTCTGAGAGGGGTTGAATTAGTCACTGTATAGTTGAGATAAGTCCCTTGATCTGGGGACAAAACATTCACAGGATTTGTGTGGCTGTCTATAGCATCTGTGTGACAGGCACATCATGAATCTCTTAATAGTTGTGAGATTGCTTTTCACTCAAAAGTATGATGTGTGACTGACTCCTTCTTCTCTATTTTATGGCAAATCATGTAGCTCATATATCATGCTAGCCATAAATCTTAATTTATGTTTGTCTGAGGATTTGACTCTGAGATTTACCTTCTTAGATGCTGAAAATATTCAATACCATATGGTTTCTTTTATTAGTATGATCAAAATTTTCATCAAAATGTTGAAAAGTTGACACTGAGACGGCTAAACTAGTAAATAGTGTGTTTTGTTTAATGTCTTTCATGTGTCCAGTATGAAAAAATATATAGAAATTCATTGAACCCAGAACTTCCTGTTCCCAATGGTTTAGTAATCAGTCTTAGATTTTTTTTTTTTTTAAGGGACAAGGTTTCGCTCTGTCACCCAGACTGGAGTGCAGTGGCATGGTCATAGCTCACTGCAGCCTTGAACTGCTGGGCTCTACTGATCTTCCCACCTCAGCCTCCCAAGTAGCTGGGACTACACATGCCACAACACTCAGCTAGTCAAAGATCTTTTAAGTTCTATCATTTAGCTAGATTATTAACGAGAAGTCTTGCCATTATCTCTTTTCCCAAGGGTGGAAGGATTATTTCTGTTGGCTTTGGCTCTTATGGCAAAGAGTATCCTACATTGTCTAGAATCTTTTAAAAAGACTTTTTGCTCTTGATCTTTTAGAGAGGTCACTCCTCAACTAGTATTAGGGAATATAGTGTAAGGGATAACCAGTTTGTTCTTTTCCAACACTCAAAACATCAGGCTTAAAGATGCTAGAATTAAGTTAAGCTGGCTAAGATGACAGCTTTGTGTTGGATCTGTTTTAGTGACCAGCCTGCCCCCTCCAAATCTAATCAATATCAAGTGAAATTATATTCCCCTCACCACAATCTTGGCATTAATTTGACTTTCAGATTGACCCATCATGGTGTGGTAATCCAGTTTGTCTTCTGCCCCCTTCATTTTCATCATACTTAGGGTCTGATGGCTTTTCTGATACAGTCAGCTGTGTGTATCCACAGATAGAACCAACTGCAGATTGAAAATATTTGGGGAAAAAAAGACAATAAAAATAACAATACAATTTAAAAAACAAATATGAAAAACAATACAGTGCACCAACTATATACATAGCATTTACATTGTGTTAGGTATAAGTAATCTAGAGGTGATTTAAAGTATGCAGGATTTGACTGATGTGGATTGAAGAAAAAAATGTGTACAGAAGGTTGTGTGTAGGTTATACTATACAAATACTGTGCCATTTGATGTAAGGTACTTGAGCATCTGTAGATTTTGATATCCTTGGTGGGGGTTTGGGGGTCCTGGAACCAATCCCCCATGCATACAAAGGGACAAACATATATTAACATTATGCTAACCTAATTAGTCAGAGTCCAGGATATTGATCAGGCTATATTTACCATGCAGCCATACAGCCCTCTTTCTTTTTTTTTTTTTTCTTTTTCTTTTCTTTTCTGGAGTGCAGTGGCATGACCTTGGCTCACTACAACCTCCGCCTCCTGGGTTCAAGCAATTCTCCTACCTCAGCCTCCCGAGTAGCTAGGATGACAGGCTCCAGCCACCACACCCGGCTAATTTTTGTATTTTTGGTAGAGACGAGGTTTCACCATGTTGGCCAGCCTGGTCTCGAACTCTTGACGTCAGGTGATCCTCCCAAAGTGCTGGGATTACAGGCCTGAGCCACTGTGCCCGGCCCATTTTTATTTTTTCATTAATCTTTGAGATTGGGCCAGCCTTGCCATCTTACTCTTCTTCTTGAGAGTATCTTGCGATGAGTTAGTCCTGCCATTACTTCCTCTTTCTGGACTACTTTTATACTTCCTCTTTCCATATAGTCAGTGTAGTAAGTTCAACCAGAACACTTTGTGCAACCCAGGCATTCATTCTGTGTCTCATTCTTGTTCTCTCTTTGCATGTAAGCCTAAGTATGCTGGACACTGCTTCCGATTTCTATACTGTGTTGTTGGCCTGAAGATAGGAAAATCCCAAGATACAGAATTGGACTTAAGATAGAGGCCCTTAATTGCATCTTGATCCTAAGCCAAATGTTCCAGTCCAGTTTTACTGTATTCCTGCTCTGTGGTATTTAGATGCTGAGCCACCTCATAGTATCATACTTTGATTTTCATTCAGCTTGTGATTTCTTATTTTCTGTAAATGTAAATGCATATGGAGAGAATGGTAAATGGCAGAGCAGGAATTCCTGGGTCTTCAGCCACCACACTCTTAAAATCCCTAATAATTTCTACATTCTGGGTGTTTATAAAATCTTCCTGGGTGTCTGTAAAGTCTTCCTTTCTTTATACTGCTGCCTTAAACCCTGCCTTCAACATCTCTATAGCTTGGACCTTGCAGGTCTCTTTACACTTTTCTAATCCGTTCTCCACATTGCTGTGATCCTAAAATGCAGACTAAACCTATTGTTTGCCGGTGTAAAACCTTTGAGTGGCTCCTCCTTGTCTATACCATGAAACCCAAGATCCATAGCACAGAGGCAATATAGTGTATTGGTTCAGGGTGCAGTTCTAGAGTCAGTCTGCCTGGCTTTGAATTTGGCTTTCCTTTATTAGCTGAGTGATTTTTGGCCAAGTTACTTACCCTCTCTGTCTTCAGTCTGCACGTCTATAAAATGGAAATAACAATAGTGGCTTCTTTGTAGGAGAAGGTTTGCTATGATGTTTAAATTGCATAAGAATAATATAAAGGGATTAAAACAATGCCTAGAGTAGGGTAACACTTAGTAAGTGTTAGATCCCGGCCTACTTTGCTAGTCTCATTTCCTGCTGAAACCCTAAGCTCCAACCAAACCAAACTGCTTCTAGATTCCAAGTGTACACTGTGCTAGTTCATTGTTCTGTATCTTTAAACATGGTATGCCCTTTGCCCGGAGTGAACATCGCCCTGCCTGATGCCTGAGCATTGTCTTCACTCTGAAGATTCCCAGACCAGTCTGAATAACCTGAGTATTGTAGGTATTGAAGATTCAGTGAAGTACAGATTGGACAACATGTCTGTCTTCATAGAAATTATGTTCTACTGGGGAGAGAGAGACAACAAAATAAATAAAGCAGGGAAGAGGATGTTTATGGGGTGGGTTTGCAATTTCAAATAGGCAAGGCCTCATTATAAAGGTGACATCTGAGTAAAGACCTGAAGATTAATGAACAAGCCAATGTGGGCAAAGAGTGTTCCAGGCTGAGGGAACAGCAACTGGCTCTGGTATGCTCCTGGAATAGTAAGGAGGGCACTAGGGCTGAAGCTGAAGAGAAAGTAGTATAAGACGGTGTCAGAAAAGAAATGGGGCCAGGTTGCAGAGCGCTTGGTTGAGTGAGATTGACAGCCACTGGAGGGTATTGAGCCAAGGAATCCTGTGATTTGATTGTTCTAACTACTAGGTAGACCATAGGTTGTATAAGGGCAGACACATTCTAACAAGAATAATTTAGACAAAAGATAGTGGTGGCTTGGATGAGGGTAGAAGCAGTGGAGGTAGGGATTGCTTTAGATTCTGCCATATTTTAAAGGTAGAGCCAGTGGCATTAGCTAATAGATTTGATATGGGGTAAGAAAAAAAAGAGGCTGGGCACGGTGGCTCATGCCTATAATCCCAGCACTTTGGGAGGCTGAGGTGGGCAGATCATGAGGTCAGGAGATTGAGACCATCCTGGCTAACACAGTGAAACACCATCTCTACTAAAAATACAAAAAATTAGCCGGGTGTGGTGGCATGTGCCTGTAGTCCCAGCTACTTGGGAGGCTGAGGCAGGAGAATCACTTGAACCCGGGAGGCATAGGTTGCAGTGAGCCGAGATCACACCACTGCACTCCAGCCTGGGCGACAGAGCGAGGCAACATCTCAAAAAAAAAAAAGAAAAAAGAAAAAGAAAAAGAAATCAAGGATGATATCAAGAGTTTTGGCCTGAACAACTGAAAGGATAGAACTATGTTAGACTGAGATAAGGACAGTGAAGAATGTGAAGAATAGGTTTTGGAATACCTCAGTTTGAACATTTTAGATCTGAGATGCCTTTTAGATGTCTAGGTAGAGATGTTGAAGAGGAAGTTGAATATATGTCTAACGTCCAAGGGAGAAGTCTGCGCTGGATACATAAATTTAGAAGTTATTAAGCCATGAGACTGGATGAGGTACAGAGGAAGATCCGGTACACAAGACTGAGAAAGAGCTGCCTGTGAGGCAGGGACAAAGTGGTGGCTCAGCGAGGATAGTTTCTTGAAAGCCAAGCAGGGAAGTGTTTTCACAGAGGATGGAGTGATCAACTGTGTCGGGTGCCAAGAGGTCATGTAAGATTAAAACTGATGATTGATGACTGGATTTGGCAAAATGGAGATCCTGAATGCCCTTGAGAAGCAGTTTTAGAGGAGTGGTGGGAGGAAAGCTGAATAGGAGTAGGTTCAAAATGGAGAGAGGGACTGGGAACAGCATGTATAGACAACTATTTTGAGAAACTTACTTGTGAAAGAAAGGAAAGCAGTAGGGTGGTTCCCTACTCTGAAGGCTTAGCTGCACAGTCACTTCTGGTGTCAACTGTCTGGGAAAAGTTATTTTTGCAGAAACCTTGTTATTACCACTAAGATTTTTTTTTTTCCCTCTCCTGACAGCTGTCATTTTGGATTGCTTTTCTCCTTTCGTTTGACAGTTCCTAAGTGAGGACCTACTGAAATCTTACTTTCTTCTTGATTCTCAAATAGTAAGCAAAAATACTGAGCCAGCCTGTTTGGGGACAAACATACTGCCCTCCAAAGCAGGTTACCAGGGCTCTCAGTTTAGAGACATCACATTTCCTAAGACTTGGGGCAATGCCATGGGAACAAAAGATAGCTAATATATCTTGAGTGCTTCTGTGCTAGCACAGTGTTGAGTGTTTTATATCCATTATCTATTTAACCATAATAGCTGGTTGGGTGATAGAGATTCATAAAGAGAACCTTACAGGTAAATAACTGGGATTTAGCATCATGTTTTATCTTACCAGCGTTCATAGCTCATTGGAATACTGAGGGATGTTTTATGAATGTCTCTGAAGTGCAAGGCATTTTTATGAAACTGAGCATTAAAAGGAGTCACATTGTAGGTTACTTTTAAAAAATATTGTGAACTTCTGGTTAAGAAGATAGCCTTCACTTATTTATACTGAGAGGCTAGATTTGGGGAAAAACAGCCCAATCTAATGAAAATCCTCTAAAAGATCTTAAATCCTTAGAATTTACAAGTCACCTTTACCCATGGGTTCTCTTGTCCCTTTCTGCAGTTATTGATTTTTTCCTGGTGCCTTTTCTATAATTTCTGCCTGGCTGTATCCATTTCCTTATGGATTTATTGCTCATCTTTTTACATTGCTCTCTTTAGAGGAATACTGTGTCAAACTTTTGTCCCTTTTATCAGGTTACAACAGTTTAAAAGTAGATTGTGCTCTTGGCCTAAACATATTGACAATGACCCTTAACAATATTTGAATTATAGTGTGGTTTTCAGGTAAACATCTTAGTACACTGTTTCTTTTTATGTATGGACCTCACTTCTTTACCTATTTACATATCTCTAGGGAAAGATTAATGCGTGAGTTGGGAAAAAAAATAGATATTTTGCTTTGAAATTGCTCTATTCTTTCTTCCAAGATGCCATCTAGGAATGCACGATTTTGAACTTTGTAGGCACATTTTCATTTTAAAGGAAAAGGAAAAATGACTTGAAAAAATGTGTTGGCAAAACCTGAAAAGAAAGCTCTACAAAAAAAGAACTCTAGCCCGAAAAGAGAACAGGAAGAAATGATTACTGATGATTTCAATTTTCAGTAAATTACAAAGCATACGTAATAGACTTCGAAGAGAGATGATTCCAATGGCATACTTCATGCCGCCTTCACAGATAAGTGTGTAAATGAAAGGGAAATGAATTGTTTCAGCCTGGAAAATCTGTACCATTTTGGTGGAGTGAAAATGAGTGAAATTGAAGTAATCCTATCACTTCTTACTGAAAATATAACATATAAATGTTTTTGATGTGTTTCTAGAGAATAGTATACTTATAGATTTGCTGCAAAGAAACATAATTTTGAATCAGAGGTAACTAAATGAGTATAAAAAATAAGGGTATAATAGTGTTTTATGTAATTTACACTGCAAAATTTGAAAATTTGAAGTATTGCTGTGTGGGTGGGAATGTTTTTCTTTTTAACTCCTTAGAACCTAGCAAAATTTTCACAATGGAAAAGAAACTTCATTCATGTATTCATTTAACACATAATTACTGAAAGTCTACAGTGTGCCAGATAATATTAATAAGACAGAAAAAGTCCCTGCCACTAAGGAGCTTATATTTTAGTAGTGAAGATGGATAATAAATAAGGAATCATGTAGCTAATTCTACCATTTCACTTATCATATGATATGTGCTGTGAAGTTCAGGATTCTCTGAGAGGTCCTCCCTGAGGAAATGATGTTTAAGCTGAGACCTGAGGAAAGACAGGAGGTAACCAGGTGGAGGAGAAGGAGAGGTGGTGCAGGATGAAGGAACAGCATGAACGGATGAAGGAACAGCACGTACAGAGACCCTGAGATGAGAAGGAACTTGATGGGTTCAAAGAACTGAGAAAAGCAAAAGGTTGGACAATGTGGATGGAGCAAGTAAACAAGGATAGAGAAGGTGAAATTGTTGTGGATTTTGAACTTTATTATGAGAACAAGGAGAAGCTATTAAAGGATTTGTTTTAGCAGGTTTATATTTATTTTATCTTATTTTTTTGAGACAGGGTCTTGCTCTGTCACCCAGATTGGAGTGCAGCATCATGATCATGGCTCACTGCAGCCTCGACCTCCCAGGCTTAAGCGATCCTCCCACCTCAGCCTCCTGAGTAGCTGGAACTACTGGCATGTGCCACCACGCCCAGCTAATTATTTGTATTTTTTGTAGAGACAAGGTTTTGCCATATTGCTCAGTGAGAGATGTGTCACTCTTCCTTTCACTTGAGCACTTAGAGGACATTGTCACATTATTAATTGGCCTACTTTCAATATTGTCATGTTTCAGGGAATAGGGAGGCCCAAGGAGAGAGAGGGACATGGGGGAACAGCCAGTTGATGGAGCAATCAGATAAATGGAGCAACATTTATCCATTAAGTTCACCATTTTATATGGATGAGGCTCGTGACGCCCCAGATACAATTACAATGGTAACATCAAAGAACACTGATAACAGATCACCATAGGCTGATTGCAGTGGCTCATGCCTGTAATCCCAACACTTGGGAGGCTGAGGTGGGTGGATCGCCTGAGGTCGGGAGTTCGAGACCAGTCTGACCAACATGATGAAACCCCATCTCTACTAAAAATACAAGATTAGCTGGGCATGGTGGTGGGCACCTGTAATCCCAGCTATCTGGGAGGCTGAGGCAGGAGAATCACTTGAACCTGGGAGGTGGAGGTTGCGGTGAGCCAAGATCATGTCACTGCACTCCAGCCTGGCTAACAGAGCGAGACTCCGTCTCAAAACAAAATAAAACAAACAAACAAAACAGTATCGTAACAGATATAATAATAATGAAAAGGTTTGAAATATTGCAAGAGTTACTGAAACGTGACAGAGTTATGAAGCAAGCATACACTGTTGGAAATATAGTGCTAATATACTTGCTCAAAATGGAGTTGCTGCAGACCTTCAATTTTTGAAAAACACAGTATCTGCAGTGTCATAAATCAAAGACAAATAGAATGAAGTATATTTGCATTAAAAAAATCACCATGTATATCAATTAGGGATACATTTTAGTACAAATCACAGGAAATTTTGGCTTAAATAATTGAGGTGTTTATTCTTATTAGATGATAGGTTGGTATAGGAATTCAACAGTACCTTCAGAAGCCAGGTTATTTCTGTCTTTCCACTCTGATATTCTTGGTATGTTGGCATTTGTCCTCATTCTTGTCCTTGTAGATCCATCTCCAGCCCTTTGTCAATATTCCAGGCAGGAAGAACAAGAAAGTCTAACAGGAAGGGGCAAGGCCTATATCAGGAAAGAGAAAACTCATCGGATAGAACCTTTGTGTCATCCTACATCCCTTTTTCTCATGTACCACATCTAATCCATCAGCAAATCCTAGGGGCCCTGCCTTCAGAATATATAGAGAATTGGAACCACTTCTTACCATATCCACTAGCTACTACCTGATGCAAGCCATCACCTTCTCTGTTAGATTATTGCAGTGGCTTGATACCTGGTCTGCCTGCTGCCATTCTCACATTCCTATAGTCTGTTCTCAAACCCCTGGAGCAGTGTGTGTGTGTGTGTGTGTGTGTGTGTGTGTGTGTGTGTGTGTGTATGTGTGTGTGTGTGTGTTTTAAATATTAAAGCATTAGTCACATATAAAATTCATTCTTTTTTTTTTTTTTTTTTTTGAGACGGAGTCTCACTCTGTCACCCAGGCTGGAGTGCAGTGGCTCGATCTCGGCTCACTGCAAGCTCTGCCTCCTGGGTTCACGTCATTCTCCTGCCTCAGCCTCCCGAGTAGCTGGGACTACAGGTGCCCGCCACCACGCCCAGCTAATTTTTTGTATTTTTAGTAGAGACGGGGTTTCACCATGTTAGCCAGGATGGTCTCGATCTCCTGACCTCGTGATTTGCCCACCTCCGCCTCCCAAAGTGCTGGGATTACAGGCATGAGCCATTGCGCCCAGCCTAAAATTCATTCTTTTAAAGTGTGCAATTCAGTGTTTCTTAGTATATTCCCAAAGTTCTGCAGCCATCGCCGCTATCTAAACCCAGAGATTGTTCCTTTTTAAACATAAGTCAAAGCCTCCTTAAAACTGTCCAGTCATGGCCGGACATGGTGGCTCACGCCTGTAATCACCAGAGGTCAAGAGATCAAGACCAGCCTGGCCAACAGTGTGAAACCTGTCTCTATTGAAAATACAAAATTTACTTGGTTGTGGTGGCACATGCCTGTAATCCCAGCTACTTGGGAGGCTGAGGTAGGAGAATTGCTTGAACCCGGGAGGCGGAGGTTGCAGTGAGCTGAGATTGCGCCTCCACACTCCAGCCTGGGAGACAGTGCAAGACTCTGTCTCAAAAAACAAACAAACAAACAAAAACTGTCCAGTCATTCCTCATCTCAGGGTAAAAGTCAAACTTCTTGAATGTTCTGCAGTGCCCTACATGATCTGGCTTCCTCTTACCTCTCAGGCTTCATCTCCTACAACCATCTCCCCTTATCAGTCTTCTTTTTTTTTTTTTTTTTTTTTTTTTTTTTGAGATGTAGTTTTGTTCTTGTTTCCCAGGCTGGAGTGCAATGGCACGGTCTTGGCTCACTGCAACCTCTGCCTCCTGGG